>NC_000019.10:45119661-45422692 GCF_000001405.40 Homo sapiens
AACACTCAGCCCCAAGCCGGCACCCTCTGTCCTCCACTGTCATCTGCCCCAGGCCCAGGATCAGACCACTGGGAAAGTGGCCAGGTAGGGCTGTGTCTCTTGTGGCTCTGCACACATGAGAGGTGGTGGGTGTGGTGCTCAGAGAAGAGCCAGCTCCACCCCCCAGCACCCCGCACAACCTTGCTGTTTGAAGGAGGCCGCCGCCCCAGGAGGGGCTTTAGGGGCTGCCAGGAAGCCCGGAGAAGGGCCTGGGGTCCCTCTTTGTTCCTGGTTCCCGGCTGCTTCACTGGCTACTCCATCTCTGTGTTCATTTGCTTTTAAATGAGGAGCACAGATTTTTTATTTTCCCCTTCTTTTTTTTTTTTTTTTTTTTTGAGATGGAGTCTCACTCTGTCGCCCAGGCTGGAGTGCAGTGGCGCGATCTCCGCTCACTGCAAGCTCCTCCTCCCAGGTTCACGCCATTCTCCTGCCTCAGCCTCCCAAGTAGCTGGGACTACAGGTGCCCGCCACCACGCCTGACTAATGTTTTGTATTTTTAGTAGAGACAAGGTTTCACTGTGTTAGCCAGGATGGTCTCGATCTCCTGACCTTGTGATCCGCCCACCTTAGCCTCCCAAAGTGCTGGGATTAGAGGCGTGAGCCACCGCACCCGGCTTTCCCCACTTCTTGCATAAAGGGTAGCATTCATGAGCATACCGTTCTGCACCTTGCTTTTTTCATTTGTGTCTTGAAACCTGTTCCCTGTTGGCTAAGAGAGCGCACACTCATTCTCTGTGGCGGCAGGGCTCCACTGCGTGGATGAACTCTGGGGAGCTAGCCGGTCCCTGCTGGTGGATATTGTGGTTGGTTCCGGTTCTGCATTCACAAGCTGCTGCAGTGACTGTCCTTACATGTATGATTTTTCATCTTTGCAAGTATGTCTGTAGGATTAATCTCCAGGTGTGTAATTGCTAATCAAAGGGTATATGCATGTTACTTTTTTTTGAGATGGAGTCTTGCTCTGTTGCCCAGGCTGGAGTGCAGTGGCGCTGTCTCATTGCAACATCCGCCTCCCAGGTTCAAGCGATTCTCCTCCCAAGTAGCTGGGATTATAGGCACCCGCTACCACACCTGGCTAATTTTTGTATTTTTAGTAGAGACGGGGGTTTCACCATGTTGGCCAGGCTGGTCTCCAACTCCTGACCTCAGGTGATCCACCTGCCTCAGCCTTGGCCTCTCAAAGTGTTGGGATTACAGGCGTGACCCACTGTGCCCCGCACATTTGTACTTTTGACTGGTCTTGCCAAATTGCCTTTGAGACGGAACCATGTCCTTGGTCAGGTCCTTTCTCATCTCTAAGCGTCCCCTGGAAAGTTGGGGAGATAATTTCTATTTCTCAGGGCCATTAGGAAGTGGAAACGAGATCGAGTTTGTCAATCGCTTAGTTTTGGGAGTGGGCGCAAAGTTACGGCTCCACCGGTAAAGCACAGTAGAAGGGCCCCAAGCAGTGTTTGTTCTCTTCCCCCATGCCTCTCTGCTGAGTGCCACTGGGGATTGTAGGAGTGGTGGGAGAGCGTGGGGATGATTACTGTTGGGAAATGCATGGCAGTGGCTGGAAGAGGGGGTCAGAAGCACAGACCTGCATTTACACTCACACTCTGGGATGAGGGACTTTCCTCCTCAGGGCGTCTGTCTCCCTGCCATGGGAGGCAGTGCATGTGTCAGCCATGGCCCTCGGCTGTAAGCCCAGAAACAGACCCCTGCAGAATTTGTAGCAAGGGAATGTGTGGGGAGGATGTCACCAGGCAGGAGGACAGCTGGGCCCTCGCATGGGCGGGATTGAGGCCACTGGATTCCCTAGGTAGGGAGCTCCCCAAATACAGGAAGAAGGTTAGAGGCAGGAAGAGCCTTTTCTACCCAGGAAACCTGACCAGTGCCACGCAGTGAATATACAGGGTCCTCACGCAAGGACCTGAGAGATGTGTGGGCAGCTGTGTGCAGTGTATACAGGGAGTCCAGGGGCTGGTGTGAGCCCTGCTCTTGAGGGGCCTCTGGATGCCCGCGGTGGGGTGCTGGGGCCTCCACGGGCGTCATTCTGTGGTTGCTCCAGGATTGGACTTAGAAATCTGGGTTTGACTACATATCAGGCTGCCCTGGGGCCCCTTTCAGTAAAGATACTCCCCTGAGAAATACCTGCCCTTGGGAAGCCCACTGCATTGGGCTTACATGACTGATCAGACTCTGATTCTGTGTGGAGCAGCCTGGGGAAGGGCTTGGAGGCGGGAGTGAGGATGGTCTCCACGTGGGCAGTGTAGACGTGTGGTTTTGCAGGGATAGAGACGTGCAGCAGCACATCCGCAGAGGTAGCGAGGCCTTGGGGGTGTGGGGTTCCCACAGAAAGCTCTGTGGGTACTCTTCTGCCTCCTCCTCCCTATTTCAGGCCCCAGGAGGCCTTGTGTGGTTCTGTCCCTCCCCTGCCCCCCAACTGAGGCCGTGGCATTGTGGGAGCAGAGGACGGAACTGGACACCTAGTGAAGGTGCGTAGAAGGCATTTGCCCCAGGCTGGCTCTGGGCTGAGCACACCCATTGGTGACCTCATCACGTGCACACCTTCGCTGCCTGAGTGCAGGGCACCCAAAAGCCTGCCATAGACAAGAAGGGACCTTCCCTGAGTTCACCCAGCTGGCCCTGTCTGAGTTGGGGACTCACACCTGTGCTGACTCCAGAGACCCACCCCAGCCCCACCTTCCTGTTCCTTCAGTCAACACATATTTATTGAGCACTTACTGTGTGCCCAGTAAAGACCCTTCTGGGGATATTTCAGTGAACAAAAGGGGTAAGAGTTCTCCCCTCATTATAGCATAAATGCACAGATCAGTACGCTTCCTGCTGGGTCATGAGAAGTGCCACCTAGAGAAGGAAGCAGGGATTCATAGTGATAAAGGGGCTGACTTTTTGGAGGGTGGCCAGGGAAGGCCTTTGAGGAGGTGACTTGGGAGTGAAGACCTGCAGGCAGGGAGGGAAGGAGCCGTTGGGGTGTGAGGAAGAGGGGTGCTCTGGGCAGGGGGTAACAGGTGCAAAGACCCTGAGGCACTGTGTCCAGATGGCTCTGCCACTGGCAAGGATCAGGACCTCAATGACTGTAGCAGCCCCTCCCCAGCACCCCCAAGTGAGGTCTGGCCATGCAGCTCTCCCATGTGCATGCTTTGCCTCCCGTGCTCCATAAGCAGGACCTTGACCCCTCCAGCCTCCTTGCTGACCCCTCTCGTCTCACACTCCAGGTCCCGATCTGTGCAGCTCACTGCCAGATGCATCAGGCAGCCTCCTGCACCTGCACTTTCTTCACAAAGTTCCCTCTGCCAGAGACGCCTTTTGCATCTTTGTCATCTCTGAGACTTTTCCAGATGCCTCCCGCTGCAGCTGATCCCAGCCTGGCCATCCTCCCCGCCTCCATGTCCCCTCCCTCCCTCCCTCCATCATAGCCTTGATGCTGTTCTGCCACTGCCCCTGGATTTGTCTCACTGATTGTGCAGAAGGCTCTGGGACAGAGCTGGCTTGTGGGGGATTGGGCCACTGCCTATTGGAGGCATTTGGGGGCTGTCCCAGGGGTGAGTGCACCCCAGGCTGGACCAGGTGCCCACACCTCTCCCGCCCAGCACTGGCACCTGTGAAGGGCCTCTGGAGGCTGGGTCTTCCTGCAGGCACCAGGAAGAAACCTACGAGCGCATCCTTGCTGAGGGCAGGACCCGCTCTCCACATCCTGGAAACCCAACAGAGAAAGACAGTCTCTCTGGCAGCCTCCCTGTCTTGAAGTTCGAGAAGGCTGCATTTCTAGGCTCCCACAACCTGTCTGTCCGGTTTGAAGCCGGGGCCTGAGGGCTTCAGGGTACTGATGCAGGACAGACAGCTCTGGTTCAAACCTCCCTCTGTCCGCTCCCACAGGTGTGGCCTCAGAAGACCATTCCCTCTGTAGCGTGGTAGAGGCTGGAAATTCTACTCTGCAGGATTATGATGCGGATTAAATGCAGTAATCGAGTGTTTGGCAGAGTGCCTGGTAGGGAAGGGGTTCAGTAAAGAGCTGCTCGCACCATTCTGTGCAGGGAATGCTTTAGGGCATGTTTTAGAATTTTAGAACGTGTTTCACTACATGAGTAGCTTCTTGCAGCTTTGAGGCCCTGGCATCCCTCTCCCCTGCCTGCAGGCTTCCTTGTTCACTGGGCCAAGTCCCCGCAGTAATCTTCCTAAGCATGGAGTAGACCGGGCCCTTCCTGGCCAGAACATCCCCATCTACCTTCAGGGTCTACTGCAGTGGCCAGATGTGAGCTTCTCCTCTGTCCGCTCACTCACCTTCTCTGTGCCTGTCTTGGCCCCTTCTCTGTGCCTGGCTGGCCCCATGTGGAGCAATGTTGGGGTAACAGTGTGGACCACAGACCACCCCATGCTGTCTTCCTAGGACTCATAGTCCAGTGGGGGAGACACACAGGTCTCCAGATGGTGACAACTCAGAGGGGACAGGGCTGAGACGGGGAGCCCAGAGGGTGGGGCCTGACCTACCGTGGGGATCAGGGAGGGCTTCCTGGAGAAGGCATCCCTAAGCTGAGAATTGAAGAAGTAGTAAGCAGTGAGAGCATGTACCGTGTAATGTGTAAAGGGGAGGGAGAATGTGAGGTGCTGGGAAGCACCGGGCCCTTCGGGGGACGGGAAGAATTTGGGTGTGGCCAGAGCACAGTGCCCCATGAGTGGAGAGGTCCAGATTGTCTATTTTTCTTTTCTTTTTTTTCCCCCAATGATCCTAGAAATTCTCCCAAGAGAGGTCCAGATTTTTTGACAAGGCTGAAGGGCGGCCCCTGAGACCTGACTCTACCTGTCTGCCTGGCCTTTCCTCAGTCCAGTGCGTGCACGGCCCCCTCCTCGCTCTCACGCATCATCTGTGTGCTCCTTCCCTGCCAGACAAGAACCCCTGGAGGGCAGGGACCAGTTCAGAGCCATCCCTGTCTCCCCAGTGCCAGCACAGAGCTTGGCCTGAGTAGGTTTTGGGGACTGGGCTTGGTGGCTCACACCTGTAATCCCAACATTTTGGGAGGCTGGGGCAGGAGGATCACCTGAGCCCAGGAGTTCAAGACCAACCTGTACAACATACTGAGACCCGGTCTCTACATAAAAAAAGAAAAAAAAAAAAAACTGGCCAAGCATGGTAGGGTGTGCCTGTAGTCTCAGCTACTTGGGAGGTTGAGGTGGGAGGGTCACTTGAGCCCAGGAGTGCAAGGCTGCAGTGAGCTATGATTGAGCCGCTGAACTCCAGCCTGGGTGACAGATGGGGACCCCCCAAAAAATAGGTTTTGGGAAATGTTTACCAGATGAGAGGCAAGACGGAATTCTCCTAAATTCGAAGCTTGGAATTCTCCTAAATTCGAAGCCTGAGGCAGAATGGTTGAAGCAAAAAGAGGAGATTTGTTGTCTTATGGGTCTGAAGGGTCCTGAATAGTGTGGTGTCAGGCACAGTATCTCTTTATCAAACAATATCTCTTTAATCTCTGAGCTTGGCCGGGCACAGTGGCTCACGTCTGTAATCCCAGCACTTTGGGAGGCCGAGGCGGGCGGATCATTAGGTCAAGAGCTGGAGACCATCCTGGCCAACATGGTGAAACCCCGTCTCTACTAAAAATACAAAAATTAGCCGGGTGTGGTGGCGCGTGCCTGTAGTCCCAGCTACTCAGGAGGCTGAGGCAGGAGAATTGCTTGAACCTGGGAGGCAGAGGTTGCAGTGAGCCAAGATCACACCACTGCACTCCAGCCTGGCGACAGCGAGACTCCATCTAAAAAATAAAATATCTGAGCTTGGCTTTCCTCTGAGCTGGCTTCATTCGCGGAAGGCTGTTCCCTCCTGATGGGTGCAGGGATGGCTGCCAGTAGCTCTAGAAATGGGATGCAGTCTTAACCACCCTAGTGGGAAGAGAGCTCCTCTTTCCTGAGAGTTCCATCTCAGGGCGTAGGACCGGCTGTGGCTGGCTCTGTAACCTTCCTGTCCCTGACCGATCATTGTAACAGAGGTTGTGGGACGGGGCACCTATCCACTCCTAGAACCTTTGGGGAGGACAGCGGGGAGTCAAGGTAAAGTGAAGAGGCCTATCCAGGCTCCTGGGGTGAGAGAGATTGGGTGACCAAGGCTGGTCCACCCAGGGGAAGACAGGAAGAGAAGTGGGCCATTCTGGCCTCAGACCTCTTCGTCCTTTCCCAGACCCCACGCCAAGGCAGAGCTCCCTGTGGGATGAGTTTCTCACTTGACCTGAAATCTCTACTTGTGGGGCTGCTGCAAGTGCACAGGCTTCAGGAAAGGTGGACCACACCCCCTGTGCCCCAGGCTCCTTCCCGAGGGTGTGCAGCCCACCATCCAGATAGGGGTGGATGGTGCCCAAGTCGTGGGGGCTGACAAGCATGGAGAGTCCTGCAGAGAGGCCCAGCACCGGATTCCCAGGCTGCTCCTTGAGACGCTGTCCCACATGGGCCGGTCACTCACCTGCCATGAGACTCCCAACTGGGACCTTCCCTGCAGAGCCTGTGAGGTGGAACGATGGTGATGGTGCCCCCTTGTGGGGTAGGTGCATGTGGCAGGCACAGAGTGGTGGCAGCAACTGTAACATACGGTTCTGGAGGGCAGGGACAGGGGCCCTTCCTGTGTGCCTTGTGGTGCTGAGTGCCAGGCTGGGTGAGCTCACCAAGCCCTCCCTGGGAAGGTGCTGTTGATGCAGCAGGGAGGCCCAGGGCAGTCACTGCTCTGTGCTGTTGGCGACGGAGCAGGGATTGGAACCCAGGCGCCTGGCTTCGAGGCCCGCATGCTGTGGGGAAATGGGGCTCTGCCATGTTGGTGGTTATTTATTGTCGTGAACAAGAGCTCAGGCCTGGTTTCCAGGTGTGACTTTATTGCACCCTCGCCCTACCTCCCCGGCTTGAGAATTCTGGAAAATACCACAATAAGTGTTTCTTTTCTCTTTTGAGATTATGTAAATAATACTTGCCTCCATGCTCTTAAAAGAAAATGACATCTCTATTTCCATGTGTTGCGGTGTTTCCTGGTTTGGGACCCCACCAGCTATCCAGTCACCCAGGCTTGAAGCCAGGTTCTTCCCAGCTTCTCTCTCCACCCTGCCCATCCCTGTGCATGTAGCAGTGACCAGGTCCTATCGATTATCTGATTATCTGCCGGAAGCCTCAGGAATGGGAGCCTTCTGAGTCAGCACATCACCAGGAGCACGGCCTGTGGCCAGGCTGCTCAGGGGCTGGTGATGTTGGTTTCTTTCACCTTAATGTGTGAGTTGTGTAGTAATACGGTCCTATATCACTTAATGATGACACATTCTGAGAACTGCGTCGTTAGGTGATTTCATGGTCATGTGAACATCCTAGTGGACTTACACAAACCTAGGCCTGGTCAGGCCTGGTGGCTCACACCTGTAATCCCAGCACTGTGGGAGTTCTAGATGGGCGGATCACCTGAGGTCAGGAGTTTGAGACCAGCCTGACCAACCTGGTGAAACCCCATCTCTATTAAAAATACAAAATTAGCCTGGCGTGGTGGCGTGTGCCTGTAATCTCAGCTACTCGGAAGGCTGAGGCAGGAGGAGAATCGTTTGAACCTGGGAGGTGGAGGTTGCAGTAAGCTGAGATCATGCTATTACACTCCAGCCTGGGCAAGAAGAGTAAAACTCCATCTCAAAAAAAAAAAAAAAAAAAAAAAACCCTAGGTGGCATGCCTACTGCACACCTGGGCTACCTGGAATAGTCTAGTGCTCTTGGGCTCCACACCTGCACAGCATGTGGCTGTGCTGAGTACCCTCGGCAAGTGTAACACAGTGGTAGGTATTTGTGTATATGAACGTAGACAAGGGACAGTAAAAATATAGTGGGAAATCTTATGGGACCACCGGCTGCATATGCAGTCCATCATTGACTGAAATGGCTTTATGCGGCTTATGACTAGACCTGTATGTGCCTCAGTATTCAAAAGATGTAAAAAGGTGGACAGAGATTCAACATAAAGAAATGATCAATGTTTGGGCCGGGCGCGGTGGCTCACGCTTGTAATCCCAGCACTGTGGGAGGCCGAGGTGGGTGGATCATGAGGTCAGGAGATAGAGACCATCCTGACTAACACAGTGAAACCCTGTCTCTACTAAAAATACAAAAATTAGCCAGGTGTGGTGGCACATGCCTGTAGTTCCATCTACTAGGGAGGCTGAGGCAGGAGAATCCCTTGAACCCGGGAGGCAGAGGTTGCAGTGAGCCGAGATCGTGCCACTACACTCCAGCCTGGGCAACAGAGCGAGACTCCATCTCAAAAAAAAAAAAAAAAAAAGATAAATGTTTGAGGTGATATGCTAATTACCCTGACTCAATCCTTGTATGCATTTATCGAAATACCACATGTACCCCATAAATATGTATAATAATTATGTATTAATAAAATTAAACATTTTAAAAAATGTATATAGAGAGAAGGAAGTTTCTCTCTCCCTGTCCTCCTTTGGCTTTGCCAGCTCACCTTCCTAAAAGCAGTCACCTAGTTTATTGTATGTCCTTCTGGAAGGATCTCTGATGGAGCTTAGCTAATGACAATCCACAGCAGCCACAGCCCAGGCCAGCCGACAGAGTTTGTAAATAAAGTTTTATTTGCACATGTCCAGGCTCATTTGTTTATATACTATCTATTACTCTTTTCATGCTACAAGGCAGAGTTGAGTAGTTGCTGCAGAGCCTAGTCTGATCATTTAAGCAAAATATTGTGATGCCTGCAGCTGTGTGTGTTTAAAGTCAAGGCAGGGTGGTAGAGGCAGCGGCAGCAGCAGGCCCAGAGGCAGCGGTTGGGTTTGCAGCGAGAAGACAAGGTTGAGTCAGTGTGTTTGCGAGAGCTGGAATCGAAGCCTCTTAAAATGGCAGATGATTTGGACTTCGAGACAAGAGATGCAGGGGCCTCGGCCTCCTTCCCAATGCAGTGCTCAGCATTATGTAACACTGGCTTCGTGGTGCTCAAAGGCTGGCCCTGTAAGGTCTTTGAGATGTCTGCTTGGAAGACTGGCAAGCACAGCCGCGTCAAGGTCCACCTGGTTGGTATTGACATCTTTACTGGGAAGAAATATAAAAATAACTGCCTGTCACCTTATAATGTGGGTGTCCCCAGCATCAAAAGGAATGACTCCCAGTTGATTGGCATCCAGGAAGGTACCCCTCACTGCTCCAGGACAGCAGGGAGGTGCGAGAGGACCTTCTTCGTCTGCCAGAGGAGACCTTGGCAAGGAGATGAGCAAAAGTACCGCTGTGGAGAAGGGACCCTGATCACCGTGCTGTCTGCCATGACAGAGGAGGCAGCTGTTGCAGTCAAGGCCATGGCAAAAGAACTGGCTCCCAGGGTGACAGTGGTGGCAGCAGTGATCTTCTGAGACTGCAGAGGCCCCCTCCTCTGGCCTTCTGTAGGCTGGACTCTTCCTACACAATGTATTTGATGTTTTATTTTGTTTTTCCCACCCCTTCAATCTGTCGGGGAGCCCCTGCCCTTCACCTAGCTCCCTTGGCCAGGAACAAGCAAAGCCATGGCCTTGGTGAAGCTGCCATCCTTTTCCCTGCTCGCACTACAGCCCTGGTTGGGGGGAGACGGTGGGCGATGCTTGTGGTTTATTTATTTGAGACAGAGTCTCACTCTGTTGCCCAAGCTGGAGTGCACGGGGCACCATCTCGGCTTACTGCAACCTCCACCTCTTGGGTTAAGCAGTTCTCCTGCCTCAGCCTCCCGAGTAGCTGGGATTACAGGCACGTGCCACCATGCCAGGCTAATTTTTGTATTTTTAGTAGAGACAGGGTTTCACTATGTTGGCCAGGCTGGTCTTGAACTCCTGACCTCGTGATCTGCCCGTCTCGGCCTCCCAAAGTGCTGGGATTACAGGTGTGAGCCACTGAGCCCGGCCTTATTTATTTATTTTAATTCAATCTGGAATCAGAAAGCGGTGGATTCTGGCACATGGTCCTTGTGCCCTCCCCACTCACCCCTGGTCTGGTCCCCTGTTCCCCATGGTCCTATACCCTAAGCACGACCCCCACAGACTAAGGCCAGCCCCCTGCCGTACCTGTGCCTCTCCCCAAACCCCTTTAGATGGGGAGGGAAAAGGAGGAGCGGGGAGGGGTCCTGCCCCCATGGGCTTTACCCTTCCCTGCGGTCTCTCTCCCCAACACATTTGTTAAAATCAAACCTGAATAAAACTACAAGTTTAATATGGAAAAAAACAATAATAGTCGAGGCAGACCTGGGCCTTTTAGTCTGTACTCTTGCCTCTGTGAGCCTTGACTCTGAAAAGGGGATAGTAAAAGGATGTCTCTTGGGGTGGCTGGGGGGCTTCTGTGGGGTCCAGGCAGCACAGGACCTAACCAGCAGGGTGCCAAGCAGGGGGATGCCTGGGCTGCAGGCATTGACTCGCCTGTGTCCCACAACCCCTCTTGGAGCTGGAGCACTAGCGGGGGCTCAGCTGCCAAAACCCAGGGACAGGTGAGGCTGTCACCATCCAAGATGGCAATCTGGTGTGCCATTCCTGACTGCCAACCTGCACGATCAGGTCCCCTCCCCGTGAGTACTACAGGGGACCCCACTCCTGCAGAATACAATCCTCCCATGAGCCTGAATCCATCCTGTTGCTGCTCTGCCCCTCGCCCCCAGTGGCTCCGGTCTCCTGCAGAATGAGAGCGAAGTCCTCACCAGGGTCCACGGGGTCACCGTCCCACATCATCCCCAGTGCTCCCCTCCCGGTGTGCTTTGGCGCCGAGCCTGCTCCCACCGTCACACTTAAGCCTGCCCCAGTGGTTGCTGCCTGCCACGGGGTTTGCACAGGGACTGCGCAGTGGGCCTCCTGAATGAAGACCCAGACCTGAGCCCGGTGGGGCCTCTGGGAACACTCCTTTCAAGGCCAGCTCACCCTGGCTCCTTTCTGTTCATTCCAAAATAACAAAATAACACCTGCATTGCAAAGCGTGGTTATTCTGAGCCTGGTTGCCATCACAGTCATATGGGGACCTGTTAAAATCTGGGCCCCTGGGCCCTAGCTAGGACCTCCTGACTCTGGTGCTCTGTGAACCTGGCTCGCAGACGTCCCGATTTCATGTGGTGGACACTGGGGCATGGGAAGGTCATTTCCAGCCAGAGGTAGCATGGTTGTTACGGAGCAGCCCTAAATATTCCTGCTCCAGGCTTGTCTGGACTTCCTCCCTCCCCATCCCTCCTCTGAGAGTTGACACCCTCCCACTGTGTCCCCCAGCCCGCACAGTGTTGCTTCCTGGTGTTTTGACTCCCACTTGGATGACTGTGTCTGTTTCCCCCGCCCTGCTCCAGGCTGGCACGGATGGTGTGAGTCATCACCGCCCCCTGATGCCCAACCTGTCCTTGCATCTCTTGGGTACCATTGCACCTGTGTGCAAATGCCAGACAGACATCTCTCTGCCTGTCACCTGATGCCCGGCGTCAGGTTTCTCTCTGTCCCTTTGTGAGGGCCACAGCCGGCGGGAGTGGGAGGCAAGCTCTGTTTGCCCTTCATCCTCTCCCTGGGGAGCTGGCTGCCACCTGCTGGGCGAGCGGCAGAGCCCCATCCCTGCAGCAGCAAGGCCCTGCCCGCCAGCTGCTGCACAGCAGCATCTCTCCCTGGAGCTCATGCCTTTCACCATCCCACCCAGGGCTCCCCACACCCTGCCTCCGCCCCAGCCCTTCCCCTCCTCAGGCCAGACAAGGGAGCCGAGAGTTGAGCTGTGCTGTGGTTTCAGGTCAAGACAGTCCTGGGGTGTGTTCCAGTCCTGCCACTTCCAGGCTCCATCCCTTGGGCAGGTGTCTTTTCTTCTCCCAGATTGCTTCCCTGATAAGATGGAGGTCTAGTTATGCCAGCATCATAGGGGTGCTGAGCTGGCCAAGTGAAATTGTGCATGGAAAGTACTTAGGAGCTGGGTGAGGCGGCTCACGCCTGTAATTCCAGCACTTTGGGAGGCTGAGGCAGGAGGATTGCTGGAGCCTGGGAGTTCAAGACCAGCCTGGGCAATATAGCAAGACCTTGACCCCTTTGTTTTTTAGAAAGTGCTTATTAGCACTATGCATTACACAGAGTAAGTTTCTGATACCGGGAAGTGGCTGCCACCATCACCACCACCATCATCACGTTTTTCTCCATTTGTGTCTCCTGCTGACTAAGCCACACTGTGACACTGGTGCCAGCTACTTCATGGGTGCTCTCACGTCCCTTGTTGCCTGCGACCCCACAGGTGTCCCTTTCAGGGAGGGAAAGAGGTTGCTGTGGTCATTTAACACAGCCTCGGCAGGCCAGGGATGGAACTCAGGTCTTCTTATTCCAAGCCGTTACCTCTGCAGATCCATCCCCAACACATGCCTGCTTTGTAGAAAATACTCACACACCCAAACACATGTGTTTTGAACACACCTGTCCTCCTCTCTGACAGCCACTTGAATTCTGGTCCCTGCTTAATGGGCCTTCAGAGCCTTGGACTTGAGCAAATGCATCTGAGCCCTGACCTTGAGACCCACACTCACACACGTGCCCACCCCCACATACTTGTGTGCACATGGTGGATTTACTGCATGCTGGAAAAACAAGAGGAATGTAAAAGCTAAGGAGCAGTTACGTATTTTTTCTTTTCTTTTTTTTTTAAGAGAGTCTCACTCTATTGCCCAGGCTGGAGTACAGCGACACAATCACAGCTCACTGCAGCCTCAAACTCCCAGGCTCAAGCTATCCTCCCATCTCAGCCTCCCAAGTCACTGCGACCACAGGCATGTGCTAATTTTTGTATTTTTTGTTTGTTTTGTAGAGACAGGGTCTCACTTTGTTGCTCGGCTGGTCTTGAACTCCTGGTTTCAAGTGATCCTCTCGCCTCAGCCTCCCGAGTAGCTGGGATTACAGGCACACACTACCACGCCTGGCTAATTTTTAAATTTTTGGCAGAGATGGTATCACCATGTTGCCTAGGCTGGTCTCGAACTCCTGGCCTCAAGTGATTCTCTTGCCTCAGCCTCCCAAGTAGCTGGGACTACAGGCACGCACCACCATGCCCAACTGATTTTTTAGTTTTTTGTAGAGACAAGGTCTCCCTATGTTGCCCAGGCTGGTCTCGAATTCCTGGGCTCAAAGGAACTTCCTGCCTTGGCTTCCCAAAGTGCTGGGATTGCAGGCATGAGCCACTACCCCTGGACCAAGTGAGCATGTATATGTGTGTGCTAAGCACTGGTTCCAGGGAGGGACCCTACTAACTCACTCACTCGCCACACGACCCTGGGAGTTAGTTACACTCATCCCCATTTTAGGGATAAAACAGTTGAGGCACGGGTCACATTGCTTTGCTCAAGAGTTTGAGTTGGGCGCTAGGATTTGACTCCAGGCAGTCTCGCCCCAGAACTCATGTTCTTTTTGTGTGTCCGTGAGAAGGAGTTTCACTCTTGTTGCCCAGGCTGGAGTGCAGTGGTGCGATCTCAGCTCACCACAACCTCCACCTCCACCTCCCGGGTTCAAGTGATTCTCCTGCCTCAGCCTCCTGAGTAGCTGGGGTTACAGGCATGCGCCACAACACCCAGCTAATTTTTGTATTTTTAGTAGAGACGGGGTTTCACCATGTTGGCCAGGCTTGTCTCGAACTCCTGGCCTCAGATGATCTGCCCTCCTCAGCCTCCCAAAGTGCTGGGATTACAGGCGTGAGCCACCGCGCCCGGCCCAGAATTCACGTTCTTAACCATATTGCAAGACTCTATATCTCAGGTGGGACCTGTGAGATGCTGTGAAGCCCACCTAAGGTCACTGAGTGTGTGAGAGAGACAGCAAAGATCCCAGCCCCATCCCTCAGGGCCACAGCTGTGCCCTAACCACTGCGCAGCCCTTCCCTTTGGAACCTGGCTCTGAGCTCCAGCCCAGGCCCTACACCAAAGCCTTTGAATGAACTACAGTCCTGCCATGGCTGTTTGGCCTTGCCTGTGGAATAGGGGTCCTGTGGCTATGCTCCCCTGGATCCTGGGGACCCACCCCTTTATGAGACTTCAGTCACTCTGCCTGGAAGCCGTGACTGACAAAGATCACCTGCTTCCTGCTGCCTTAAAGGAGACACTGGGCATCACATGACCTTTTCCATGTCCATCATGGGGTCATGTGGGCTGTGACATGGCAGAGTCAGATGGGTCCAAGCTGGCCCTGTGGTCAGACGTGGTGGACCCATCACCTCCCCTCGTGAGTCCGCATTGAGTGCAGATACTGAGGAACTGGGTGTGAAATGCCTCGGGTAGCATCTCTCATGTGGTTAGTGCTCAGTACGCCAGAGTCAGTTATTTTGACCCACGCCTGCTCATGAACTGTTTCACGCTGCCATTTTCTTCTTAGCCACCTCCTCACACCATTTTAAATGGACAGGTGTGTGTAGGGGCCCATCCTGGGCCAGCCAGCTGCTCTCCCTGCAACTTTGGACAAGTTATCGCACCTCTGCCCCATGCCGCAGTTTTCTCCTCTCTTTTTTTTTTCTGAAATTTTTTTTGTAGAGACTGGCTTTGTTGGCAAGGCTGGTCTCAAACTCTTGGCCTAAAGCAATCCTCCTGTCTTGGCCTCACATAGTGCTGGGATTGCAGGCGTGAGCCATGTGCCCAGTCTCCTCTCTAAAGTGGGAGGATACTAATACTCCCGTGATGGAAGTGATCAGGGAATTGAAGCTGTGTTTATTTGCATTGGAAGTGCTGGGGATGGGCCTGGCGGGTGTGAGTGCTGTCAGCGCGAACTTCCTCTCTGATCTGCCCATGCTGCTCTTTCTTTTTTCTTATTAATAGATTGGTTTCTTTTTTATTTGAATACATTTGGCCTCATTTCTAAGCAATAGTATTTGTAAAATCTTAGTTTTGGTGTGCTCATTCCTTTTTTTTTTTTTTCTTGAGACAGAGTCACTCTGTCTCCCAGGCTGGAGTACAGTGGCACGATCTCGGCTCACTGCATCCTTCACTTCCCAGGCTCAACTACTTGAGAGTGCCTCAGCCTCCTGAGTACGTGGAACTACAGGAACCCACCACCACGCCCGGCTAATTTTTGTATTTTTAGTAGAAGTGCATTTCTACGGCGCTTCTGTAAGCACTTGGGCGGATGTGACCTCCTCGGTCTCTGACTCTGGTGGTGACTCCTGCAAGGCCGGACCTGGTTCCAGACCCTGTAGGTGCCCAGCTGAAGGTGTGGTCTGATTGCTGTGTGGGGAGTGAAGGTTGCCAGCCTAGAAACTGGGCCTCAAGCTCACTCAGAGGCTCTTGGAACAAAGAAGAGGCACCATCTTGGCTGGGCACGGTGGCTCACGCCTGTAATCCCAGCACTTTGGGAGGCCGAGGTGGGCAGATCATGCGGTCAGGAGTTCGAGACCAGCCTGACCAACGTGGTGAAACCCCATCTCTACTAAAAATGCAAAAATTAGCCAGGTGTGGTGGCGTGTGCCTGTAATTCCAGCAACTCGGGAGGCTGAGGCAGGAGAATCGCTTGAACCAGGGAGGTAGAGGTTGCAGTGGGCTGAGATCATGCCACTGAACTCCAGCCTGGGCGACAGAGTGAAACTCTGTCTCAAAAAAAAAGAAGAGGTGCCATCCCAATGCATGAGACCGGCTGCCATTGTGTCAGGGGTTATGGTGGTATCCACCCTGATGCCACAGCCAGCTCTGGGCCAGCCTCCTCGCCCCAGCGGTGCCCACCCCCAGCTTGATCCTGGACCCTGGCAATGGTGTGACATGAGCTGCTGCTAAGCGTTTGCAGTGCTAGGCCCGGGCCGGACTTTCTCCACAAACGATTTAGTTCCGTTAGTTCACCCACCCTGTAAAACAGCTACGCTTCTCTTCCCCGTTTAAAGCTTGAGGAAGCTGAAATGTGGAGAGTTGAGAGTGGCTCCAGAGCTCCTGAGCCAGGGGCTAGGACTTGAACCCTGGCTTCAGCCGCCACAGAGGACAGCTTAGGGTGGGCCTGGCCTGGCTCCCTGCTTCACAGAGTCGATGCGTTCGCTCCTGGATGAAGCGCCTGGCACGAAGTCCGTGGGCAGCGCTGCTCTGTGTGTCTTGTGAATTCTTCTTATGCTTCTGATAGTTCCTCCAATTTTGCATTTCCTTTTTTTTTTTTTTTTTTTGGAAATGGAGTTTGGCTCTTGTCACCCAGGCTGGAGTGCAATGGCGCGATTTTGGCTCACTGTAACCTCTGCCTCCCAGGTTCAAGTGATTCTCCTGCCTCAGCCTCCCGAGTAACTGAGACTACAGGAGCGTGCCACCACACCCAGCTAATTTTTGTATTTTTAGTAGAGGCTGAGTTTCGCCGTGTTGCCCCGGCTGGTCTTGAAATCCTGACCTCAAGTGATCCGTCCACCTCAGCCTTCCAAAGTGCTGGGATTACAGGCATGAGCCACCATGCCTGGCCTGGAATGATGATTTTTAAGGCGAAACATTAAATAGGATTGCAAAGGATGCCAGTTGGAATATCATTAGCTAAATGCTCTTCCTCACTGAATTGACATGTGAAGCGATAGGATGTAGCAGCAGCTGTAATAAGGCCTTCAGTCTCAGAGTAGTGATGGGCATTCAGAATCTGCAGTAACTTGATGCAATGGGAAAATATCTGTCGTTTCTTTTCATGTCAGTCTCAAGGTCTGCTAAACACTGTTTCTTTTCTCTCTCTCTTTTGGCCTCTGTTAATAAGAAGGAAATGCTAAATTTCAGTTCCATTCATGAAAATAAAGAGATAAGTGTCTCCCCTCAAGTTCGTGGGCCCTTTGGGGGTCAAATGGTTAAGACCAGGGCATGCATGGGCTTGTCCATGGCTTGGGGTAGCTGCTGCAGTCCTGGGGGCTGCCTTCCCAGGCAGGGCAAGCTCCGGTCCCCACTAGAGCTCCAGGGTCACCAAGCACATGGGCCTTTGTCAGACAGCTCCCTTTCTGTCTGCAAGAGGGGCACCTGCCATCAGCTGATCCCCTGCAGCTCCTCCCAGGCCTCCACCCCCAAGGAGGAGGAAGTGCTCAGGCAGGGACCAGGCCTGACCTCTGGGGAGGCTGGCGGCTGGCCTCTGTCGGCTTCTTTCCTCCAGCACCGCAGTTCAGCAACCCACCGCCACCCAGCACAGTGGCCAGAGCGGAGTCCCAGGGTCTGATGTTAGACTCTGCTCTGGACCAGCCACCTGGTCCCAGGGAGACACCATACTTTACCCAGACCTCAGCTTCTTCCCCTAGAAAATGGGGCAGTGCTTGATGAGACCAGGGGTCCAGAGCCCCTGGCCTAGCAGGGTGGCAGGAGGAGGAGTCCACACGGAGATATTACTGGACTGGGAGCTCTCTCAGGGACTCCCACTGCGTCCAGCAGCAGCGGATTGGCAGCAGGGCGAGGGGCCCCCCCCCCAAGAAGCTGCCAGCAAGCCCTCTTCCTGGCCCCCTTCCCTGCCCATTGTGGCATCTCCATGCCCAATATCTGCTGGCCCGAAGATCTTTCTAACGGCCAGTCCTGACCTCTCCCTCTTCTGCTCCTAGCCTTTCCTTCCTGCTCCGCTGGTCACCCTGAGGTAAAATCCAAGCTCTAATAGCCAAAAACTGGAAACAGTACAAATTCCTGTCAGCTGGTGAATGGGCAAACACAACGCAGCACATCCTATAATTACTCTTCAGCAGTATAAAGGGACTGAAACTCACGCTCATTATGCTCAGTAAGAGAAGCCAACCGCAGAAGGCCACACAGTTTCAATTCCATTTTAATGAAATGTCCAGAAAAGGCAAATCTGTGTAGATAGAAAGCCCAGCCCTCCCTTCCGCATGGTGGCGGCTGTGGCCCTCCAGGGACCGGGGCTGCAGCTGTTGGGTTTGGGCTACGTCCCTTCATTCATGCTGGGAGCCACTGCCTGTTAGCCTGGGAACACCCGGGACCAGGCCTGTCTCTTCCAACTGCTTCTGTGTCCTGCGTCAAGGGGCCGGGCCCTGAATAGCGTACGGCGATGTTTAGCTGTTGAGAGTGTTTTGGGAGTGGGGATCCTGAGAGGCACGTGGCATTGTAGTTGAGAGCTGAGTTCAAAGCCCGGCTCGCATATATACCAGGTGTGTGATCTTGGGCAAGGTTGTTTCTCTGAGCTTGGTTTCCTCATAGGGTTGAAGTGAGGATTCATTCTTTCACCCAAAAATACAAAAATACAAAAAAAAAAAAAACAAACCAAGGACCAAGTACAGTGGCTCATACCTGTAATCCCAGCACTTTGGGAGGCTGAGGCAGAAGGATTGCTGAAGCCCAGGAGTTCGAGACCAGCCTGGGCAACATAGTGACACCCCATCTCCACCAGAAATAAAAATGATCTGGGCGTGACAGTGCAAGCGTTTGGTCTCTGCTGCTCGGGAGGATGCTTGAGCCTGGGAGGTCAAGGCTGCAGTGAGCCATGTTCTCACCACTTTACTTCAGCCTGAGCAACAGAGTGAGACCCTGTCTCAAAAACAAACAAAACACCGAGACAGTGTTGGAGACATGGTGGTGACCAAGACAGCCCCAGTCCTGTCCTCCTGGGCTCCCGGGCTAGTAGGGGAGGTGGCTGATGTGTAGAAAGATTGTGTGCTGTTCATTGTGTATTTGTGTGAAGGTGCTTGGAGCGGAGGTGAGGCGTGGAGGGCAGTGGTGACTTGGGGTGGGGGTGCCCAAGGGCACTTTACCTCGGGCAGTGGCCAGCGGGGGGCCTGAAAGGGAGGACAGAGCTCAGGCAGCCTGTTGTTGGGGGAGGGCTGAAGAGGGCAGTATGGGCAGAGGCCTTAGGGCGGGAGTGGGTGGAGCCCCATGAAGGACTCGGGGTGTGGACAGTCACAGGCCTGGGTCCCCTGTGCCTGCAGCCCAGAATGTGACCGTGGACGAGGTCATCGGCGCCTACAAGCAGGCCTGCCAGAAGCTGAACTGCAGGCAGATCCCCAAGCTCCTCAGGCAGCTGCAGGTATGGGCGGGACAGGGTGGGTGCGTCCGGTGTGGGTGTCAAGGGGGGCCCTAGGGTGGAACCAGCCCAGCAGGAGAGGGCCTCCCACTCCCCAGCCCCAGGTGTTCATGAATACATCTTTGAAAGCCTGCTGCTCAGCTAGAGAATGAATCAGTTTCTTCATAAATTTGAAGAGCACAGAATTCTATAAAGTAAGACATTCAGGTATCTGTCAGCCCCAAAAGAAACGCTGTTCCCTGGGGAAGAGGCATATCTACGATTCTTGTGAGTCTGAATTACAAAATTTATGTATTCTTTTTTTTTTTTTTTTTTTTTTTTTGAGATGGAGTCTCGCTTTTGTCTCCCAGGCTGGAGTACAGTGGCGCCATTTCGGCTCACTGCAACCTCTGCCTCCTGGGTTCAAGCGATTCTCCTGCCTCAGCCTCCCAAGTAGCTGGGATTACATGTGCACGCCACCATGCCCAGCTAATTTTTTTTGTATTTTTAGTAGAGACGGGGTTTCGCCATGTTGGCCAGACTGGTCTCAAACTCCTGACCTCAGGTGATCTGCCCACCTCAGCCTCCTAAAATGCTGAGATTACAGGCATGAGCCACCATGCCCAGCATATTCATAAAAGTCAGAATTACAGAAATAACACATATCCTCAGATTTAAAAAAATAAAAATACTACAGATCTGAAAAGCCAAATCCACCTCTTATCTCTTGCCCCAAGGCCCCCTCCTCGGGAACCCCCGTTGTTGGCCACTCGGCATTTCCTGGCCTTTTCTGTGCGTTGGCAAGGTGGCTATTGAGGGGTACCTGCTGGTTTTCCATTTGGTCGCTCTCCCACCCTGCCGGTCCCCCAGCCCCCTCCCTCGGCACCTCTCCTGTGGGCCCCGGCCTGGCGCCTAGTCAGTGAAGCACCGCTCGTTCCGAGGGTTCCAGGGTTGCCTGTCCTCGGGCTGTTGTACCCTCAGCTGTGCTGGAAGCAACCACGCTCCTTGTCCATCAGTGTTCACTGGAGTTAGGGTAGGTTCTCTGGAACATTCCAGAAGAGGGGCTTGTCAGGTCCCAGGAAGGGTGGCTGCTCAGTGTGGCAGCTGAGAGGGTGGGTCCTTGGACCCCATCGGCCTGGTTCAGACCAGCCCTGCAGCACCCACCCTGCAGGTGATGTGTGTAAGCTCAGAGCGCGGGTGCTGGCATCTGCGGGACGGTGGGTTCTGACTGGGTGCTGGGCCCCAGGCCCTGCCTTCACCAAGAAGCCTCCTGTGCCCAGCCTTGCCATCTTCCCAGGCTCATTTCCTGCCTCACAGCCTTTGCACAGACTCCCTCCTCTGCTGGGACATACCCAGAGATGCTGGGCCCACTCCCTCACTCGGTCCCGCTGGGGCAGAGGGCTTCGCCCAGGCCTGCCTGGCTGCAGTGCTGGCTGGTCCTCAGTTGTGTGGGTGCAGAGTTCTCTCGCTGTCTAAGGCCCTGTACCCCAGGTTCCAGCTGGTGGGTGGCCTCTGAGCCTCTGTTCAGTGCCTTCGCCCAAACCCCACCCCAGAACCCTGCCTGACCTCAGGCATAGCAGCCATTTGGGGCCTCGGCTGCCCCCCTGTTCAAGTGTCTTCCTGCCTTAACCCCACTCTACTTTCTCAGGAATTCACAGACCTCGGGCACCGCCTCGACTGTCTGGACCTGAAAGGTGTGTGTCTGGCTAGGGGTTGAGAGCCCTTGGGTCATGGGCAGGTCGGGGGCTCCCTAGAGCTGGGTCTGAGGACCTGCCTGGGGTTAGCGGCTTCTGGAGCTGAGCTCAGCCAGGGCAGGGGCTGGGCCTGGTGGGGGGTGGGAGGTTGGGGGCAGAGGGCCCTTCCAGCCATGCAAAGGTGCACTGTCTTAGACATGCGCACGGCTGCTGTCTCCCCCCAGGTGAGAAGCTTGACTACAAGACCTGTGAGGCCCTGGAAGAGGTCTTCAAGAGGCTGCAGTTCAAGGTCGTGGACCTGGAGCAGACAAACCTGGATGAAGATGTGAGCGGCCCTGCCACCGCCCACTTGGCTCCCTGAGCTCCCGGGCCCCTTCGAGGTTTGGGTGGGGAGAGGACACTGCAGGAGGAGGGGGTCCCCTAGACAAAGGCTGAGGGGTGGCGCAAGGGCGGGGCCTCTTGCAGGGCAAGAGGGAGACATCCAATATGACCAGAGTGGATGTGGAGGGCGCGTTGGGGCACCTATGGCCCACCCTCATAAGCAAGGAGAGCCTTAGGGAGCTGGGCTGAGGGGCAGGCGTGTGGCCCCCAGGAGCCCTTTCAGGAACCACGCTGGAGGGTCCAGCTCCTACAGGGTGGGCTTGGGAAGCATTCTGAGAGCAGCCTCCCATCAAGGCCCAAGGGCCCTCACCTCCTCAGCCTTGGGAGTCCCCAGGCACCCCAGGTGTCGGGATCCAGGGGCAGGGGACCTGGAGAACTGAGGCCCAGGCTCAGGAACACCAAGGCCTGTCCTGGTCACTCAGCACGTCAGTCAAGGACTTTGGAGGGCAAGTGACAGAAAACAAAACTGACTACAGCAGAGAAGGAAAGGGTTTGTCCCCGTGGCTCACGGGGCCCTGTCTGTGCTTGTCCTCCTCTCCCGTGTGGCTCTCTCCAGACCCTGGACCCATCGTCTCTCGGTGGGGCCCGGTGTCAGGGCCCACGCCTCTCCTCCAGGGCAGCCCAGAGCTGAGGCTGAGCCCCCGAATCTCTATGCGCAGGGTGCCTCGGCCCTCTTCGACATGATCGAGTACTACGAGTCGGCCACCCACCTCAACATCTCCTTCAACAAGCACATCGGCACCCGGGGCTGGCAGGCGGCCGCCCACATGATGCGCAAGGTGGGCGCCTCTCGGCTTCCAGGAAGAGGCAGCTCAGGCTCCCAGCACGGGGAGGCACTTTCTCAGGGCATGGCCCGTAGGCTCTGACTGCATGAGCTCTTGAGTGTGGGCTGTTGTGGGGATGCTGGGCCTGGCCCTCAGGCCAGGAGAACAGGGCCGAGAGGTGTCCTGGCCCCCAGGCCCCCTGGCCCCTTCTCTCCTTGCGAGGCATTTCATGACCTCCAACTTCTCCCTTCCGTAATGTCATCCTTCTGTAATGTCATCCCCTTGGAGGTGGCCATGGTCGCCATCCCCACGTCACTCCTGTGTGAAGGCTGGGTGGAGGGACGGGACGGGGCTATCTGGTAACCTCCCAGCCACACAGGAGTTGGAGATCCTGGCTGCCACCAGCCCTGCCTCGCTCACCCACAGGACCCCAGGCTGAGCCTTCCCTCCCCAGCCACAGTTACCCCCATTGTAAAACAAGGCGACATAGCCAGACGACAGCTGTGGCTTCGTTGCTCATTGAGACATGGGGGCACAGGTCCTGGGGCCAGGGAGTGCTGGGGCGGTCCTGGGGCCAGGGAGTGCTGGGGCAGGCCTGAGCCAGTGCCTCACCCCTGTCCTCTTGCCCCTGCAGACGAGCTGCCTGCAGTATCTGGACGCCCGCAACACGCCCCTGCTGGACCACTCGGCGCCCTTCGTGGCCCGTGCCCTGCGCATCCGCAGCAGCCTGGCAGTGCTGCACTTGGAGAACGCCAGCCTGTCGGGGCGGCCCCTCATGCTGCTCGGTGAGCCCCAAGCCCGGGAGGGTGAGCAGGATGTGCAGCCTGTTGGGGGGCAGGGGCCTGCCCAGTCACCGTGCCCCCTCCCCGTCCCCAGCCACGGCCCTGAAGATGAACATGAACCTGCGGGAGCTGTACCTGGCGGACAACAAGCTCAACGGCCTGCAGGACTCGGCCCAGCTGGGTAACCTGCTCAAGTTCAACTGCTCCCTGCAGATCCTGGACCTCCGGAACAACCACGTGCTAGACTCGGGTGGGTGCAGTGGCCCACCCCACCCACACCCGTCACCCAGCACCCACTCTGCCCGGCCCTGCGCTAGGTGGTGCTGGGGACACAGACATGGCCAAGACCACCCCAACGCTGTCCTGCTGGGGCTCCCAGGAGGAAGACAGACCCGCCCTAGACAGTGACAACCTAGAGTGGGCAGGACTGGGCTGGTGGAGCCCAGAGGCGGGGTCCGATCAGTCTGGGGGCCAGGGAGGGCTTCCAGGAGGAGGAGACAGCTCAGCTGACAGCCGCAGGATGAGGCGAAGTGAATAATTACAATCTGAAAAGAAAGCAGTGTTGCTGCCATAACAGGGTCAGCTAGAGGCTGCTTTCAGATGGGAGAGGAGGGAAGACCACCGTGGGGCGGGGCCTCTGGGCTTCCATCCGGAGGCTGGGAGCAGAACCAGCCTTGTGAGAAGCCTGGGAAAGGGTCCAGACCGCGGGAGCAGTGAGTGCAGTGGGAGGAGCTCTGGTGTTTGATGCTGGGGGTTGAGCAGAGAATGGGGAGCCGTCAAAGGAGGCGTTCCTGTTGCATCCTGGAGGGGTGGGGTGGGTCACTGTGTCCCCAGGTGGCAGGCCCAGACCCCACTCTACTGAGCACCTGCCAAGGGCCATGGCTGTCGGCCCCTGGGCTCAGCTCGGAGGGAGACACAGGGCTCTGCCCTTGGGAGTTTGTACTCCAGTCTAGAGAGACAACGATAAGATGAGTGAAATCTCCAGCCTGTCAGATGGTGGGATCTGCATTGGAGGGAGACAGTGGTGACTGTGGGTGGGAGTGAGCTGGCTGTGAGGTGAGGTGGGCCAGAGGTGGTCACATTTGAGCAAAGATCAGAAGCATCTGGTGGAGGCTGTCATCCAGGCACCCAGGCCCAGGGGTCACAGATGTGTGCCCAGGGGTGCCAGGCCGAGGCAGGGCTGCAGGGCAAGGCCTGGGACTGCGGGGCCTCCATGGAGGTCCTAAGCAGAGGGGGTTGCTCCTACCCTGCAGTCCCCTCCCCAGGAAGCACCCGGACCCCAGACAGGGCTCTGACTGCCGGCCTCCTCCAGGTCTGGCCTACATCTGCGAGGGCCTCAAGGAGCAGAGGAAGGGGCTGGTGACCCTGGTGCTGTGGAACAACCAGCTCACGCACACAGGCATGGCCTTCCTGGGCATGACACTGGTGAGTCAGGCTGGCAGGGAAGGGAGGCACCTCGGTCCCCGCTGCCACCTCCCACTCCAGCTCTCAGCACAGTTGCCTCTAGCTGACGGCTCCTGTCCTGCCCATCCTGCAGGTTCAAGACGATTTAAACTCAGCCCCACCTGCTTCCTCATTCAGCTTCTGTGCCTGTTTTCCCTGAGGAGGAGCCCTTCTTTCATTATCTCCTTTTTTTTTTTGAGACCGAGTCTCATCCTGTCACCCAGGCTGGAGTGCAGTGGCGCCATCTAGGCTCACTGCAGCCACTCCAGCCCCCGCCTCCTGGGTTCAAGCCATTCTTCTGCCTCAGCCTCCCAAGTAGCTGGGACTACAGGTGCCCGCCACCCCGCCTAGCCAATTTTTTTATTTTTTATTTTTATTTTTTTTGAGACGGAGCCTCAATCGCCCAGGCTGGAGTGCAGTGGCTCGATCTCCGCTCACTGCAAGCCCCACCTCCTGGGTTCACACCATTGTCCTGCCTCAGCCTCCCGAGTAGTTGGAACTACAGGCACCCACCACCACACCCAGCTAATTTTTTTGTATTTTTTTAGTAGAGAGGGGATTTCACCATGTTAGCCAGGATGGTCGCAATCTGACCTTGTGATCCACCCTCCTCGGCCTCCCAAAGTGCTGGGATTACACGCGTGAGCCACCGCGCCCGGCCTAATTTTTGTATTTTTAGTACAGACGGGGTTTCACCATGTTGGCCAGGCCGGTCTTGAACTCCTGACCTCGAGTGATCCCCCCCACCTCGGCCTCCGAAAGTATTGGGATTATGAGTGAGTCACCGTGCCTGGTTTTCAGTTTTTATGTGGTGCTTAAAGCAAGCCACTCAGGTACAGAGACTCTCAGGGCGAGCACTCGTGTGCTCAAACCCCGGGATAAGAGTTGCCCTCCTTGGGGGCTTCAGGGCGCTCAAGGTCCAGGCCCTGGCCAGGGGCCCAGGCTGTGGGGGGTAGGGACTGACTGGGTGCCTGGGGAGCTGGGAGTGGACGGGGGACCTGGCATTTGGGGAGACTTCAGGCACAGGAGGGACTTCAGGCCAGGCCTGCGGCAGGGCAGGACGGCGCCGGTGTTCACGCAGGCGCGCGAAAGAAAAGGAGCGCCCGGGCCTGGCTCTCTTCCCGGCTTCTTTCCTGACTTGGCCTCCTGGGTCTCCTCCGCCATCACGGCCTCCTCCTCACCCTCACACCCCCTCCCTCCAGCCGCACACTCAGAGCCTGGAGACGCTGAACCTGGGCCACAACCCCATCGGGAACGAGGGTGTGCGGCACCTCAAGAACGGGCTCATCAGCAACCGCAGCGTGCTGCGCCTCGGGCTGGCCTCCACCAAGCTCACGTGCGAGGGTAGGGTACGGGGCCGGGCCAGGGTGCGGGCTGGTGGGCTCAGCCGGGCGGCCAGCCGGGTGTGGGGCCCGTGGCCAGCCCCTGCGGTGCCCCCCCAGGCGCGGTGGCGGTGGCGGAGTTCATCGCTGAGAGCCCCCGCCTCCTGAGACTGGACCTTCGGGAGAACGAGATCAAGACAGGCGGGCTCATGGCACTGTCGTTGGCCCTCAAGGTGAACCACTCACTGCTGCGCCTGGACCTCGACCGTGAACCCAAGAAAGAGGCGGTGAGCAGGGGACGGTCCTGCAGCCCTGGGGCGGGCGGAAGGCCGGGTGGTGGGGCCGGCCTGAGAGCCCTAGCCAGGCGCTCCCGCCACAGGTGAAGAGCTTCATCGAGACGCAGAAGGCGCTGCTGGCCGAGATCCAGAACGGCTGCAAGCGCAACTTGGTGCTGGCGCGGGAGAGGGAGGAGAAGGAGCAGCCGCCACAGCTGTCGGCCTCCATGCCTGAGACCACCGCCACCGAGCCCCAGCCCGACGACGAGCCCGCCGCTGGGGTGCAGAACGGGGCCCCCAGCCCCGCACCCAGCCCGGACTCAGACTCAGACTCGGACTCGGATGGGGAGGAAGAGGAGGAAGAGGAAGGGGAGAGGGACGAGACCCCCTGTCCTGCCCTGGTGCCCCCCACGGACTCCCTGGGCCCTGGGGACAGGAGTCCCCCAGGCAGCCCCTCCACACCCACCGAGCAGCGGATTTCCGTGTCCAGCCCGGGCCGGGGCCACAAGGTGTTTGTGGTGACCCGGGTGGAGAGCCCGCCCGAGAGGGCAGAGCCCCCTGCGTCCCCCACCCCTCCCTCTCCCCCACCCCCTCCCTCCCCACCCGCCTCACCTTCCCTACCACCAGCCGGGGCCATTGACACCCGGGACACAGGGTCCTCTGAGCCTCAGCCACCACCGGAGCCGCCTCGGTCAGGGCCACCACTGCCCAACGGCCTGAAGCCCGAGTTCGCCCTGGCACTGCCCCCTGAGCCGCCCCCGGGGCCTGAGGTCAAGGGGGGCAGCTGCGGCCTGGAGCACGGTGAGAGGGGCCCTAGGGCAGGTGTTGAGGGGCCCTGGGTGCTGTATGTGACCCCAGGCAAGCCCCTGCCTGTTGTGGACCTCAGTTTCCCCCTCTTTAAAATGGTTCTCGCAGGGGCCAGCAAAGTGGGGCTTAGTTCTCATCTCCACCCTGCTTCCCTTGGGTCCTGGGAGCTCTTCCTGGGGTGGGGGGGCATGTAAGGTGTGCTGCCTTGAGCCTGACCATCTCAGCGGTCTCTGGGCACTCTGCAGGCCCTGAGGGTCTGGCTGGGGCCGGGCTGGGGACAGGTTGTATTTGCCCCACCCGCCTGACGGGGGTGCTGGCCCGTCCTCCCACACAGAACTGAGCTGCTCCAAGAACGAGAAGGAGCTCGAGGAGCTGCTTCTGGAAGCCAGTCAGGAATCCGGGCAGGAGACACTGTGACACTTTAGGTGAGGCCAGGCCCGGGGCCCACAGCACTCGGGAGGAGCTGAGAGAGCCTCTGGCTCTGACAGTCTCTCCCCCAATCTCTCCTCCCCAAGTTCCCTTTTTCCGGTCGGTCTGCGATGAGCTGAGGCCAGAGCCATGAGAATCTGCTCACCTTCCCCCCAGCCTTCCTGAGGCCCAGGATGCCAGGGGTGGGGGCCATTCTGGGGCCCCCCTCCCCCCACAGCAACACTACAAGGGGTGCAGGAGCTACAGGGAGTGGCCCTCCGCGCGTGACTCAAGCACTTCTATTTATGAGCCCAGCACTGGAAGACTCTGGGGGTGAATGGGAGGAGGGGGAGCAGGAGGAGGAGGAGGTCTCCAAGGACATCAGGCGCCTGTTCTGGAGGGGCCAGGCTTGCCCTGCGGAGGGCAGGCGTCCTGGGTGGTGGTGGGATGGTCCCCTGTGGCCCCGGGCACAGGGCCGGGCAGGCAGCCTGGTGCCGGAGAGGCGGTGCGTGCTGGTGGTGGTTGAGATGCACAGAACAGCCCCAGACAGCGCAGGCCGGGCAGGGTGGGGGGATGGGAGCAGAGGATCAGAGCTTTCTTTTTCTCAAGTGCAATAAATCTATCAGGGAGCTGGGGCGGGAGCAGCCGGCACTCCGGGACCCTGCTGTCCAGGCCACTGGAGGCTGCGCCCTGAGAGGCACTACAGCCCTTTGGGGGCGAGTGGCATGGGTGTGGGTGAGGGTGGGCAGAGGGCTGGGGCTACTCCTGTCGGTGCAACTCTGTTCACACCTTTTCTAATAAACTGGGGCTGGGTTCACTTTGCCCAACGTCTGCTTCGTGCGGATCCTGGAGGTGGTTGCTGGGGGTGGGCTGGGTGGAGGCCATCACAGCTCCTGGTTACAGAGCATCTGCCAGGGCACTGGTCAGGCATTACTGCGTCTTCCCCCACAGTCCCGTCTATTCTGCATCCATGCTCTGGTGTCTCGTACGGTCACCTCCCAGCCAGGCGAGTTTACACCCATCCTTTCTGCAGGGAGAGACAGGCCCCAGATACCTCCTGGCTTCAGGTCTAGGGTCTCAGGATGCTGGATATGGAGTGGCTCTGCCCAGTCGCCCATCGCTCAACAGGAACAGATCCCAGCCTGTCCCTGGCAGCCCCAGGTGTTGTGCAGGTGGGAGTATGCCCCGGGCCCAGCCAGCACTGCAGGAGCCTGGTGGGCGGCTTGTTCCCCTTTGCCAGCAGGGGCCTGGGGGGCCATGGGGGTGCTGTTGCGGATTTCTGAGAGGTCTGTTTTTCCCTTTAGGAAAGGGGGGAGCAGGCCGGGCATGGTGGCCCACACCTGTAATCCCAGCACTTTGGGAGGCTGAGGTGGGAGGATTGCTTGAACCCAGGAATTTGACACCAGCCTGGGCAACATGGTGAAACCCCATCTCCATAGAAAATACAAAAATTAGCTGGGTGTGGTGGCGTGTGCCTGTAGTCCCAGCTACTGAGGAGGCTGAGTTGGGAGGATCGCTTGAACCCAGGAGGTTGAGGCTGCAGTGAGGTGTGATTGCACCACTGCACTTCAGCCTGGGCAACAGAGTGAGATCCTGTCTCAAAAAAAAAAAAAATTACTAAACGAGCATTTCTGGGCCACCCATCCCCTTGTTTCCCGTGTGGGAGGCTGACATGGATGGAGGCGTTGTGGTGACATCACGAGAACCACAGTCGCAGGCTGGAGCCCTGGTGTCATTCAGCTCCTGCACACACCAGGGAGTCCCCTGCCCCCAGCCACCCTGGCCTCTGGGAGGAACACCTTAGGAAGCCACTGCTGGTTTGCTGTTTGGTCCCTTGCAGCTGTAAGTGTCCTAACTGCTCCCCAGGTCAGCCACGGCTAGGACTCTTATTTGGGCGAGGGACTTAGGGAAGCTACACAGAACAGCCGCCAGCAGCCCGCAGCACTCTTCCCATCCCTGCACAGCCAGCTTGTCCCCAGCTCTGCTAATGTGCGATGTGGCCATGGGTGAAGGGAAGAAGGGGCCCCCTCCTGGCCACTGTGGATCCAGCCCGTCTTGGTGAGGGGCCGGGGCATGTGAGGTGTTTGCATCAAGGTACTGAGAGACCTCTGTCCTTCGCCTGGTTTGGGTCAGCACAGTGCCCCAACGATCTTCAGAGGCCCTTGGTCGATATTAGCCGTTGCTCATGGTCTCAGCCTCTGTGGAGGCAGCTGTGTTGGGGTCTCACCCAGCCCGCTGGCCGTCTGCCTCCCCACCCCATGTGAGGTATGCTAGGGGAGGGACAGGGATCCTCTTCCCAGCCTGTCCCTTGATTTGCTTTCACTAAATTGAGCTTGGAGTGAGGAACTGGGCCTTTCTTACTGTTGGGGGTTGAATTGTGTCTCCCACAAAAAAAGATGTTTGTTTATTTATTTATTCATTTATTTATTGAGCTGGAGTCTCGCTCTGTTGCCAGGCTGGAGTGCAGTGGCGCAATCTCGGCTCACTGCAACCTCCGCCTCCCAGGTTCAAGCAATTCTGCTGCCTCAGCCTCCCGAGTAGCTGGGAGTACAGGCGTGCACCACCACGCCCAGCTAATTTTTGTACTTTTAGTAGAGACGGGGTTTCAACATGTTGGCCAGAATGGTCTCAATCTCTTGACCTCGTGATCTGCCCACCTCGGCCTCCCGAAGTGCTGGGATTACAGGCGTAAGCCACTGCGCCTGGCCAAAAAAAGATCTTTAAAGTCCTTACCTCCAGTACCCCAGAATGTGAGCTCACTTAGAAATAGGGTTTTTACAAAGGTAATCAAGTTTTAACTCATTTTAATGAGGTCACTCGGGTGGGCCCTGCTGCAGTCTGATTGGTGTCCTTATTAAAAGGGGCATTTGGGCACAGGGAGACTGCCACGTGAAGACAGAGGATGGGGTGATGCCTTTGCAAGCCAGGGAGTGCGGAGATGGCCAGCAATGCACCAGGAGTGGGGAGCAGGCACAGAGAGCCCCTCCTTCATCTGGAACTTTTAGCCTCCAGAAGCGAGAGACGATACATTTGTCCTTCAAAGGCACGTGGTCTGTTAGACTGTGTTAGAGCAGCTCTAGAAACCACAGCCGTTACCACAACACCCCAGCCTGCCGCGCTCCTGATTTTCTGAAGGGTCCCAGATCGAGGGCTGGAGGCTGAGAGGATCCCCCTTGCCATCTTGTCTTCCCCTTCCCTTCAGCCACCCAAGTGTCACCCGAGCTTGTCACGTTTTGGTAGCCTTTGCTGAAGACGTAGGGGGTCTGTTTCATGCAAGATCTCAATGTCCTAACACAGGAGATGTTTATTGTCACATGTGGATGTTCAGAGTGGCAGGCAGCTCTTCACCAAGTTATTCCTGGACCCAGGCCCCTTTGAAGCTCTTAGGGCTCTGTTGCTCCCCAGGGCCTCAAGGATCCCGGATCAAGTGGGCAGATGGGGGAAGGGAGTGGAGAAGGGAAACCTGCTCCCTGACTCATTGCTGGGAAAGGCGCACAGGTCAGCCGTGCTCCTTTTTTGTTCGTGACAACGGTCCCGTGGCTTTACACAGGTGCAAGTTCTCATAGCAGCTCCACGTGAAGATACAGTGACCAACAGTTTGGCCACAGCTTGTACCACGTAACAGAGGCTGCGGCTTTTTTTTTTAATCAGTCGGAGTCTTGCTCTGTCGCCCAGGCTGGAGTGCAGTGGCACCATCTTGGCTCCAGCCACCACCTCCCGGGTTCAAGTGATCCTCCCACCTCAGCCTCCTGAGTAGCTGGGATTACAGGCATGCACCACCATGCCCAGCTAATCTTTTTGTATTTTTATTAGAGACAGGGCTTCACCATGTTGGCCAGGCTGATGCAGCTTCTTACTGAGGCATGGGGGGCTTCAGTCCTGCCCTCACCTCCAGCCAAGTCTACACGTTAGCATCTCTCACAGCACCCCACTCCTGGTAACAGGAGTGAAAATTTATTTTCAGCTTGGATTCCAGGTGGTAAGAAACAAACCCAACTGAAACTGGCTTAAGGGAGGCTACAGGGATATATTGACCCCAACCACACATCTACAGAAACAGACTTAACGGTGTCACGAGGCCCCATCCTTCTCCCTCTGAGGCCAGCTCTCCCTGACTGCTGGGAAACAGCTCCCAGGAGGTCCAGGCGTATCCTACCAGCTTAGTCAGTCCAGGAATGGGAAACAGCACCTCTGCTTGCCCAGCCCCAGGGAAGATCATAGAGGGCTCCCACTGACCTGCATGCACCTGTGACAATTGCTGTGGCCAGAGAACTCCGGTGCTGCAGCCAGACCTGGATGCTATGCCCAGCCTTGGAACTAAAGAACTGTGAGGTCAGTGACCCAGTCCCATGGCCTGAGGGTGTGTGCCTTTGCAGAGCTCTCAGGTTCCTCGGGGGCTGTCCCCTCCACCAGCCTCAGGGCCCTGGCTCAGAAGCCACACCCTCAGCCTCATCCCAGGGTATGTTCAGTGTTGGCCCTTGTGGCCCCTGCCGGCACACACTTGGAACTGGGCCAGGCACCCCAGGGCCTGAGCGTGTGGCTGAACATTTGACCAGTGAGGAATCAGGAACTGCCCAGAGGAGTGACACCCACCCCCAGCCCAGGGCTCTGCCCAGAGGGAAAGTGGGGGAGCCCTAGTGTAACCCCTCCTGGCTGGCTGTGGCTTGGGCCCTGTATGTCCCCATCTCTGCCCAACTTCCCTGTCCTCATCAGGGGGCTGATGCAGTGGCTTCAGTGTCAGTGACTAACCAGTGGCCCTGGAGTGACTCGTAAGGCAGGTACCCTGTGGACAGTTATTTGTCTGGGGGAGGTTAGTGCCACCCACTCCAGCTGGCTGAGGTGCCAGCGAGGTCTAACCCATTACGTTGAGAATGGAGCCACCCTAGGGGTGGAGCAGCTTGCTGAGGTCACCGAGGTCATCCTCAGAAATGCCAGCCCCTGCCCTACTCACAGAGGGGCAAGCTAGGGCATGGGGACAAGGACTGGGATTCCCTGAGGCCTGGGCGCTCCATGTTGCCTGAGTCAACCTGGCCCATCCACCTGTCATCTCTGCAGCCTCACCCACCACCCCCGCAGCCTCTCCTGCCACAGAGATGCCAGATGAGGAGGCCAGCATGGTGCAGAGGAGTAAGTGGGCTTAGCAGGATGGGGCAGGCCCTGTGGCAGGACGGGGCAGGCCTGGTCCCTGGTCAGATCAGGATGCGGAGAGCAACTCCGGGCTCTCAACACCTCCATTTATTGCATGTATACCCTGACTTCCTCACTGGTCCTTCTGTGCCTGCTCTCATGCTGGCACCGGCTTGTGGCCGCACTCCTTGGAAGCTATGTCCACGGCTCTGGCTCAGGTTCACCTGGGGGTGTGGGCCTCACAGGGCTCATTCGGACCCTGGGTTGCGGCCCCAGTCCAGCCCCCTATTCTCCCATCTGGGCAGATGGAGGAACCCTTGCCTCCTGCTGCCCGCCAAGTCCTCCATTTAAGGCCCACCTGGGCTGGATTGCCCTGGACGGAAGAGCGCACAGGCCACCGGCCATAGCTTGCCCCTGTGGGCCAAGTCCCCAGTGTGGTGGCCTTCGCCGGCTTGCCCTGAGGCACGGCCCGACGGGGGCGCCCTGGAGGCGCTGTTGGCCCGGTGGGCAGCGTGGGGGGTATCGCGGGTAGGGGACTTGGGCGGGCTGGGCGGCTTGAGCGCGCTGACGGCTCGGATGAGACCCATGCGCCGGCGGATGGAGTGGTCCAGGTTGACCGTGCAGCGCAGCAGGCTCTGCGCCTCGGCCACGGTGAAGGGGAAGTCGGCGCCCAGGAAGCGCTCGAAGAGCTCGGGGTCGCCGTCCAGGTCGAGCACGTTCTGCAACGCCTTGGTCATGGTGTGCAGCTCGCGGCTGTTGTCGCGGAAAACGTCCCAGAGGCGCGCGCGGCCCTCGGGCGCGCCCCCGGTCTGCTGCCGGTCCTCCAGGCACTGCAGCGCCCAGCTCAGGCGGCACGGCCACTGGTTGGCGAGCACCACCCACGCCACCGCCTGGCGCGGCGTGGGGCCCCCAAAGTCCCCCTGCTGCTGCTGCTGCTGCAGCAGGCGCACGGTGATGGGCACGGTGTTGACGATGCGCCGCATGGACACCACGTTGTCGGGCACGTACTCGTAGAGGCAGTCGCGCTCGTCGTGAAGGCAGAAGAGCGCCTCCTGGATTCGCCGCGCCGCCTCGTCGTCGATGCGGCCCTGCCCGCGCTCCGTCCCCGCCTGCGCCTGCACCGCCAGCAGCTGCGCGCTCTCGCCCCCGGCGTCCCCCGGCAGCCACGGCTTGCGCGTCATCTCGCGGTACAACAGGTCGTCGCGGCTCTGCACCGCATCGTGCAGGAACTGCAGCTTGGTGCGGCGGCCCATAATGGGCACAGAGAAGGGCAGCGTGACAGTGCGGTTGAGGAAGAGGTAGCCGTTATCGGCCGTGCCCTTCATGTTGCCCGCGCTCTCTAGGCACGCGGCCAGGATGCTGGGGTCCACGACCAGGATGAAGATGAAGGGCGCGTGGCTGTCGGACAGCAGCGTGTTGATGGCGTTGAGCACGCCCACCACGCGCTCCGGGTAGCACGTGTCCAGCCCGGTGACCTCCAGCACCACGCGCAGCCTGCGCCGCTGGTAGATCTCCAGGAAGCACAGGAAGTCGGTGAGCAGCTCCACCTCCTTCTTCACCTCGCACATGAAACCCAGCTGGCTGCCGAACTTTTCACGCGACACCAGCCGCTCGATCTTCTTGCGCTGGCTTACGAACAGGTGCTTGCCCACCGAGTACACGGCCATGAGCAGCCCCGAGCCCGACAGTGTGGTGGCCGCGCCGCCAAACACCTTGAGCAGGCTGCCGCTCGGGCTGCCGTGGCCCAGCGCGTGGCCGCCCAGTGACAAGTAGAGCAGCCCCACACCCAGGCCCAGCGCCGCCAGCAGCGCCAGCAGCCCCAGGCACACGCGGCGCCGACAATGCCACTCGCTCTGGCAGCAGTCCTGCCTGGTGGCCGGCTTGTTGCCCAGCACCGAGTACACGCTGAAGGGCAGTGCGCCATAGTGGCGGCGGATGCCCTCGCACAACGTGGTCACCAGGCCGGCCCACAGCTTGTCGGTGCCCGCGTACTGCCAGGCGCTAAAGCGGATGAAAAGGAACTGCACGTTCCTGCGCCGCAGGTGCACCTCGGTGATGATGGGCTGCAGGAACACCAGGTACCACAGTAGCTGCGGGACGCCCCAGCCGCTCACGGCACGCGGCCGCCACTGCACGTGCTGCAGCTCCTCGCTCTCGCGCTGCGCGGCCTCCTGCTGCATCAGCGCTGCGGGAAGGGAGCCCGGGAGCCGCGTGAGCCGCAGACCCGCCGGGGTGGGCGGGGCCTAGTACGGGCAGGGCGGAGCGCTCCTGGAGAGGCGAGGGGCGCCCAGCAGAGGCGAGGGGCTGGAAGCGAGCCGCGGCCGCTCCTTAAAGAGCTGGAAGCCGGTGCAGAAGCGGGGGCGTGGAGAGGCCTGGAGCCGGGCTTGGACCGGAAGCGGTCTGAAGGCCAGGCTGTGGGGTCGGGATGGGCAGAGGTAGAGCCGGCAGAGGAGAGATGGGAGGAGGCAAAAAGAGATACGAGGAAGAGCCAGGGATGGGCAAGAGGCTGGAGGCGGAGCGAGGGTGTGGAGGGCACCGGGAAGGTTCTGAGAGTGGGGCAGGGGACAAGTGGTCGGTGTAAGGGATGAATGAATGAGATGCTGAGGAGGAGCTATGCTAGGCAGCAGGATACACCCTCGGTCTTATCTTGTTGACTTAACTGCTCCTCCTGCAGGAAGCCCTCCCTGATCCCCAGGCTGGGTCGGGGGCCCTCAGCCATTCCTACTCTGGGTCATCACTGTCTGAGGACAAGTCTCTCTCCCCTGCTGGACTGTGAGCCGGAAGGGCAGGGTCCTGCTTGTCTTGGTCACCGTGTCCCCTGGGCACCAGAAGGTGCTTAGGGAATGCCTGAACAATAGATCATGAGAAATCTGAGGTCACAGAGTGAATGAGCGGGAGTGTCTACAGCACCCAGCAGGAGGAGTAGGGACTCTCTGTTCTTTATATCCTCTTCTCCTCCCGGGACCCTGTGACAACACAGGACAGGACAGTGAGTGCTCAATGGACAGTCAGTACAGGAAGGAAAGGCTATTGGGCCTGCACCAGGGCTGGGCACACGTAGGAGGAACGTCAGTCCCAGCCCCTCTGGCCCCACGTGGGGCTGAGGTCTGAGCTCCAGCAGGGCTTGATCCAGATCAAAGCTGCTGGGGAGGCCAGTCGCGGTGAGTCACGCCTGTAATCTCAGCACTTTTTGGGAGGCCGAGGTGGGCGGATCACATGAGGTCAGGAGTTCAAGACCAGCCTGGCCAACACGGTGAAACCCCATCGCTACTAAAAATACAAAAATTAGCCGGGCTTGGTGGTGGGCACCTGTAGTCCCAGCTACTTGGGAGGCTGAGGCAGGAGAATCGCTTGAACCTGGGAGGTGGAGGCTGCACTGAGTTGAGACTGCGCCACTGCAGTACAGCCTGGGCGACAGAGTGAGACTCCATTTAAAAAAAAAAAAAAAAAAAAGGCCAGGTGCAGTGGCTCATGTGTAATCCCAGCACTTTGGGAGGCTGAGGCGGATCACATGAGGTCAAGAGATCGAGACCATCTGGCCAACATGGTAAAACCCCGTCTACTAAAAATACAAAAAATTAGCTGGGCGTGGTGGTGAGCGCCTGTAATCCCAGCTACTTGGGAGGCTGAGGCAGGAGAGTCACTTGAACCCGGGAGGCGGAGGTTGCAGTGAGCCAAGATCGCACCATTGCACTCCAGCCTGGAGACAGAGCAAGATTCCGTCTCAAAAAAAAAAAGCTGCTGGGGAACCTGGCGGGTTGCAGTTCATGTCTTCAGTTGGCATCTATGTATCAGGTACTTTGTGACCACCAAGCCTTAAGAGGTGGGTCTGGGTGGCACAGAGGCCAGTAGGGGCTTGGCAGGAGCCTGCAGCCTCAATAAAGAGCCTGGGCTTTCTGCCTCAGGTGCTGGGGAGCATGGAAGGCACCAAGCACAGGAGGGACAGGGTCAGATCTGTCCTTCAGAAAGAGTCCTTGGAGTGGATTTGGTGGCAGAAGCAGGGAAGGGTAAAACTTGGGGGCAGCCAGGAGGCCAGAGAAGCAGAGCCCGGGGTAGAGGCATGGGCTTGGGGAGGGCCTGGGCTGGGGCAGGCTGGCCACAGGGGTGGGGGGATCTGGGGGAAGCCTGGAGCTGGGCGGGGACCAGAGGCCCTGTTTCTCATCCTCCCCCCAACAAACACACACAGCTCCTCACCCGTGATCTTGTCCAGCATCATGTGCAGGCGGCAGCCGAAAGGGGCATAGAAACCCACGGTCACAGGGACCGGCACGTGGCAGAGTGTCTTGGCCAGGCAGCTGCAGTAGACGTCATCCTCTGTCAGGATGTCTGGTGGTTGGGAGTGGGGACACTGAGTCAGGACCACTGGCCAGGCACCACCCTCCTCCCATCTGCCCTCCATGGCCCCCACTATCAGCCCCTTCCTGGCACCCTGTGCAAAGGGGACTCAGGTCAAACCCTGCAGTGGAGGTTTCTGTGGCCATCAGTGGCCCTCACCTCCAGGGCGAGCTGTGCCCCTTTGGGTCCCACCAGGCTGAGGCTGGGAGGCTGGAATCCCCCCAGCCACACACCAGAGGCTGAGGCTGCGGGAAGTCAGCTTTCCTGGCCCTAGGTCACCAGGCTTGCTTGGTCACTAGCCCGTGATTCCCCCGGGGAAAATCCCAAAGGCCTTTATTTGGGATACGAGGCCCTCAGATGCCAAGACACCACTTTCCACCATCAGCAGGACTCCAGGCCACTCCTGCCTGCTCTGCTGGCCCGGCCAGAGCATGGAGAGGCCCTGGGCCGCAGGCTCCTCCCACCGTCCTGTCCATCATGCTGGCAAGTCACTAATCCCACCTGAGCCCAGGGTTGGGAGAGAGATGACCAGACTGGAGCTCCAGTCCCAGCCCCACCGCCTTTGTCTGCAGACCCCAGGGAGAGCCACCTCTGAGAGGCTCATTTCCCTCTGAAGAGTGGGGCAGCAGAGACACCAGGGAGCAGGAATGCCAAAGGGTCTGGCCAGCGCCGGGCCCTTGGTCAATGTCATGGTCTCCAGTGGCCATTTAGGGCCCTGGGGACCAGGCACTGGCACTACGGCATCCACTCTGCAGAGGGCACCCTGTCCCCCAGTGAGGGTTGCTTCTTGGACCTGGAAATGGGGTATCAAAAAGGTAGGGTTCAGTCTTGGGGGGACACATGGGGCCAGCTTTGTGGTGCACAGTGGGGGTAACACAGCCACTTTCAGAGAGGCCTGGTGGGCTGTAGGAAACGGGCCACACCTGGCGGCAGAGCCAGGAGGCCAGGAAGCAGACTCAGGAGTAGTTCTACTGAGGTGTGGGTAGGCGGGTCTAATTCCAGCTCTGCCAGATCACTGGGTGGCCCCACCTCATCCACCCTCTACTTCCCTGTGTGTGAAATAGACATCGTAGCCCTGAGGCTCCGGTGACAGGGCTGTGCCCGACCTAAAGTCCCTGTTGCTCTACTTTCAATCCAGACCTGGAAACCCAGCCGTCTCCACCTCTGCTGCCGCCACCCCGGCAAGGCTGCCGCACCTCTCGCCTGGATTTTTGCAATCTCCTGCTCCCTCGGCCACCTGCTTCCGTCCTCCTCCCATAGCCCATTCTCCTGGAGATCCTGTCAGCTCACATCCATCCTCGGCTCCTGCCTCCTTTGGGCAAAAGCCGAAGTACTGGCTCCTTGCTGGCCCGGGAACATGCCTCCTCAGGGTCTCTGCTCAAACGCTGCCTTAATGAGGCCCAGCCTGACAACCCGATTTAAATCTGCAAACCCTGACATCCCCCATCTCCTGTCCCTGCTTTATTTTTACCTAGTGTGGTTGTTACCGAGTGGCATACTTTTCGAGGCAAGGTCTTGCTCTGTCACCCAGGCTGGAGTGCAGCGGCACAATTATAAGTCACTGCAGCCTCGAACTCTGGGGCTCAAGGGATCCTCCTTCTTCAGCCTCCCATGTGGCTGGGACCACAGGCGTGCATCACTATGCTGGGCTAATTTTTTATTTTATCTTTTGTAGATACAGGGCATAACTATGCTGCCCAGGCTGGTCTGGAACTCCTGGCCTCAAGCGATCCTCCTGCCTCAGCCTTCCAAACTACTGGGATTACAGGCATGAGCCAGTGCGCCCAGACATACTTTTTTTTTTTTTTTTTTTTTTTGAGACAGAGTCTTGCTCTGTCACCCAGGCTGGAGTGCAGTGGTGTCATCTCGGCTCATTGCAACCTCTACCTCCCGGTTTCAAGTGATTCTCGTGCCTCAGCCTCCTGAGTAACTGGGATTACACGCGCCAGCCACCACACCTGGCTAATGTTTGTACTTTTAGTAGAGATAGGGTTGTACCATGTTGGCCAGGCTGGTCTCAAACCCCTGACCTCAGGTGATCCACCAGCTTCAGCCTCCCAAAGTGCTGGGATTACAGGCATGAGCCACTGCACCTGGCCTCCCAGCCACTTTTAAATTTCCATGTTTCCTGTACCTGCCCCCGGCTGCAATGCAATGTGAGCCCCATGAAGACAAGAGATGTCTGTTGATCCCACTCCCCACTGTGCCCCTAGAACAGGGTCTGGCACGCTCAGGGTGCTGGATACCTAGTCATGGAGTGAATGAGGGAGGGAGAGAGCAAGCAAGTGGGTCTTCCCATTGCTGACCTTTGCTCTCCGTTCCCCAGGCTACTCCCTAGCTCTGTCTTCCCCAACGCCAGAGCCAGCCAACAACCCAGGGCTCACCATCCCTGCCCCATGTACCCTGTACCCTGCTGAGCCAGAGGAGGGAGCTGAGAAGAGACCAGAGCAGAGCCAGGGTGTCGGCAGAGGGAAAGGGGGAAGGAGAGGGAGGCCTTCACTGCCTGGCGCAGGATGGAGGCACGGGGCAGGCCTGGCCTGGAAGCCTTGGACCCCAACAGGCAAAGCTGAGGCAGCCAGCCTGAGCCCCATGGCCAGGGACGCACCCCTCCTAGATAGGGAACAGGGTGTGGATGAAGAGGGCAGGTGCAAGATGCTAGGCAGGGAGCAAGGAGAGCAGGTGGGAAGTGAGGCGGCAGGAGTGGGGACAGGGCCCCCAAGAAGGCCAGGGTGAGCACCGGAGCTGTAGGCAGTGAAGGAGCCACAGGCCGCTGGGGCGGGCAGGGGCCGGGCATCAGTGGGCTCGCTGGGCTTCAGGAGGACGCCAGCCGCGGAGGGTAGAGCTGGGCCACTCCTGGCCATGGCTGGTGCCGTGGTGGGTAAGGTGGGCGCCTGAGGGGCGCTGGCAGGTTCCTTGGGGACAGTGGAGGTTGCAGGCAGCCCCTTCTGGGCTTCGTGAATGGGGCAGAGCCGCTGCCGCAGGGGGCTGGGAGGTGAGGGCTGGGACTGGGGCTGCCGCTGCTGCTGCAGGACGGAGGGCAGGAGGCCCCGGCGCCAGCCACTGCCACCCACTTGGTGGCTGTGGTAGGCCAGCTGCCAGTGTGATTGGGGGGAAGGCCGACAGGGCCCATGGGCTCGGAGGGCCGCTGAGTCCTGGCGCCACTGATGACAGCATCCTGGAAGGAAGGAAGTGGGGGTGACTGGGCCTGTGTCCCCGACCCCCGGGGGCACCGGCACAAGCCAGACCAAGTCTTCAGGTAGAACCTGGGGGCCAGAGTATTCTTGGGAGCCCCAGAAACCCCTCAAAAAGTAAGATTATGTGCGGGGGAGGTATGGGCAGGGGAGGGACCCAGGGTCTGTGCTGTCCCATGGCGGGGGAGCAGGGAAGGTGCAGGCTTGGACTTCAGCTGGGGGCAGAGAGAGGACGCCTGAGGTTGGGGCTTCAATGGAGGCTGGTGCCTGCCACAGCAGATTCCTGGATCCCTGGGGGGTGCCGCCAGTGCAGGGGTCAGGGAAACTGAGAAGATCCATTGGGAGCTGGCCCTGGCTGGCCCAGGGAGGCCGGAGTGATGGGTGGTGGCGTGGAGAGGGGTAGGCCAGGGATTTGGGTGGGGGGTGGACCTTGTCCCCAGCTCGGGCCAGGGTGGCAGGAAGGGTGGTGACCTGGGAAGCTCCAGCCCTCGCCCTAGCCCTGAGGAGGCTGAATCAGCCCCAGTGGGAGGGCACTGCCCCCTCCCCACCCTGAACAAGATCACCTGTGGTCACCACCAGAAACTGGGCCCAGCCTCATCCAGACATGTTCAGTGGGGGGGCTCCCTCTCCTACCCCTCACTCCCAGCACACTGCTCCCCTCCAGGCTGGAGGCCATCCACACAGGCCTCAGGGTTTGGAAACGGGGCAGGGCAGGCCAGGCGGCCCCTGCTTCCAACTCCAGCCCAGGCTCCTATCTTTGGGCCCGCAGGCCCTGTGGTCCGGGTCCTGGGTCCCAGGCCCTGCTGCTACACAGATGCCTCTGGGTGGAGTGCAAGTGGCTTTTCTCTCCTGGGGATGACAGCTCCCCTTCTGTTCCTCCATTCACTCTGGCTTCCTCACAGGCCTCTGTCGGCCATCACCCGCCCCCAAACTGAACCCGTACCTTTTCGGTGCCCCAACTCTGGGTCCCAGAAGTAGTGCCCGTTGGGGCTCTGGGCATCCTTGGCGAAGTGGACTTTGTAATGTTTGTGCATGGCAGCCGGGCAGCTGGGTGCTGGGGGCCTGCTCCTGAGGCAGGAGGGAGCACACAGGCTTGGCGTAGCCTCTGGGGCACGAACAGCAGAGAGCTGAGGTCAGGGTCCCTGCCCTGCCCGACAGCTTGGACAGGGGAAAGGCCAAGTCCCAGATGCTGGGTTCCTAGGTCACTTGGGAGAAGGGGGTAGAGGTGGCCTTCAGGGTACAGTGAGGGGCAGGATAAGGAGGGATGGCCAGAGGAGGGAACGGAGAACCGCTGGGGTTGGCTAGGGGTTAATTTGAGGCTGGGTGTTGGGAAGCTCCTGGGAGTTTCCAAGAGGCTAGGACACTGGGGAGTGCTGAGCAGACATGGGCTGGGGAAATAGGGGGTCCGGTGTGGTGGCTGAGTGACCAAGGGGTCATTAAGGTGTGGGCGCTGTGGGAGGCTGGCACGCTTTGGAAGGACATGGAGCTAGTGAGGTGAGCTGGAGAGCAGATGAGAAGCAGGGTGAGTGAAAATCAGAGCTGGGTACCTGTGGGCATTGAATGATACGGTGGAGGGGGAATTGTGAGGGAGCAATGAAATCGCGGTGGTCCAATTTGGGGAGAGGCTCAGCAAACTCGGGCAAGATGGGTGTACCGCGTTTCCAATGTGAAGAGCCGAAAGCAGGACAGGGAAGGATGCTGTGTGGGGGACAGGGATAGGGAAAGGCTGAGGGGCAGAGGAAACTGGGGTGCTGAGAGTTGGTAGCCTGCCCACCACTCCCCACCCCCAGTCCCAGTCCCACTCGTACCTGACGGTGGCCTCACGGCCCCAGCTGCCTGCCCCACGAGCAGCTGCCACACCAGCCCGGACTGTCAGCGCAGGCCCATCCAGATGGAGGCCTCAGCCCAGTGCCCGCCTGACCGGTTTGCCTGCCTGTCCCCGCCCCTTCCCCAGCGCCTGCCTGTCCCAGTGCTCTCTGCTCTCGAGGACTGGGACTCCGACTGGACTCAGTCTTGTGTCCCCATCCCTGGTAAGGAACGGAGATGCATCCCGCAGCACTGCCTCAATCTCCTTAAGGCAGCCACAGGCCCAGGCACTTCTGCTGGTGTGGGGGGGACAGGGAGCTGGGATGCCAGCTCCTCCGTGGCCCAGGTATGTGACCTTGGGCAGGTGACTTCACTCTCCGAGCCATGGCTTCCTCATTGCTGAGTGGGCACCTGCCTCTCGTGGCTGTCGCGAGGGAGGCACTGGGTGGGAGTCCCCTCAGCTCAGGGCCTGGCGCACCTGACCCGGGGCTGTGCTGACCCATTTACCTGGCGCTGTTCTAAATGGATGTCCATAGGACAAGGGCAACAGCACACACATCAAGGCTTGCTACACCATAGCCCCGTCTTCCTCTCCACCACCCAGGGGGCCAGGTGTGATGCCCGCTTCACAGATGAGGACACTGAGGCCCAGAGAAGTGAAGTCCTCGGCCCCAGGGCACACAGAGGCAGGGCGGGGATTTGGAAGCAGTCAGTGGTTGCTACTCCCAGGCTCGCCAAGGCTCTGTCTCCTGCCCTCGGGGCCAGCACTCAGTGACTGCCTCCCCACAGATGCCCTCTGAGGGGTGAGGGCCGGGGTAAGGCTGGGCAGGAGATGCCCTGAAGGCCCCTCGGCTCTCTGGGGCCCCGGCTCCCTGTGGCTGCTGGCGTAACGGGGTCAACAGTTGCTTCCCTGACAGACGGGGTGCTCCGATGGGGATGGGGGAGGCAGCCCCAGAACAGTGCCCAGGACAAGATAAAGGGAACCCACCCAGCCCTGAGTTCTGCCCAGGTGACCAAACACTGCTCCCTACGGCCAGAGCCAGGGCCCTTCCTGCGACCTGGGACCCCGTCTCCTCCCCCACCCTTCAAGCCGGTTGCTCTGGGAAGGTTCCTCCCTGGCCCACCAGGGAGGCGGGGCTGGCATCTGAGCGTGGGCATCTGCAGTGGGCCTCCGTGCCAACCCCCCACACCCCCGGCCCGATCATGAAGCGTGGCCCAATGTAAATGAGCCGTCTCCGCAGGACGAGATTGCCCCGGGCTGGGAGCACAGTGGCCAGGAGGCTGCTGGACACTAGGGGGAGCAGGCGTTTGGGGAGTGGGCCAGGCGGGCAGCACTGCAGAGGCAGACACAGGACACAGCTACACTCAGCCAGGTGGAATAGGAAGGGGTGACCCAGGCAGGGCCTGACGGGGTGACTGGACCCCACTCTACAGGGGAGGTTCTTTAGCAAGGGGCCCCTTTCTCATCCCATTTGGGGTTCACCCCCAGCCTTGGTGGGCAGCTCTGAGCCTGGGGCACTTACCCATGTCAGGCAGCGGGCGGCGAAGCCCAGGAGTCCCCAGATGCTACAGATGCGAGCGGGGTGGGAGGGGGCAGCATAAGGGCCACTCTGCCCAGGGACGGGCAGCAGGAGTGCGTAGGGGCCGCGTGTGTCCATGGGGGTGTCTGGCCTCCCCCTACCCCATGCATCCCCAGCCCTGGCAGCCCCAGCCCGACCTGGCCTACACTCCGGGCACTCCCAGCCCTGCTCCCCAGGAAGACGCTCCGTTCTGTGCACATCGCCGGGCAGAGGGCAGCCCCAGACTTGTTGACTTGGCAGAGGTGCCAGTAAGGCCGCCCATGCCGGAGGCCAGCATCCCTCTGCCAGGAGCACGGGGAGGGAGGGAGTGGAGGGGGACGTGGCAGGGGAGGGAAGGTCTGAGGGGCATGGGAGCCAGAGAGGGTACCCACTCCCCTGCAGGACCTGTGACAGTCGGTCCACAGATCCTCCCCCACTGCTCTGAGTCAGATTCCACACACACAGCCTTTATTGAGCAGCTACTGGGCAGTGACGCTGCCGAGGCGGGAATCCCACCACAGTCCTGACCGCAGCTGGGACCCCTTTGCCTCCTCTGACACCCCCACCTCAATTTGATACCCACTTCCTGAGCAAATGTGACCCCTAGGGCCTGGGATTCCCAAGACCACCCCGAAATGCAGCGGCCCCACCGTCTCCTGAGGCCGGTGAGGCCAGGGGCAGCAGTGCGGCTCAGCAGGTGCGAGGCAGGCTTAGGATTTCGGAATCACCACCTGGAACTTACCTGGAAGAGAAGGCCTGGCTTAGGCTTGAGGATGGGATGGGGGAGGCAGAGGGCACCTGGACGGCTCTTAGGCGCTCACCCCCGTCCTGCACTGACACCCCAGTGGCTAGGTTGGGCTGTTTCCTCCCGCCCACGGGGCCGCATCCCTGAGCTGTGTGAGTAACCAGGAGCATGAGGGCCACGGATGTGGCCCCAGGGAAGCGCCCGGCACGGGCTTCTGTGGTATGCATTGCTCGGTCCTACCCCACGGGGGCCCCGGGGGCCCCCATGAGTGGGCCTGGGGAACCGGCAGAGGCAAAATAACTGAAGGTGGGGGAGGTGGTGGGGCAGGCTGTCCCCAGGCAGGAATGGGGCTCCAGCTTGTCTGACAGAGGACACCCAGTCAGGCAGGCTGCAAGTTCCCTGGAGCCTGCCGTCGCCCCCATCGAAGGATCAGTGAGGATAACTTCTATTGCGTCCACCTCGGCTCCCATGCTGGGAAACGATGTTCAAAACCGCCAGACAGTTCTCTCTGCAGGGCTGGCGACGTCACGGAGCCAGGGGCACAGATGGGCCTGCACCAGCCGTGTGGCTGAGCAGGTGACTTAAAACTGGGCCTGCCTCCCAGGCACACACACAGGAGTGGGGCTGGAACTCTGAAGCCCCCAGCAACTCAAGGGATGAGAAGAATCCCCCCACCCCCCATGACTCACAGACGGGCAGGGCTGCCACGGAGGCGGTGACCACGCTCTCAATGCCCAGGGTATAGAGGGCGCCGCGCAGGAGGCCGCAGGTGAAGGCCAGGAACTGAGGAGGGAACACAGACCAGCATGGGAAGAGAGGGGAGGCCAGCACCCGAGGTCTGGGGCACCCCTTAGGCCTGGGGAAAGGCCTGATGTGGGATGGGGCTGGGTAAACAGGAGGAAGGGAGGTGTGGACAAGGCCCCAGCTCCCCCCATACCTTGGGTGCTTCCTCCAGATACTGCAGGCCAGAGGCCATCGGGAGGAGGAGGGGGAAGCTGTTGTCTTGCAGGACGTAGGTCCCCTGGGGGAGAGGAGAGGCTGGTGGGTGGGGTCGGGGCCTGTACATTTGAAGCGCAGGGAGGGTAAGCAGGAACCCAGGTCTTAGATTGGGCTGAGGTTGGGAAGGCCCCCTTCCTGAGAACCACTGGAGTCACAGCCTTGGCCTCCAGTGCTCTGGTAGGGCCCAGGGCTTCCAAACTTGGAGTGGGTGCCTGTGCCCTGGGGAGTGTGGGTCCTGCCCTCGCCTCCCAGGGTTGTGCAGAAAAGCTGGGGACCCGGCCCAGGAAGATGCAGAAGGGCAGGTACAGCCTGGGTGTCACTGGGGGACTAGACCAGCTTGGGACAAGCAGCATCACACTGGGGGTAGGGCAGGCAGCCACCAGGGGCTTTCTGCCCATGCATGGCTCACTCCTGGTAGGCTGGAGAAGTTCCGGAAACACCCCCTATGCCCCAGCGCAGCCTCCTGGCTTCCCTTAGAGGATCAGACAGAGCAAGAGCTGCGGCCGCCTGTGGGAAAGCTCTGGGCGGGTCCCGGCAGCCGCTGCTCTGGCGCCGGGGGATTCCCCTCCCACTCTCTTGGTCTTGCCCTCAGGAGGAAGCTGGACGGGCAGGCCGGGGTGCTCCCACCTGGTGATTGGTGCGCAGGCTGTCCATCTGCTTCTGGAACACCGCCACCCACAGGTCTTTGCACAAGAACTTGAGGACATCCAGCTCCTCCCTGAAGGCCAGCGTCTCCCGGGGCAGCCTGGTGGGGCAGTACCAAGCTGAGGCCGTGGGGCCAGGCCAGGAAGAGGGAGGAAGACAGGCCCGACTCCTGCATGGAGCAATGCAACCCTCCCCGCCCGGGGCCTGCCCAGCCCTGCCAGCCAGGCTGGGGGAGAGCAGGAGGGGCCGCGCTCACCTCTCGCCTAGAGCCTGGCCCACACGGAACCCCATACCCTCCAGGACCGACAGGCTCATCTTCTGTCCCTAGAAGGCCAGGGGAGAGATGCTCAGGGGCCCTTAGCCACCACGAACCCGGGGCCACCCAGGGGGGGACCTGCCAGGGGACCCAAAGACCAACTTGCTGGTGCTCGTCAGTTCAGGGGTGAGCAGGGAGGGGCTCTGGCACAGCCCGGCCAGGGCAGGGGCAGGCCTCTAGGGTGCTGGGGCTCCCTCACCCACCTCTGCAGACCTTGCAGGCTCTCTGGATCCCCAGATCATCAGCCCCCAAGAACCAGCTCCCCCTTCCCTCAGGAACAATGGGGGTCTTCCCCAGGCTCCCTTCCTCCTCCATGACTTTTCCTGATAACCCCCATGACAGGCTGCACGTGCTTTCAGCGCGAACCCTCACAATGCCCTGGGAAGTGGGCGCTGCGACTCCACCAAGATGCTCCAGGTGACCTGCCCAAGGGCTGGAGGCTGGGCCACAGGAAAGGGGGCTGTGGAAGTCAACCATGATCATCATGCCTTATAATATTGGCCAAGATCCCTGGGGAACACGTGGAAGCTCGGGACAGGCAGATCTTCGTTTGGGTGCTCGAAAAGGACAGTGGCTGCCATGTAGTGTCTGGAGGGTAGGCCAGGGTCCATACAGGAGGGGACTGTGCTGGCAGAGGCAGGCCCCAGGTAGGAGGGCTGCACTCGGTGTCTGTCCACGTGCCTGTGTGTGTGGAGGGCATGGCTGGAGGAGAGGAGATGCTCATGGATTTTTTTTTTTTTAAGAGATGGAGTCTAGCTTCATTGCCCAGGCTGGAATGCAGTGGCCCAATCTCTGACTCACTGCAACCTCCGCCTCCCGGGTTCTAGCAATTCTCCTGCCTCAGCCTCCAGAGTAGCTGGGACTACAGGGATACGCCACCACACCCTACTAATTTTTTGTATTTCATTAGAGACAGGGTTTCACTGTGTTGCCCAGGCTGGTCTCGAACTCCTCAGCTCAGGCAATCTGCCCGCCTCGGCCTTCCAAAGTGCTGGGATTACAGGCGTGAGCCACCGCGCCTGGCGAGTTTTCTTTTTTGGAGACAGAGTCTCACTCTGTTGCCTAGGTAGAGTGCAGTGGTGCAATGCTGGCTCACTGCAACCTCCGCCTCCCGGGTTCAAACAATTCTCCTGCCTCAGCCTCCCGAGTAGCTGGGATTACAGGCCTGTGTGCCACCACACCCGGCTAATTTTTGTATTTTTGGTAGAGATGGGGTTTCACCATGTTGGCCAGGCTGGTCTCAAACTCCTAGCCTCAAGTGATCCGCCCGCCTTGGCCTCCCAAAGTGCTGGGATTACAGGCAAAAGCCACTGCACCTGGCCATGGATCTTTTTTTTTTTTTTTTTCATTCGGGTGTTTTGCTGCAAGCAGAGGAAGGGAGGAGGCCCAGACTGGGGGGCACCAGAAATCCCAGGACGGCTGGGGCGTGAGGCGCCAGGTTTTTCAGAGAAAGCCTGGCAGAGCAGAAGTGGGGGAACAGAGGCGGCAGGTGTGCAGCCCTGAGCTGAAGGAAGCTCACCCTCCCGCTGGCTGCTCTCAGGAGCCTGCAGTCACCAGGCCTGAGCCCTGCAGCCCTCCCTCTCCTGCCCTTGACCCCCACCTTCCCTTGGGAATGGCAGCTACCGCCTCCTCCCTCCAGGGCTGCACCATCAGCGCAGCCATCCGAATGGGGATGCGAATTCTCTGCTTGGCTCCAGCCCTGGAGCGGGTCTCCCAGCCTGGAGAGCGTGTCCGAGGAAGGCTTCTTGCAGCCTGCGGGCCCAGCTGCCTCCATCCCTCCCTCACCCTCTCCTCTGCCCCCTGAGGACATTCGCTCAGACTTCTGAGCCTTTGTACCGACTTCCTTCCCTTCCTCCCTCCCAGCTTGCGTCCCCAGCCCTGCCCACTGCACACTGTCCCTGGATGAGGACACAGCTCTGTGAAGGTGGGGACCCAGGCTGACCAATTCACATCCGGCCTTCAGCAGCCAACACAGAGCTTGGCATGTGGGTGGTGCTTAACAGACTGGCTGATGAGACAACGTGCATCAACAAAGGACACCGTAAGTCCTTACCTAATGCTGTCAACAGGCTCTTGGAAACTATGGCTTTAAGCAAAATGACATATGATGAAACCAATTTCACGCAGGTTAATTAACATAAACAAGAGTGAAGTTCCAATGCCATATTTCTGGTACAAACACATCACCAAACTTCTAAATAAGGATGAAAACACTTGAAATATTAAACACTGAAATAAATGTGAGCTATACATACGTTTAAGAAAGATTAGGCCGGGCGCAGTGGCTCACTCCTGTAATTCCAGCACTTTGGGAGGTCGGAGTTTCGCTCTTGTTGCCCAGGCTGGAGTGCAACGGCGCGATCTCAGCTCACCACAACCTCTGCCTCCCGGGTTCAAGTGAATCTCCTGCCTCAGCCTCCCCAGTAGCTGGGATTACAGGCATGAGCCACCACGCCCGGTTAATTTTGTATTTTTAGTAGAGACAGGGTTTCTTCTCTTTTGGCCAGGCGGGTCTCGAACTCCCAACCTCAGGTGATCTGCCCACCTCGGCCTCCCAAAGTGCTGGGATTACAGGCGTGGGCCATCGCGCCCAGCTGAGTCCAGGAGTTCGAGTCCAGCCTGGTCGACATGGCGAAACCCCTTCTCTACAAAAAATACAAAAGTTAGCCAGGTGTGGTGGCATGCACCCGTGTCCCAGCTACTTGGGAAGCTGAGGCAGGAGGATCATCTGAGCCCAGGAGGTCGCTACTGCAGTGAGCCATGATCATGCCACTGTACTGCAGCCCAGGCAACAGCAAGACCCTGTCTTTTTTTTTTTTTTTTTTTTTTTTTTTGAGACAGAGTCTCGCCCTGTCGCCCAGGCTGGAGTGCAGTGGCGCAATCTCGGCTCACTGCAAGCTCCGCCTCCCGGGTTCACGCCATTCTCCTGCCTCAGCCTCCTGAGTAGCTGGCACTATAGGCACCCGCCACCACGCCCAGCTAATTTTTTTGTATTTTTAGCAGGGACGGGGTTTCACCATGTTAGCCAGGATGGTCTTGATCTCCTGACCTCGTGATTCACCCACCTCGGCCTCCCAAAGTGCTGGGATTATAGGCGTGAGCCACCGCGCCCGGCCCTGACCCTGTCTTAAAAAATAAATAAAAAACAAAAAACCAGTAAGACATTTACTCGCTTCCTCCAGCTCAGGGTCCTGGGTGGCCAGAGCCCGTCCTGGCAGGGCCAAAAGCAGGAATGGACCCTGGACAGAACGCCATCCCATCACAGGGCGCACACGGGCCCACACTCACTCACACTGGGCCCACGGAGACCCGGGAGCTCACCCAGCGGACACATCCCAAGGATGCACAAGGAAAGGAGAGCCCAGAGGAACTTGCACCAGCACAGGGAGAACCCACAACCACCACCCAGACAATGGTCCCGGGAATCATTATTTTTTCCTCATCAATGTCACAACAAAATGTTATTCCAGGACCGGCATACTGTGTGGCAGGCGTTTTCTACAGCCTTCTTGTTTTACCTTTCCAGCCTCACAGAAGGCTGTAATTCCAGGTGGAAACAGGGGCTCTGAGGTTAAGAAGAACCCATCCAAGGCACCCTCAGCACGGGACTGTCTTTCACACCCCAGCAGGTCCAGATAGGAGGGTGGGTGGGGTGACAGCCATGGCTGTTGAGGGCCTCACGGAGGTGAGGAGCGCTGGGAATGGCGGGGGGGCCTGAGCTGAGGTCGCCCATATCTGAAGCCAAGGTGGCCCTTCCTCTGCCTGGCCCCTTGCCAGGCCTCGCCCTCATGGGTGACAACGACACGGCTTCCTGTTGCACTGTCTCCCTCTGGTGTCACCATCTGCTTTCCTCCAGTGTCCTCAGGCACAGCAGGGCCGGCCACACAGCAGAGGCTCATGGAAGGGGCCGATGACTGCAGGAGACGGGCAGGTGTGTGTGAGAGACAGAGTGGGAAGAGACCCCTGCCCGTGGGTCCTTCATGGCAGCACTACCAGCGGCGCAGGTGCAGAGCCACCGCCTGGGTCCAGATCCGCCCCAGCACTTACCAGTGTGGGACCTGGGCCAATGGCTGAATACCTGTGCCTCAGTTTCCTCATGTAAAAAAGAGGGTCATTTTGTTTGTTTTTGAGATAGGGTCTCATTCTGTCACCCAGGCTGGAGTGCAATGGCACGATCTTGGCTCACTGCAGCCTCTACCTCCTGGGTTCAGGTGATCCTCCTACCTCTGCCTCCCAAGTAGCTGGGACTACAGGTGTGAGCCACTGCGTCCAGCCCAAAGGAGGGGAATATTAATGGCAGCTACCTCCAGGATCCTCACAAGGAGTAAGGGTTGGTAAAGGCAACCTGAGTACTTCAAGGCAGTTCCGGGAGCCTTACTTATTGCATTCACAGCCTCCACATCTGTCAAACAAGGAGACGGCCCCAGCCAATGAGGGATGAAGCCCTTGGCTGGAGGAGAACCCCAGGAAGGAAGGGGGTCTGTTCTGTGGGCTCCTGTAGCCAGCACCTAGAACAGCCCGGGCGAGAGCTCGCTGCCTGGTAGCTGCGGCTCCCGTGTCACCTCCTCCCACAGCGAAGCTCCTGGAGGCAGGGCCCAGGCTGCACTCTGAGGGAACACGTCTGTGTCCACAGCAAAGCTCCCAGAGGCAGGGCCAGGCTGCACTCTGGTGGAACACGTCTGTGTCCCCACTCGCTAAGGGCTCCTTTATGTCCCTCCCTCATTCATGCCACAGACATTTCCTAGTGTCCTCCAGGAGCTCACCTACCTTGCCTGGCAGGGTTGACAGGTGCCCAAATGATGCCAACTGACAATCTGGGAAGGGCTGGGAGACTGAGTGCAAGGGGCCCGGGCAGTGCAGTGCAGAGCCTGCCCTCCAGGAGGGGGCCGGAGGTGGCAGGTATTCCAAGCAAAGGGCATGTGCCAAGGCAGGGGTGAGAGGCGGGGAAGGGAAGGGGCCCTCAGAGTGGGCTGCAGAGGGGGCATTTTCCCCTGCAGGCAAGTGCAGCCAACCTGAGGGTCAACGCAGGCCACGTTGCCTGAATGCCAGCCACAGTGGGCCACAGACTCAGTCCCTGCCCTGCTGGAGCTGGCGTTTCACCCGGGGAATGGGCAAAGGTGCAATGGCCGGCTTCACTATGCTCACAGCGACTGCCAAGAGGGAGGCAGGTGTGCTGCGAGGGTGCACTCCCACCCCTAGGAAGCACCCCGACTGTGCTGAGCCTGAGGGAAGAGGGGGAGTTCAACAGCAGGAGTGGGCTGTGAAGGCACACCAGGCCCAGGTCACAGCCAGGACGGCAGCCCCCGGAGGGGTGAGCTGGGGGAGAGAGTCAGCAGGGTCCTTCAGCCAGGCCAGGAGCGTGGAGTCTGAAGGGGTTCCAGCAAGTTCAGCTTTTCCCTTCATGAACTTCACACTGCCTGGGTTTGAATCTCGGCCCCGCCACTCACTGGCTCTGTGACCTTGGGCAGATTAGCCAACCATCCCGTGCCTCAGTTTCCCCACATGTGCCATGGGGCTAATGGCAGTACCTGCTCACAGTGGTGGTGTGACTGGCAGGTGGCAACAGCTGGATACACGGCTGTGTGACTGCTGGCCCCACTGTACCCAGCCCTGGACAGGGGCCATTCAGATCCTGGCTGAACTGAAAAGGGCTGTGGGGAATCACAGCAAAAGGGAGGGGCCGAGGAGGAGCAGGAGGCAGGGAAGAAAGGGCGGAGGAGGAAGGGAGAAGCCTCCACCCACCTCATCACAGCGAGACCTGGTGGTGTCCATGCCCATGTCACTGCAAAAGCTCTTCAGAGGTTAGGGGTTTATCTTTCTTAAAAACAGAAGGGGCTGGGCGCGGGGGCTCTTGCCTGTAATCCCAGCACTTTGGGAAGCCAAGGCGGGAGGATCACTTGAGGTTAGGAGTTTGAGACCAGCCTGGCCAACATGGCAAAACCCTGTCTCTACTGAAAATACAAAAATTAGCCGGGCGTGGTGGCGCACGCCTATAATCCCAGCTATTCAGGAGGCTGAGCCACCAGGATCGCTTGAACCCGGGAGGCAGAGGTTTCAGTGAGCTGAGATCACACCAACACATTCCAGCCTGGGTGACAGAGCGAGACTCAGTCACAAAACAAAACAAAACAAAACAAAACAAAACAAAACAGAAGGGCTGGCCAGACAGAGACTCTCCCATTCATATGAATCTGCCAGAGCCCAGCCCAGAGCCGGTGCATTTCTGGGGCTCCCCACGCCTGCCTCTGCTGAGTTTACACACAGACCGGATGAAAGGAAAGGTGGAAGGGAAGTCTTATCAGTGTCGGTGCTAATGACATCCACCACACAGGAAGGATCAATCAGACACAAAGCAGAGTTCCTGGAAATGAACAAATATGGTGGCCAAAATCAACACTTTTTAACAAGGGAACTGAATAACAGAGAAACCTGTAAGACAGATAACACCTCCCAGAAGAAAAACAGGAGGGAGGAAAAAATGAGAGAAAAGCTACAGGATGCTTGGAAGAGATGCAGGAAGTCTAATATTCCCTGTGGTGCCTACAGGACATACAGGGAACGATGCAGGAGAAGAAATCATCAGAGAGATCACAGGAGAAAAATGTCCTGAGCTAAAGGAAGATTCACACGTCCAGACTGAAGCCAAGGGGTTGAGCTCCAAGGAGGATGAACGGAAAAAGCAAACCAAAGCCCCTTTAGACACTTGGGAGCTCCTGGTCTCAGACAATGGGTGACAGCGCCTTAGCTCTTTACTACATGCACTCAGGGGAATCCTCTCTTTGCCCAAAGGCTTCCCTTGTCTTCAAAGCCTCTGAGGTAGAAAAGCCACGGCTGCTTCCTCCAAGGGCTTCTCCTCCTTAGAGAACAAAGGCCTTCCTGGCCCCTCTGGCCGGTCCTCCAGTTCACAACCTGTGACAGCCCAGGAGAATGGCCACAAATAACCACCGTACCAGGCAGGATAGGAGGTCACAAAAGCCCTACACACTGGCTGTGGCTCCTGGGCACCTGTGCTGTGGGGACAGAGATGAAGGAGCCACCATCCCTGTCCTCAAGGAGCTCTGAAGCTGGTGGGAAAGGCGGCCTGTGCTACCCAGAAGCCCTGGGGCCAGAAGCCTGAGTTCTAATTTTGCCTTTAAGAGAACATTCTGCCCTGAACTGGGAGGGAGGCGGGTGGGGGCCATGTGCTCCACCCCTTCCTGTCTCTTGTGTCTGCCCTACCCCTCGATTGTTCTCTAGGCACCTGCTAGCTCCTGGGCAGAGGCTGACCCTGTTCAACGCCCACCTGCTGAGCCACTCTGTGCCAGGCCCAGGGGTGTGGTGGGGAACCCAGGGAAGGAGCAGCCCTGGTTAAGAAAAGCACACAGACAGAAGTGCTGGCACACAGATGGGTGAGTGAGGGGTGGGTGCGAGAAGCCTGCAGGACTTCCCTGCTGTTGCCCTCAACTCTCCTCCCTGGTCCAGCAAGGCATCCTGAGCAAGTCCAGATCCTGCCTCTGCCCACTCAGAACTCCCCATCCTGTCCCCTGGCCCAGCCCGGAAGGTTGAGCCCACCACAGCCTCTGCCTTAAGCTCCTGCAACAGCGGGGCCCTTCCCAGGCCAATCTCCATCCAGTCCATTCCTGTGGCCAGGGAGACATTTCTAGAATGTAAATCTGAGCCAGGCGCACCTCAGTTTAAACCCGGCTATGGCTCCCACTGCCTTCGGGATGGAGCCCCAGTTCCCAGGAGGGCCTCGCTGGAGCTCCCAGCCACAGATGCTCAGGACGGTGTTCCGGGCAGGGACCTATCTGACAGCCGCTCCGCCCGCCCCACACCCTCCTCAGATAAGGGGCTGCCCAAGTGCACTCTCGGGGTGTGGTGGATGGAGGCCTGGCGCAGCAGGGCTATTCTCGGGGCGCCTCGGGCCTGGTCTCAGACAATGGGTGACAGCGCCTTAGCTCTTTACTACATGCACTCAGGGGAATCCTCTCTTTGCCCAAAGGCTTCCCTTGTCTTCAAAGCCTCTGAGGTAGAAAAGCCACGGCTGCTTCCTCCAAGGGCTTCTCCTCCTTAGAGAACAAAGGCCTTCCTGGCCCCTCTGGCCGGTCCTCCAGTTCACAACCTGTGACAGCCCAGGAGAATGGCCACAAATAACCACCGTACCAGGCAGGATAGGAGGTCACAAAAGCCCTACACACTGGCTGTGGCTCCTGGGCACCTGTGCTGTGGGGACAGAGATGAAGGAGCCACCATCCCTGTCCTCAAGGAGCTCTGAAGCTGGTGGGAAAGGCGGCCTGCGCTACCCAGAAGCCCTGGGGCCAGAAGCCTGAGTTCTAATTTTGCCTTTGAGTCTTGCTGAACCACCTCGAAATCCCTTCCTCTACCAAGCACAGGGTCCCTCCTCTGTGAATCGGGAGGGCTGTCCTGAGGACTAAATGCAGTCAACACTGTGCAAGTACTGCACAGACGCCCTCAGGAAACGGGAGGCCTGTCTGGTTCAGAGGAACCCTTTTGGGCCAAAGAGAAGGAATGGAGAGAGGAGGTGGGGCCAATAAAGAGAAAGGACTGAGGAAGCCGTTTCTCATGACAGGCCCCCTGAAAAACGGGGCTCCCCAGGAGGAAGGAGTGAGGGGAAACGATGCAGTTCTCACCCCTAGCTGCAGCGAGAGCCACCTGGGAGCTTTCTGAGGCCTGACACTCAGGCCTCACCCCAACCGGGTTCGTCAGAGTCTCTGGTGTGGGACTCCAGCATCGGAATGTAGTGGCAGCTGGGTAGGGAACCCCTGCCCAAGGTCCCAGGCACATTCGTGTGCTCTGAAAGGCTGGTGGTGAGCAGAGCTGAGTAAGCCAGTTTCCCACACTCGCTTGACCACAGAAACCCATTAAAATCCTTCCCAGGGCAAATGCTGGGAAATGCAAGTGAGAGTTTACAGCACAGGCTTTGGAAGTGGGAGGCCTGGTCGCGCTCCTGACTCTGCCACTTGAGAGCAAGGAACTCCGTCCATCAAAGCCTCCGCCGCCTCATCTGTAAATCGGGGAGGACCATGCCAACCTCTCTGGGTCATCAGAAGATCAAATGAAATCAAGAGTGAGAAGCCATGAGTGCACACAGGAAGCACTCATATGAGGGGAGGGAGGGAAGAGCTAGCACTGCTCATAAGCCAAATGAATCCCAGTCCCCACCCATCCCCACCTGCCACGGCACAGGCTCTGCATTCACCTCCTCAACACGTCCACACTGAGGACCCACTACGAGCCAGGACATCCAGTGGTCATCAATACACACCCAGGCCCATCCCGCACAAAGTACACTCCGGCTGGGGGAGACGCATGTGAATTAAAGGATCATACAGATACACAATTCAGACGCATCCTGGCAGGGCGTGCTGGCTCACACCTGTAATCCCAGGTGTGAGTTTTTGGGAGGCTGAGGCCAGAGGATCGCTTGGGCCCAGGAGTTCAAGGTCAGCCTGGGCAACATTGTGAAAACCTATCTCTACAAAAAATTTAAAAATTAGCAGGGTATGGTTGTGTGCACCTGTACTCCTAGCTACTCAGGAGGCTGAGGTGGGAGGATCACTTGAGCCCAGGAGTGTGAGGCTACAGTGAACTATGATCATGCTACTGCACTCCGGCTTGGGTGACAGAGCAAGACTCTCTTTAAAAAAAAATCAGCCGGGCGTGGTGGCTCACGCCTGTAATCCCAGCACTTTGGGAGGCCGAGGTGGGCAGATCATGAGGTCAGGAGATCGAGACCATCCTGCCTAACACATTGAAACCCCGTCTCTACTAAAAATACAAAAAAAAAAAAAATTGCCAGGCGCGGTGGCTCACACCTGTAATCCCAGCACTTTGGGAGGCCAAGGCAGGCAGATCACAAGGTCAGGAGATCGAGACCATCATGGCTAACACAGTGAAACTCTGTCTCTACTAAAAATACAAAAAATTAGCCGGGCGTGGTGGCAGTCACCTGTAGTCCCAGCTACTCGGGAGGCTGAGGCAGAAGAATGGCGTGAACCCGGGAGGCAGAGCTTGCAGTGAGCCCAGATCGCGCCACTGCACTCCAGCCTGGGGGACAGACCGAGACTCTGTCTCAAAAAAAAAAAAAAAAATTAGCCGGGTGTGGTGTCGGGCACCTGTGGTTCCAGCTACTCGGGAGGCTGAGGCAGGAGAATGGCATGAACCCGGGAGGCGGAGCTTGCAGTGAGCCGAGATCGCGCCACTGCACTCCAGCCTGGGCGACAGAGCGAGACTCCGTCTCAAAAAAAAAAAAAAAATCAAATACATCCTTATTGAGTATGATGAAGCCTACCAAGAAAAAAGTGCGAGAGGGAGACCAGGAGAATGTATAAAGGAGATCCAAATTTGACTGGGGGCTCAGGGAAGGCATCCCTGAGGAAGGGATTGTTACGCTAAGATCTGAAGGATTAATAGTTGTTAGCATGGTGAAGATGTGACAGGTGGAATGGGCTGGGAGAAGGGAGCAGGCTCATTTCACAGGAGAGCGGAAAGCACTGGACCAGGGCAGAGGAGGGGCCACGTGAGAAAGGTATTTAGACTGACTGGGCAGAGCCTGGGGGAGGGCTGCAGGTGAGGGAGACAAGGCAGGTGTTGGGACTCCAGGGTTTCTCGTTTGAAAGCCAGGAAGGATATGGAGTGTTGGGACATTATTACCCACCCCCAGGCTGATGCATACTCCCTGGGCCATGCTGTATCTTCCTCATAGCAGTTACACAATGTACCAGACACTTTACTCATTTACTTGTCTGTCTCCTCCAATGATGACAAAGCTCCAAGAGTCCAAAAATTTTTGATGGTTCACTGAGTAATCCCCATGTTTTTTTAGAGACAGGGTCTCACTCTATCACCCAGGCTGGAGTGCAGTGGCATGATCATAGCTCACTGCAGCCTTGAACTCCTGGGCCCAGGCAATCCTCCCACCTCAGCCTCCCGAGTTCTTGGTAGTATAGGCATGTGTCATCACGCCCAGCTAATTTTAAAAATTTCTTGGCCAGGCACAGTGGCTCACACCTGTAATCCCAGCACTTTGGAAGCCCGAGGCGGGCAGATCACGAGGTCAGATCAAAACCATCCTGGCTAACATGGTGAAACCCCATCTCTACTAAAAATACAAAAAAAAAAAACAAAATTAGCCGGGTGTGGTGGCAGGCACCTGTAGTCCCAACTACTCAGGAGGCTGCGGCGGGAGAATTGCGTGAACCCAGGAGGCGGAGCTTGCAGTGAGCCAAGATTGCGCCACTGCACTCCAGCCTGGGCGACAGAGCAAGACTCTGTCTCAAAAATAAATAAATAAATAAAAATAAAAATTTCTTTTAGAGGTGAGGTCTTGCTATGTTGCCCAGGCTAGTCTTGAACGGTGGGCCTCAAGTGATCCTCCCACCTCTGCTTCCTGAGTACCTGGGATTACAGGTGCAAGTCGCCACATCTGGCTAAATGCATTTTTGATTTATGATGTTTTAAACTTATGACAGGTTTGTATCTGTATATCGAGATGGTAACAAGCAACATCCTCCCTGGGGCTTCTAACCCTGGAAGGAAACCAGAGCCAATAAAAATGTCTTACATGGCCAGGTGCGGTGGCTCACGCCTGTAATCCCAGCACTTTGGGAGGCCGAGGCGGGTGGATCACAAGGTCAGGAGTTCGACACCAGCCTGGCCAAAATGGTGAAACCCCGTATCTACTAAAAAAAAAAAAAAATTGGCCGGGTGCAGTGGCTCACGCCTGTAATCCTAGCACTTTGGGAGGCCAAGATGGGCAGATCACGAGGTCAGAAGATGGAGACCATCCTGGCTAACAGTGAAAACCCGTCTCTACTAAAAAAAATAATAATAATACAAAAAATTAGCCAGGTGTGGTGGCGCCAGCAGCGCTTGTGGTCCCAGCTACTTGGGAGGCTGAGAAGTGGGATGATCGCTTGAGCCCAGGAGGTCGAGGCAGCAGTGAGCCATGACTGCATCACTGCACTCCAGCCAGCCTGGGCGACCGAGCAGGATGCGCGTGCGCGCACACACACACACACACACACACACACAGTCCCGGGCCAGTCACGGTAGTTCACGCCTGTAATCCTAGCACTTTGGGAGGCCCAGGCGGGAGAATCACTTGAGCCTAGGGGTTCAAGACCAGCCTAGGCAACATGGCAAAACCCCATTATCTCTTTTTTTTTTTTCCTGAGACAAGTCTCGCTCTGTCGCCTAGGCTGGAGTGCAATGGCACAATCTTGGCTCACTGCAACCTCCGCCTCCCAGGTTCAAGCCATTCTCCTGTCTCAGCCTCCCGAGTAGCTGGGATTACAGGTACCCGCCATCATGCTCGGCTAATTTTTGTAGACACGGGGTTTCACCATGGCCAGGCTGGTCTTGAACTCCTGACCTCAGGTGATCCGACGGCCTCGGCCTCCCAAAGTGCTGGGAGCTACAGCGCCCAGCCGGCATATTTCATTTTATTATTTGACTCCCCTAGTGAAATGTAAGCTTCACAAGGAAGGGATTCTGTCTTAGAACGGTGCCTGGAATACAACAGACGCTCAATAAGTGGGTGTCGAATAAATAAATGTCCCACGCTGAGGCTTAGGTACGTTATGATACTCATTTTACAAAAGAGAAAACTAGGACACACAAAGATTAAGTCATTGGGTCGCACACCTAGTAAGTGGGGGAGGCGAGTCCTCAGCACACGCCCAATAACAGCATTATTATGATTACTAGCCGCTTACTCAGGCCTTGAGCTAAGTGCTTTACCCTGAATCATCGCGCTCAATTTAGCAATAACCCCGAGCCGGCACCGTCGCGAACGCCACTTTCCAAAGGAGGAAGCCAGGGCCAGACGTTGCCCTGCAAGGCCGGGGCTGGGCCGGGTTCGAACCCGGACGCCTGACGCGCCCTCCGCTCTCCCAGAGGCGTTACCTTGGTGGCCCCCGCTTCCTCCCCACGGAGCCCGGCGCTCACCCCCGGGCCGGGGTCGGGGTCGTGAGCCCACAGCTCAGCCACCATCTCCGTGTGAAGAAACTCAAACAACACAGTATCCGCCATGCCCCCTCCTCGCACGCCTAAAGATGCGCCCAGCGCTTCCAGCTCTCATTGGCCAGGCTTGGTAAGCCACGCCTCTTGCGTCATGGCGCGAGCCCTCCTACTCCGGCTTCCATTGGTGTTTTAGACTAGCCCCGCCTCCCCGCCCCGGACTCAGGTGGTGTGCGCGTGAGCCTGGGACACTAGGGGGCGGGCCTACGCCTTCTCTGGCCACATGTGGCAACATCTTCTGCTCTTACTGCCGTCCCTTCCCTATTTCCGGGTTCTCGAGCATTCCTATTGGCCAAATTACTGGTTACACGTGACATACTCGGCTTTTAAAATCCCTATTGGTCCACTCCAGACTTTCCTCGTCGCACAACCTGGAAGAGCCGGCCCAGCTGTTTCTCTATTGGCGGTTCCTCCATTCATGTGACTCTTCTGCACGCTCACTCAAAGCTGATGCTGAGAACTTGCTTCCTGATTGGTAGCCGGGCGAATCCACGTGACTTGGCCGCTAATGCCCGCCCAACCCGCTCCCCTATTGGTTGAAATCACAGCCCTTCAGCTGCCACGGTGAGAACGCAGCACTCGGGTTAGGAAGCGGATCTCGCAAGCTCCGAGCGTCAGCTGCCGGGTACGGTCTTTGGCGTTAGCGCTTCTCCCATCCCATGAGTGCCCCCAGCAGAGTCCAGTCGGACTGTCATCCTTTCTGCGACTCTGGCGCTGGTCCCGAGCAGCTCACGGGCCCGTGTGCTTCCGGGTCTGAGATTGGCATGGTGGACCAGGTGGAGGGTGTGGCCTCTACTAGGAGGCAAATTCGTAAAGACCTCGGCTTGGGACTCCGGGAACTCGGGCCCCAGATCCTTGTTCGAGCTGGTCTTCAGTTTCCCCATCTGTACGCTGAAGAGCCTGGGGTCCAGTAACCCCCATCATCACCCAGTTTACAGAAGAGGAAACTGAGGCCCAGACGGGGAGCAGCTGACACCAAGTCGTTAAGAGAATCAGCGAAGGGGCTGGGAATCCAGGACCTGCGCCTTTTACCCACCGCGGCGCCGGTCTCACGTGCAGTCCCTTCGCTCTTCTCCCCTAGTTCGGTGCCATGGCGTCCCAGGGTCGTCGGCGGAGGCCCCTGCGGAGGCCGGAGACGGTGGTGCCGGGGGAGGCGACCGAGACGGATTCCGAGCGCTCTGCGTCCTCGTCGGAGGAGGAGGAGCTGTACCTGGGTCCTTCGGGCCCGACGCGCGGCCGCCCCACGGGGCTGCGGGTGGCTGGGGAAGCCGCGGAGACCGACTCGGAGCCGGAGCCGGAGCCGGAACCGACGGCCGCGCCGAGGGACCTGCCTCCACTCGTGGTGCAGCGGGAATCGGCGGAGGAGGCCTGGGGCACGGAGGAGGCCCCGGCGCCCGCCCCCGCGCGCTCGCTCCTGCAACTTCGGCTGGCGGAGAGCCAGGCGCGGCTGGACCACGACGTGGCGGCCGCCGTGAGCGGTGTCTACCGCCGTGCAGGCCGCGACGTGGCCGCCCTGGCTAGTAGGCTGGCGGCAGCCCAGGCGGCGGGGCTGGCGGCGGCCCACAGCGTGCGCCTGGCGCGCGGGGACCTTTGTGCGCTGGCCGAGCGTCTGGACATCGTGGCTGGCTGCCGCCTGCTGCCGGACATCCGCGGCGTGCCAGGGACCGAGCCTGAGAAAGACCCGGGGCCGCGGGCCTAGCCATGATTCTACTTCCCAACCTGACTGCAATTTGGGGGTAGGCCTTGCTGCCTCTGGGACCTGACTCTGTCTCCTGTGTCTCTTATCACCCCCCACCCCCGCTCCCATCTTGGTGTCACCCATGGGGGCTAATCCGGTCCCCTTGGATAATGCTTTATATTGGATATAGTTCAACCCCTACTGCGGAGACCAGGGCCCCACTATCCTTAGATCTGGTTCCTCTCCCGATCCTGACCCTGCCGCCTGGTTCTGAGCCTTCCCCTGGGGCTTGGCTCCAGCCTTTGTTACATAGTTGCTCCTTAATCTGTTTCCACCCTGGGGGCTCACCAATTTTTTTTTTTTTTTTTTTTTTTTGGAGACAGGGTGTTTATCTGTCACCCAGGCTAGAGTGCAGTGGCGGGATTACTGCTCACTGCAACCTCGACCTCCTGGGCTCAAGTGATCCTCCCAGCTCAGCCTTCAAGAGTAGCTGGGACTGCAGACCTGCACCACCACGTCCAGCTGCCCGGTTAATTTTTTTCTGTCGGTTTGAAGAGGGGAGAAGGTCTCACTATGTTGCCCAGGCTTGTCTCAAACTCCCGGGCTCAAGCAATCCTCCCACTGTGGCGTCCCAAAGTGCTGGGGTTACAGGTGTGAGCCACCACACACTGGGCTCTGCTCTGCCTTTCTGAGTTTGGTTTCTGCTTATGGTGGGGAGCTTGTTCCCGTTCTTCCCACAAGAACCCAGGATGTGGCACAGCTTCCCTGCCGTCTTCCTTCACTCAGTTGGCTACGCCTCCCATCCTAGCTCCACTTCCAGAACTGCCTTCACCCTAGGCTGGGTCCTTGTTTTGTTTTTAGAGACAGGGTCTCACTGTGTCTCCCAGGCTGGAGTACAGTGGCGTGATCTCGGCTCACTGCCACCTCCACCTCCCGAGTTCAAGCGATTCTCCTGCCTCAGCCTCCCGAGTAGCTAGGATTACAGGCATGCACCACCACGCCTGGCTACTTTTTATATTTTTAGTAGAGATGAGGTTTCACCTTGTTGGCCAGGCTGGTCTCGAACTCCTGGCCTCAGGTGATCCACCCGCCTCACCTCCTAAAATGCTGGGATTACAGGCGTGGGCCACTGCGCCTAGCCAGCTGGGTCCTTGTTCTGCTGCCCAAGCTTGGCCCTGGTTCCGTGTGCTGGTTCTACTTTTTGTTCTCCCATCTGCCTCCTGCCTCCTCCCCTTTGAGCTTAGCCCCGCCCTCTCAGCCTGATTTCTGTTTCCCAAGTCCAGCAGTGTCGTGGGATAGGTTTTGCTTTCTTTTACTGTCTCCATCCTACTTACACCTCCCTGATCCTGGGGTCTGGGGACTCCCCATGGTTTCCTTCCTTCTGCAGGCCCAAAATGATGGCCCCTCTTAACCCAAGGCAGGGGATCTTCCTCCCAACTCCCTGGACCAAGGTGGCATTTCCTGCACACCCCTCCAGGCCAAGATGATGCTCGCTCTCAACTCTGTAGGCCAAGGTGGCGTCTCCTCTTGACTCTCCAGACCTAAAGTGACACCCTTCAGGCACTTCGGGCCCAATTCAGCCCAGTCCTGGTGCTTTCAGCGCCAGATGACAGCACTTTGCAGATAAGAACGATATGATGTGTGGATTTCACTACATTTGGCTCCTGGATGCTATAAAAGGACTTGGATTTCTGACTTGGCTCAGGGACTGGGGTTAGCAGTCTCTTTCTGCTCCTTTTCACCTGTGTTTTCTTCCGATCCCAGCTCTGGTCCCTCAGCCGCATTCATATTTACTCTCCTCTCCCAGCCTGATATCCCTGTCCCTCATCTCAACCCGAAGCCAAGATCTGAGCCCCCAAGATGGAGAATGGGGAGGAGCTTTTTATGGCGGACTGATTAAAACTCTTAAGCATTTACCCTTATGGTTAGTTCCTTTTGTTTCCCTATCTAAGCTAAGGGTGAGTTGGTTGATTTCTCTGAGAATGGGGGTCCCGAGACCTCCATGCCTGGCTTATGGAAGGTGAAGCTGTAGTTGGGAAATCAGGGGCCCTAGATTTTTGCCCTGGTTCTGTATTTACTCGTATTTTATTAATTCAACACACACGTTTTGGGTACCTGACCTGTGCTGCGGCTAGGGGTATAGCACCCAGTCCCTGCCCTCACAGAGGTCGCAGTCCAGTGGGAGAAACAGTAATAAGATGTTCTCATAGATAGTTCTAGTAATCATAATTTATAGTTTAATTTTTAAAAATAGAGATGATAGCCTGGCCAACATGGTGAAACCCTGTAGTTATTAAAAATACAAAAATTTTGGGCGATGTATCACGCCTGTAATCCTAGCACTTTGGGAGGCCGAGGCACGTGCTAGTAATTCCAGCTACTCAGGGAGCTGGGGCATGAGAATCGCTTGAACCCTGGAGGCAGAGGTTGAAGTGACCCAAGATCGTGCCACTGCACTCCAGCCCGAGCGACAGAGCAGGACTCTGTCTCAAAAATAAATAGGCCAGGCGCAGTTACGCATGTCTTTAATCCCAGCACTTTGGGAGATCGAGGTAGGCAGATCACCTGAGGTCAGGAGTTCTAGACCAGCCTGGCCAACATGGTGAAACTCTATCTCCACTAAAAATACATTAGCCAGGCGTGGTGGCACATGCCTGTAATCCCAGCTACTCGGGAGGCTGAGGCAGGAGAATCGCTTGAGCCCAGGAGGTGGAGGTTACAGTGAGCTGAGATCATGCCACTGCACTCCATCCTGGGTGAGAGTGAGACTCCATCTCAAAAATAAATAAAAAATAATTAATTTTAAAAAATAAAATAGAGACGAGCTCTCACAATGTTGCCCAAGTTGGTCTTGAACTTCTGAGCTCAAGGGATTCTCCTGTCTTGACCTCCCAAAGGGCTAGGATTACAGGCATGAGCCACTGCACCCAGCCATAATTTATAATTTAGATACAATTTTCTTGGCACCATGATTAGAGCCATGAAGAAGTAAAGGAGCTTTATGAAGGTGGAGCGGGATCCACCTGACCTAATCTGGGCGGGAGAGAGGAAGTGATGAGTGGTGCTGGAGCTGAGCCCGGAAGGTGGAAGTAGGTGAAATGGGAGTAGGGTGAAGAGTTGCAGACAGGGAGAACAGCATATGCGAGGGCCCTGAGGCAGAAGGGAAAGGGACCATAACCTGTTTAACAGAAGAAGATGATTTCTGCTCTCCACCTAGAATGGAGAAGTGTGGGGTGGTTGTGGGGCAGGGGGGTGCTGAGTGCAGTACCAGAAGGGGCCAGATAAAGGTGAGCTTTAAAAAAATTGTATTATTGGCTGTGCGCAGTGGCTCACGCCTGTAATTCCAGCACTTTGGGAGGTCGAGGCAGGCAGATCACCTGAAGTCAGGAGTTCGAGACCAGCCTGGCCAACGTGGTGAAACCCTGTCTCTACTGAAAATATAAAAATTAGGCATGGTGGCACATGCCTGTAATCCCAGCTACTCAGGAGGCTGAGGCAGGAGAATCGCTTGAACCCGGGAGGCAGCAGTTGCAGTGAGCCAAGATTGCGCCACTGCACTCCAGCCCAGGGGACAGAGCAAGACTCTGTCTCAAAAAAAAAAAAAAGTAGGTGCGGATCAACCAGCATCTCCTCCCTCCTGAGCACTCCCTCCAGCTCCCCTTCCACACCTAGGGCGAGTGGATCACAATTCAAAGAGGATGATCTCCCAGAACTTCCCTTTTCTTTTTCTTTTCTTTTCTTTTTTTTTTTTTTTTTTTTTGATATGGAGTCTCACTCTGTCGTTCAGGCTGGAGTGCAGTGGCGAGATCTCAGCTCACTGCAACCTCCACCTCCCAGGTTTAAGCAATTCTCCTGCTTCAGCCTCCTGAGTAGCTGGGATTATAGGCACGTGCCACCATGCCCAGCTAGTTTTTCTATTTTTTTTTCTTTTTAGTAGAGATGAGGTTTCACCATATTGGCCAGGCTGGTCTCAAACTCCTGACCTTGTGATCTGCCTGCCTCTGCCTCCCAAAGTGCTGGGATTACAGGCATGAGCCACCACACCTGGTCAGGACTTCCCTTTTCAATGAGTTTAGCGAGAGTCCCTGAGGAGCTGAGCTGCCTGGGAGAGTGGCAGCTTAGTGGTCTCATGGTGGACTTCCAGCCCTGGAGCACAGAGCTTCCCTCACTCCTTAAACTCCAGCTCACTAGCCAGGCCTGGCTTTCAGCCCCTTTCTTTCTTTTTCCCTCCCTCCTTCCTTCCTTCCTTTCTTTCGGTGGGGTCTCACTATTTTGCACAGGCTGGTCTTGAACTCCTGGCCTCAATGGATCTTCCCACCTTGGCATGGCAGGGATGGGAATCTGATTGGAGAGGGTACAAGAGGGTGTGGAAGGAGAGCCAGAGACCATCCTCTTTGCAATGTTGAGTGAAGGGGTGGGATGGTAAGAAATGGGGAAGTGGCAGTGCATGGTGGCTTACACCTGTAATCCCAGCAATTTGGGAAGCCAAGGTGAAAGCACTGATTGAGCCCAGGAGTTTGAGACCAGCCTGGGCAATATAGCGAGACCCCATCTCTACAAAAAATACAAAAACTAGCTGAGCGTGGTGGTGTGCGCCTGTGGTCCCAGCTACTCGTGAGGCTGAGATGGAAGAATCACTTGAGCCCAGGAGGTCGAGGCTGCAGTGAGCCATGATTGTGCCATTGCACTCGAGCCTGGGCAACAGAGTGAGACCTTGTCTCAAAATAAAAAAGGGGCCGGGCGTGGTGGCTCACGCCTGTAATCCCAGCACTTTGGGAGGCCGAGGTTGGTGGATCACGAGGTCAGGAGATCAAGACCATCCTGGCTAACATGGTGAAACCCCATCTGTACTAAAAATACAAAAAATTAGCTGGGCACGGTGGCGGGCACTTGTGGTCCAAGCTACTCGGGAGGCTGAGGCAGGAGAATGGCGTGAACCCGGGAGGTGGAGCGTGCGGTGAGCCAAGATAGCGCCACTGCAGTCTGGCCTGGGTGAAAGAGCGAGACTCTGTCTCAAACAAAAAAAAAAAAAAAAAAAAAAAAAAAAGGAAGGAAGGGAGGGAGGGAAGGAGGGACCGACTGGGGAAGTACCTAGATGGGGAAGATGGGAGGGGTCATGGCATGTTTGTATGCTGCTGGGAGTATTTCAGAAGAGGGAGAAGTCGTGATACAGGGGAAAGGTGGGAGAAAAGCCAGACCATTGTCCTGCAGTAGGTAAGAAGGGAGGAGGAGATAGCCCCCAAGGGGAAGGGCAACACTGGGGTAAGAGAGACTATTTGTGGCTAGTTGCAAGTCACTGGGTAGTGATGACCACTCTGGTCATCACTGCCTGGGAACTGGTCTGTCACCCCCACTGGACTGTTGGCCCCATGAGGACGGGGCTGAGGCTGTCTTGGCCAGGGCCAGCTAACCCAGGGAAACCACAGAGTAGATACTGGGCAAATTGTTTGTTGAATGAATGAATGGCCTTCACACCATCACACGGCATCAGCCTCTCAGATGCATGGAGCTGTTGAGACGTTCGGGCACAGCCTCCCTCCAAAGGTGATGGGCACTCGGTCCCACATAACACATCACCCTCAGATGTGCAGGATGAGAGGGTCAGACATGCACCAAAATGCTAATAACACCCACTCCACAAATATTTGCTAACCACATTTCAAGGGGAAAGGCATTCAAGGCAGAAAGAATAGCATGTGCAAAGAACCAGAGGCAGGAAAATCCTGGGGGTGCTTGTTTGGGCGAGATGAATTGTCTGTTGTGCATGGACTGCTATAGAGGGGCCTTTGGCAGGAGGGAGAGCTGAAGACTCAGTCAAGAGCCAGGCCACACAGGGCCAGAATGAGGAGCAGGGCTTTGTCCCAAGGGCCCTGGGGAGCCAAGGCAAGTTCCAAGCAGGAGAGAGGCAGGGACGAGTTTGTGCTTTAGCAAGAGATACCTAGATGGGTCAGGTGCGGTGGCTCATGCCTGTAATCCCAGGCCTTTGGAGGCCAAGGCAGATGGATCACCTGAGGTCAGAAGTTCGAAACCAGCCTGGCCAACATGGTGAAACCCCCGTCTCTACTGACAATACAAAAATCATTCTGGGCGTGGTGGTGTGCACCTGTAATTCCAGCTACTCAGGAGGCTGAGGCGGGAGAATCACTTAAACCTGGGAGGCGAACATTGCAGTGAGCCAAGATTGCGCCACTGCACTCCAGCCTGGGCAACACAGCAAGACTCTGTCTCAAAATAAAAAAAAAGAAACCTCTGGCTACTGAGTGGAGGGTGCATGGGAGGGGGTGAGACTGGGTCTGTCCTGGTCACTCTGTGTCCCCAGCACCACTAGCAAAGAGCAGGTGCACAGTAAACACATTTTGAATGAAGATATGAATGAAGGAAGTGGCAAACACTTGAATTATTGGACTTCTGTTGTCACTGAGAATAAAAGCCAAATCGTATATTATTATTATTATTATTTTAGAGATGGGATCTCACTACGTTGCTCAGGCTGGTCTTGAACTCCTGGGCTCAAGCAATCCTCCTACCTCGGCCTCCTAAAGTGAGCCACCATGCCCAGCCTGTAATCCCAGTACTTTGGGAGGCTGAGGCAGGCAGATCACCTGAGGTCAGTAGTTCGAAACCAGCCTGGCCAACACGGTGAAACCGTGTCTCTACTAAAAATACAAAAATTAGTCCAGTGTGGTGGCACGCACCTGTAATCCCAGCTACTCAGGAGGCTGAGGCAGAATGATCACTTGAACCTGGGACGTGGAGGTTGCAGTGAGCAGAGATCATGCAACTGCACTCCGGCCTGGGCGATAGAGTGAGACTCCGTCTCAACAACAACAACAAAAAAAAAGTGCTAGGGTTACAGGCATGAGCCACCACACCCAGCCTCAACACCACAGTCTTTACTGGGACATTGGAGGCCCTATGATCTGGTCCTGGGTCCATCTCGCTGAGCTCATAGACAACTGGCCACTTCACTGAGTAATACTGGACTCTGGGCTGTCCTCTAAGCTGCCAGACAGAGCCTTTGCAATTTTGTTTTTCTCTGGCACTCAGCTCTGTATGGGCAGTGCCTATAGCAACATTGTATAACAGGCAGTCAGCAGGCAGTCACTATTTGTTGACTTAATGAATGAATCCCCTGCAGCTCCACTGGAGAGGTCTGAACATCATCCTCATCAGTAGAAACCTGAGCTAGTTGGAGCAGGAGGCAAAGGAGATGGGTGGAGGCCAGGAGGACCAGGCTGGGAGAATTCCAGGATAGGGACTGGGGCAGGGGTCAGGGTCAGGGTCAGGGGCTGGAGCTGATGTCCAGCCAAGAGCAGAATCTAGAATGGAACTGGGACAGGGATGGGGGCTGGGGCCATGGGAGGGACAGGGCCAGGGGCTAGGGAGGGGACACGATTGGGGGCGACCTCGGTTAAGGGCCTGACTCCCCAACACCTCTCTTTCCAGAGCGGCTTCACAGCAGGACCACAGGAGTCATTGTGGCCAACTTCGCTGGAGGCTTGGAGATCTTTGGGGCCATTAAGGCAGAGCTGCAGGGCCTAGAGATTGAGATGCTGGGTATGTCCCCACACCTGCTTGGGGAGCCCCGCCAAGCTGCAGGCATCGCACACTGACCCAGGGCCCTTTGTGATCACCCTTCACCTGGCCCCATCTGGTCTCCTTGGGACTGTTGGGGTGACACAGCCTGTTCCCTCTCGCCCAGTGAACAATGTGGCATGCTGTATGCGCAGGGACGCTTGAGGAAGCTGCTCGACTGTGAGAATGTCGCCAGAGTGAAACAGAGTCCTAGCCCACCTGGCACCTCTTCCTCCAACTCTTTACTGCCCTCTGTTGGAAAACTCGCGTAATATACAAAGGTAAAGTCCTCACTTGGGTACCTGTGGGGGATTCCTTCCAGGACCCCCACTGATGCCCCAGACCCTAATACAAAATGGCCTAGTATGTGCACATAACCTATGCATACCCTCCCGTGCACTTTATTTTTTTTTAATTTTTTAATTTTTTGTGGGTACATAGTAGATGTATATATTTATGGGGTACATTATGAGATGTTTTGATACAGGCATGCAATATGTAACAATTACAACATAGAAAATGGGGTATCCACTCCCTCAAGCATTTACTCTATGTTACAATCCAATTACACATTTTTTTTTGAGAGAGAGCCTCACTCTGTCGCCCAGGCTGGAGTGCAGCAGCGTGATCTCAGCTCACTGCAACCTCTGCCTCCTGGGTTCAAGCAATTCTCCTGCCTCGGCCTCCCGAGTAGCTGGGATTACAAGTGTATGCCACTATGTCCGACTAATTTTTGTATTTTTAGTAGAGTCAAGGTTTCACCATGTTGGCCAGGCTGGTCTCGAACTCCCAACCTCAGGTGATCTGCCTGCCTCAGCCTCCCAGAGTGCTGGGATTATAGGCATGAGCCACCGCAACTGGTCAATTACACCCTTTTCGTTATTTTTTTTCTTTTTAATAGAGATAGTCTCTGCCATGTTGACCAGGCTTGTACAGAACTCTTGGCCTCAAGCAGTCCCCCATCTCAGCCTCCCAAAGTGCTGGGATTACAGGTGTGAGCCACAGCGCCCGGCTTCTTTTAGTTACTTTAAAATGTACAACTAGTCACCCGGATGTGCTGTCAAATAGTAGATCTTATTCATTCTTTCTAATTATTATTATTATTATTATTATTATTATTATTATTATTTGAGACAGAGTTTCACTCTTGTTGCCCAGGCTGGAGTGCAATGGTGCATTCTTGGCTCATTGCAACCTGTGACTCCCTTGTTCAAGCAATTCTCCTGCCTCAGCCTCCCAAGTAGCTGGGATTACAGGCACGCGCCCCCATGCCTGGCTAATTTTTTATATTTAGTAGAGACGGGGTTTCACCACGTTGGTCAGACTGGTCTCGAACTCCTGACCTCAGGTGATCCACCCACCTTGGCCTCCCAAGGTGCTGGGATTACAGGCATGAGCCAACACTCCCAGCCTATTATTATTATTACTATTTTGAGGCAGAGTCTTGCTCTGTTGCCCAGGCTGGGGTGCAGTGGCGTGATCTCTGCTCACTGCAACCTCTGCCTCTGCCCAGCTAATTTTTGTATTTGTAGTAGAGATGGGGTTTCACCATGTTGGCCTGGCTAGTCTCAAACTCCTGACCTCAGGTGATCCTCCCGCCTTGGGCTCCCAAAGTGCTGGGATTACAGGCATGAGTCACTGTGCCCGGCTGTTCTTTCTAATTATTATTTTTGTACCCATTAACCATCCATCCCCTCCTCTGCCACCTCCCCAACCCCACTGGCTAATTTTTATATTTTTAATAGAGATAAGGTTTCACCATGTTGGCCAGCCTCGTCTCAAACTCCTGACCTCAAGTGATCCACACACCTTGGCCTCCCAAAGTGCTGGGATTACAAGTATGTGCCACTGCACCCAGCCAGAGCGCCATTGAATGTTATTTGTTACTTCTGTCTTGCTGCTTTTAGGATTCTTTCTTTATCCTTGACCTTTGGGAGTTTGATTATTAAAGGACTTGAGGTAGTCTTCTTTTTTTTTTTTTTCTTTTTTTGAGACGGAGTTTCGCTCTTGTTGCCCAGGCTGGAGTGTAATGGTGCGATCTCACCTCACCACAACCTCTACCTCCCAGGTTCAAGTGATTCTCCTGCCTAAGCCTCCCGAATAGCTGAGATTATAGGCATGTGCCACCAAGCCTGGCTTTTTTTTTTTTTTTTTTGGTATTTTTTAGTAGAGATGGGGTTTCTCCATGTTGGCCAGGCTGGTCTCAAACTCCCGATCTCAGGTGATCCGCCCGCCCAAAGTGTTGGGATTACAGGCGTGAGCCACCACGCCCGGCAGGTAGTCTTCTTTGGGTTAAATCTGCTTGGTGTTCTATAACCTTCTTACATTTGAATACCGATATCCTTCTGTAGATTTGGGAAGTTCTGTGTTATTATTCCTTTAGATAAACCTTCTACCTCTGTCTCTCTCTACCTCCTCTTTAAGTCCAGTAATTCTTAGATTTGTCCTTTTGAGGCTATTTTCTAGATTTTGTAGGTATGCTTTATTCTTTTATCTTTTGTCTCCTCTGTGTATTTTCAAATAGCCTTTCTTCAAGTTCACTAATTATTTCTTTTTTTTTCTTTTTCTAAGATAGAGAAAGGGGTCTTGCTATGTAACCTGGCCTCGTCTCAAGCTCCTAGGCTCCAGTGACCCTCCTGCCTTGGCCTCCCAAAGTACTGGGATTACAGGCATCAGTCACCATGCCCAGCCACTAATTTTTTCTTCTGCTTGATTAATTCTGCTGGTGAGAGACTCTGATGCATTCTTTAGTTTGTCAATTGAATTTTTCAACTCCAGAACTTCTGCCTGATTCTTTTAATTATTTCAATCTCTTTGTTTAATTTATCTGATAGAATTCTGAATTTCTTCTGTGTTATCTTGAATTTTGTTGAGTTTCCTCAAAACAGACCCCTCCTTCTCTCTCTCTCTCTCTCTCCCCCACCCATATATATAGTTTTTGTTTGTTTGTTTCTTGTTGAGACAAGATCTGGCTCTATCACCCAGGCTGGAGTGCAGTGCCACAGTCTTGGCTTACTGCAACCTCCACCTCCTGCGCTCTAACCATCCTCTCACCTTAGCCTCCTGAGTAGCTGGGACCACAGGTGCACACTACCATGCCTGGCCAATTTTTGTATTTTTTTTGTAGAAACGGGGTTTTGCCATGTTGCCCAGGCTGGTCTCGAACTCTTGAGCTCAAGTGATCTGCCCACCTCAGCCTCCCAAAATGCTGGGATTACAGGCGCCAGCCACTGCACCCAACCCCAGAACAGCTAATCAATTATCTGTCTGAAAGGTCACGTATCTCTGTCTCTCTATGATTGGTCACTGATGCTTTTATTTTATTTTATTTTATTTTATTTTATTTTATTTTATTTTATTTTTTGAGAGAGAGTCTTGCTCTGTCGCCCAGGCTGGAGTGCAGTGGCGCAATCTCGGCTCACTGCAAGCTCTGCCTCCCAGGTTCACGCCATTCTCCTGCCTCAGCCTCCTGAGTAGCTGGGACCACAGGCACCCGACACCACGCCCGGCTAATTTTTTGTTTTTTTAGTAGAGACGGGGTTTCACCATGTTAGTCAGGATGGTCTCGATCTCCTGACCTCACGATCCGCCCGCCTCGGCCTCCCAAAGTGCTGGGATTACAGGCGTGAGCCACCACACCCAGCCTAGTTTATTTTTTATTTTATTTTTTTATTTTTTTTGAGACAGAGTTTTGCTCTTGTTGCCCAGGCTGGAGTGCAATGGCACGATCTCGGCTCACCACAACCTCCGCCTCCCTGGTTGAAGCGATTCTCATGCCTCAGCCTCCCGAGTAGCTGGGATTACAGGCATGCACCACCACGCCCAGCTAATTTTGTATTTTTAGTGAGATAGGGTTTCTCCATGTTGGTCAGGCTGGTCTTGAACTCCCAACCTCAGGTGATCTGCCCGCCTCGGCCTCCCAAAGTGCTGGTATTACAGGCATGAGCCACTGTGCCCGGCCGGCTTTATTTAGTTTCTGTGGTGAGGTCATGTTTTCCTGGATGGTTTTGTTACCTGAGGATGTTCATACATTTCTGGGCACTGAAGAGTTAGGTATTTATTATAGTCTTCACAGTCTGGGCTTGTCTGTACTCATCCTTCTTTGGAAGGCTTTCCAGGTATTGAAAAGACTTTTGTGTTGCGATCTAAGTCTTTAGTCACTGCAGCTGTATCTGCATCAGGGGGCACCCCAAGCCCAGGAATGCCGTGGCCCTTGGAGACTTGTAGAGACACTGCCTTGGTGGTCTTGGATAAGATCTGGAAGAATTCTCTGGATTATCAGGCAGAGATTCTTGTCTTCTTCCTTTTCTCCCAAACAAATGGAGTCTCTCTGTGCTGAGCTGCCTGGAGCTGGGGGAAGGGTGATACAAGCACTGCTGTGGCCACCAGTGCTGGGACTGTGCTGGGTCAGACGTGTAGCCAGCCCAACACGGGGTCTCCCCCAAGGCCCGTGGTCAGCACTGCCTGGGTACCACCTATGTCCACTGAAGGCCCTAGGGCTCTGTGAGGAGCAGACGGCAAATCCAGCCAGGCTTGTGTTCATCCTTTCAGTGTGGTGTGAGCCCCCCATCACAGGTGCGCCCAGAGATGCCATCTGGGAGCCAGGGCCTGGAGTTGGAAACCTTAGGGACTCTACCTGGTACTCTGTTCTACTGTGGCTGAGCTGGCACACAAGCCACAAGACAAAATCTTCCCCACTCTTTTTTCTGCAAGCAGGGGAGCCTCTCCCTGTGGCCACCACTGCCCCAGGACCATGGCAGCTACTGCTTGGCTACTGCCGGTGTTCATTTAAGGACCAAGGTCTCTTCAGTCAGCTTGTGTGAAGGCTGCCAGGCCTGGGTCTCTCCCTTCAGGGCAGTGGGCTCCCCTCTGGCCAAAGGTAGGTCCAGAAATGACATCCAAGAGCCAAGGCCTGGAATCAGGGACCCCCAAGAGCCAACTTGGTGCTCTACTCCACTGTGGCCGAGCTGGTAACTAAGCTGCCAGACAAAGGCCCCTTTACTCTTCCCTCCCGCTTCCTTGAGCAGTAGGAGCCTCTCCCCGTAGTCACCACGTCAGGGAATATGCTGGGTCATATCTGAAGTCAGTGTGTCTCTGAGTCTCACTCAAGGCCCACACGGAGTACTGCCTGGGTACTGCTGCTGATTATTCAAGGGTCCTTTAGTCAGCAGGTAATGAATCCTGCCTGGACTGGGCTATTTCCTTCAAGGCAGCAGTTTCTTTTCTGGCCCAGATGTTTCTAGAAATCGCCTTGAAGCTAGAGCCTGGAATGGGGCCCTCAGGACCCTGCTTGGTGCGCTATCCTACGGTGGCTGAGCTGATATCCAAGGTGCAAAACAAAGACCTCTTTATTCTTCCCGCTTATCTCCTCCAGTGTGAGGAAGACATTTCAAGCCAGGCGTGGTGGCTCACGCCTGTAATCCCAGCACTCTGGGAGGCTGAGGCAGGCAGATCACCTGAGGTCAGGAGTTCGAGACCAGCCTGACCAACACGGTGAAACCCCGTGTCTACTAAACATACAAAATTAGCCGGGTGTTGTGGCACACGCGTGTAATCCCAGCTACTCAGGAGGCTGAGGCAGGAGAATACTTGAACCCAGGAGGCGGAGGTTGCTGTGAGCCGAGATCACTCCATTGCACTCCAGCCTGGGCAACAAGAGCAAAACTCCGTCTCAAAAAAAAAAAAAAAAAAAAAAAAAAAAGAGACTATTTTTGCTACCCCGTTCAGTGGCTCTTTCAGTGATATGAAGTTAAAACCAGGTACTGTGTTCGCTCACCTGATTTTGGTTCTTATGAAGTGCTTTTTTGTGTGGATAGTTGTTCAGCTGGTTGTTCTTCTGAAGGAGATGATTACTGGAGGCTTCTATTCAGCCATCTTCCCCTGCCTCCTCATAATTGCTATCTCTTTATTGATTTTCTCATGTTGTTTGTATATTGGTTGTATATCATTTTCCTGATTTCCATTTATTCTTTGTCTATGGTTTCCTTTAGCTCATAAAGCATATTTAAGACAGTCGATGATGTCTGTGACTAGTAATTCCAATGTCTGTGCTTCCTCAGAGATGGTCTCTGTCAAAAGAACTTTTTTTTACTATAAATAAGCCATACTTGCCCGTTTCTTTGTATGTTTTGTAGTATTTTTGTTGAAAATTGGACTTTTGGAGTATTATAATATGTTAATTATTGAAATTGGATTCACCCTTTCCTTGGAGATTGCTGGGTTTTGCTTGTCAAGGGCTAGAGCCATCTGTTTGACTTTTTAAAACTGTTTTTGCAAAATGTGTATTCCTTTTGCTGTGTAGTCACTGAAGTTTCTATTCCATTTTTTCTGTTTTTTTTTTGTTGTTGTTGTTTTTGTTTTTGAGATGGAGTCTTGCCCTGTCGCCCAGGCTGGAGTGCAGTGGTGTGATCTCGGCTCACTGCAAGCTCCTCCTCCCAGGTTCATGCCATTCTCCTGCCTCAGCCTCCTGAGTAGCCGGGACTACAGGCACCCACCACCACGCCCAGCTAATTTTTTTGTATTTTTAGTAGAGAAGGGGTTTCACCGTGTTAGCCAGGATGGTCTCGATCTCCTGACCTCACGATCCGCCCTCCTTGGCCTCCCAAAGTGCTGGGATTACAGGTGTGAGCCACCGCGCCTGGCCTTTTTTTTTTTTTTTTTTTTTTTTTAATGAGATGGAGTCTCACTTTGTCGCCCAGGCTAGAGTGCAGTGGCACGATCTCAGCTCACTGCAACCTCTGCCTCCCAGGTTCAAGCAATTCTCCTGCCTCAGCCTCCCAAGTAGCTGGGATTTTAGGCCTGTGCCACCATGTCTGCCTAATTTTTGTATTTTTAGTAGAGATGGGGTTTCACCATATTGGTCAGGCTGGTCTCGAACTCCTAACCTCAGGTGATCCACCTGCCTCAGCCTCCCAAAGTGCTGGGATTACAGGCATGAGCCACCGCGCCCAGCCAATTTCTCAGGTATTTATTTATAGCAGTATAAAAACAGACTAATACACCCGCGATCGTTCCATTTATTTCCCTCTTGTTTATTATGAGCACATATGTGTTCCAAAAGACAGTGTGCTTAGATAAATTGTTTGTACCTTCAAACTAGACACAATCTAAATGTCAATCCATTGGTGACTGGGTAAGTAAAGCATGCTACATTCATACAACAGACATTATAGCAATGAACACGAATGACCTTCTGCTGTACACAACATGAATGTATCTCACAAGCATAATGTTCCACCAACAAAGCCAGAGCACATACCGTATGATTCCACTTATCTCCAGTCAGAACCAGGCAAAACCATGCTAGGGGTGTTGAAGGTCAGGACAGCAGTTAATTGGGGAGGAGGCAAGGGGTAATGACTGCATGAAGGGTTGCATCTGAGCCACTGTCAATATTGTATTTCTTCATAGGGGTGGAAATTAAAGATTTGTGTTCACACTAAAAATTTGTGAACTCTGGTATGTGTGTTATACTTTTTTTTTTTTTTTTGAGATGGAGTTTCGCTCTTGTTGCCCAGGCTGGAGTGCAATGACATGATCTCAGCTCACTGCAATCTCCGCCTCCCAGTTCAAGCGAGTCTCCTGCCCCAGCCTCCCGGTAGATGGGATTACAGGCATGCGCCAGCACGTAGTAGAGATGGGGTTTCTGCATGTTGGTCAGGCTGGGCTTGAACTCCTGACCTCGTGTGATCCACCCACCTCTGCCTCCCAAAGTGCTGGGATTACAGGTGTGAGCCACCGCGCCTGGCCAATTTTTTATTCTTTTTGAGGCAGGGTCTCACTCTGCCACCTTCCTAAGGTGCGGTGGCATGGTCATGGCTAACTGTAGCCTAGACCTCCTGGGCTCAGGCAGTCCTCCCACCTCAGCCACCCGAGTAGCTGGGACTACAGGTTCACACCACCATGCCCAGTTACTTTTTGTAATTTTACCAGAGACGGGGTTTTGGAATGTTGCCCAGGCTGGTCTTGAACTCCTGCACTCAAGTGATCCGCCCACTTTGGCCTCCCAAAGTGTTGGGATTATAGGCATGAGCCACAGGGCCCAGCCACAAATGTATATTTAATTTACATGGAAGCCTACTGTTCTCCTCCCTCCCTCCTTCCCTCCCTCCCTCCCTCCCTCCCTCTCTCCCTTCCTCCCTCCTTCCTTCCTTCCTCAGAGTTTCTCTCTTGTTGGCCAGGCTGGAGTGCAATGGCATGACCTCAGTGCACTGCAATCTCCGCCTCCTGGCTTCAAGTGATTCTCCTGCCTCAGCCTCCCGAGTAGCTGGGACTATAGGTGTGCACCACCACGCTTGGCTAATTTTTGTGTTTTTAGTAGAGACAAGGTTTCACCATGTTGGCCAGGCTGGTCTCGACCTCCCAACTTCAGGTGATCCACCCGCCTTGGCCTCCCAAAGTGGTGGGATTACGGGCGTGAGCCACCGTGCCCAGCCTGCCTTTTTCAAGTAGTCATATGTCTTGGAGAGCATTCTAATCAGAATGAAAAACAGCTGAGCCATTCTGTTTACTTATACGGTGACCAAGCCATCTGCTAGTCATTCCCCTATTGATGATCATTCAGGGTGTTCCCTATTGTTTGTGACTACATATGGTGTGGCAAAGAATATCTTTGAATATATTCATTTCCCACATGTATGGGTATCTTGGAAAGAAACACATTTCCAGATGTGGAGTTGTTGGGTCAAAGGGTGAGTACATTTTAAATTCTGTTAGGTGCTACTTTATTTTTTAATTTTTTATTTTTTTTTGAGACAGGATCTCATTCTGTTGCCCAGGCATGGTGGCACATGCCTATGATCCCAGCTACTTGGGTGGCTGAAGCTCGAGAATTGCTTGAGCCCAGGAGATGGAGGTTGCAGTGAGCTGAGATCGCACCAGTGCAGTCTAGCCTGGGTGACATAGCGAGACTCTGTCTCAAATATAATGCAACATGGTGTCCATGGTCCAGGTGAGGCTGAGCTAGGAGGTCTGAGGTCAGGGTAGGTCTGACCCCTCTGGGTGGTCCTCAGTGTCCCACAGCACTGAGCCTGCCAAGGAGGAGGTGCTAGGGGAATATTCCTGAGGGAATTTAGGGAGATGGGAGTGAATTTGATGAGCAGGAGGCAGGGGTCTTTGGGTAAGTGAGAGAATTGAAAAGGAAAAAACTCTTAGCCGGGAGCGGTGGCTCACGCCTGTAATCCTAGCACTTTGGGAGGCCGAGGCGGGTGGATCATAAGGTCAGGAGATCAAGACCATCCTGGCTAACACGGTGAAACCCTGTCTCTACTAAAAATACTAAAAATACAAAAAATTAGCCAGGCATGGTGGCGGGTGCCTGTAGTCCCAGCTACGTGGGAGGCTGAGGCAGGAGAATGGCGTGAACCTGGGAGGCAGAGCTTGCAGTGAGCCGAGATGGGGCCACTGCACTCCAGCCTGGGCAACAGAGCAAGACTGTCTCAAAAAAAAAAAAAATCAATTTTAGGAAAGTGTCTGAGAGAGATCAGTGACTCAGAAGAGTTTGAGTGGGGAAGTGCTCAGAAGCCATGGCTTCTTGCAGGGGGTATGGTCCCACAGGGGCCCACGGGGTTTCCTGGGCACAGGGACCCAAGTGGGACCTCAGCAGGTGGGTGGGATGCTGGGAGTGGAGGGGGCTGAGGGGTGTTCTTTCCTTTACTCCCTTATGGCTGCAGTGAGCTATGATCGTGCCACTGCACTCCAGCCTGGGTGACACAGTGAGACCTTATCTCAAAAAAAGAAAAAGAAGTCCAGGTGCGGTGGCTCACACCTGTAATCCTAGCACTTTGGGAGACCAAGGTGGGAAGATTTGCTAGAGCTCAGGAGTTCAAGACCAGCCTGGGCAACATGGCGAAACCCTGTCTCTACAAAGTAAACAAAAATTAGCTGGGTGTGGTGGCAGGTGCCTGTAATTCCAGCTACCCAGGAGGCTGAGGCATGAGAATCACTTGAACCCGGGAGGTGGAGTTTGCAGTAAGCTGAGATTGTGCCACTGCACTCCAGCCTGGGCAATGGAGTGAGACTCTGTCTCAACAACAACCACCAAAAAAAAAGAAGAAGAAGAAAAAGAATAAAAAAGAAGATTTAGAGGCTGGGTGTGGTGGCTCCCCCTGTGATCCTAGCACGTTGGGAGGCCGAGGCGGGTGGATCACCTGAGGTCAGGAGTTCAAGACCAGCCTGGCCAACATGGTGAAACCCCGTCTCCACTAAAATACAAAAATTAGCCAGGCATGATGGTGGGTGCCTGTAATCCCAGCTACTCAGGAGGCTGAAACAGGAGAATTGCTTGAACCTGGGAGATGGTGGTTGCAGTGACCCAAGATTGCACCACTGCACTCCAGCCTGGGTGGCTGAGCGAGACTCCGTCTCAAAAAAAAAAAAAAAAAAAAAAAAAGATCTAGAAAGGAGAGTTAGGGAGTCCATGAAAAATCTCTAGCCAGCCCTCCTGAAGCACTAGACAGGGGAACAAGTCAGAGTTTGCAGGAAAATCTGGGAAGTCAGGCATATCCAACTATCAGAGTCATGGAAGGCTGTTGCCTCTGCATCTGATGTTGAGCCCGAGGTCACTGGTGGTTAGCAGGGCAGAAAATTGAGAAGAGATAAACAGGAGTGTGGGGGAAACAAGGTCCCGAACACTTGCATCTGTCTCACCCTGCAGGGCAGAGCGAGAGCAAATGGGAACCCCCTAATGCATCTACATCTGTCTTTTCCCCCATCTAAATAGAGCAACCGTCCAAGAAAAATACTGTGCTAAACTTCTTTCTTCCAGTTTTCATGCAATTTTCTCCTTTGGCCAACTCTAACTTAGAACCATATGGGGAAGGGGTTTTTTTGTTTGTTTGTTTTGTTTTGTTTTCAGAGTCTTGCTTTGTTGCCCAGGCTCTGGAGTGCAGTGGTGCGAGCTCGGCTCACTGCAACCTCCGCCTCCCAGGTTCAAGCAATTCTCCTGCCTCAGCCTCCCAAGTAGCTGGGATTACAGGCACCCGCCACCACGCTCAGCTAACTTTTTTGTATTTTTAGTAGAGACAAGGTTTCGCCATGTTGGCCAGGCTGGTCTTGAACTCCTGACCTCAGGTGATCCACCTGTCTCAGCCTCCCAAAGTGCTGGGATTACAGGCGTGAGCCGCCGCACCCAGCCAACTTCATCACTTTCAATATGTCGTGCCACTCTATCCTAGCCTGTGAGGTTTCCACTGAAGTCTGCTGCCAGACGTATTGGAGCTCCATTGTATGTTTGTTTTTGTTTTTGTTTTTGAGACAGAGTCTCACTCAGTCACCCAGGCTGGAGTACAGTGACGAAATCTCGGCTCACTGCAACCTGCACCTCCCAGGTTCAAGCGATTCTCGTGCCTCAGCCTCCCGAGTAGCTGGGATTACAGGTGTGAGCCACTGCGCCTGGCCTCATGCCTGGCTAATTTTTTTTGTATTTTTAGTCGAGACGGGATTTCACCATGTTGCCCAGACTGGTCTGTAACTCCTGGCCTCAAGTGATTCACCCGCCTCAGCCTCCCTAAATGCTGGGGATTACAGACGTGAACCACTGCACACGGCCTCCATTGTAAGTTATTTGTTACTTTTCTCTTGCTGCTTTTAGGACCCTTTCTTTATCCCTGATCTTTGGGAGTTTGATTATTAAATGCCTTGAAGGTAGTCTTTGGGTTAAATCTGCCTAGTGTTCTATAACCTTCTCGTATTTGAATATTGATATCTTTTTCTAGGTTTGGAAAGTTCTCTGTTATTATCCCACTTAATAAACTTTCTATTCCAATCTCTCTACTTTCTCTTTACGGCCAATAAAACTCAGATTTTTCCTTTTTGTGGCTATTTTCTAGATCTTGTAGGTGTGCCTTATTCTTTTTTTTTTTTTTTTTTTTTTTTTGAGATGGAGTCTTGCTCTGTCTCCAGGCTGGAGCACAGTGGCACGATCTTGGCTCACTGCAACCTCCGCCTCCCGGGTTCAAGCAATTCCCCTGCCTCAGCCTCCCGAGTAGCTGGGATTACAGGTGCCTGCCACTACACCTGGCTAATTTTTTGTATTTTGGTAGAGATGGGGTTTCACCATGTTGGCCAGGATGGTCTCAAACTCCTGACCTCGTGATCCGCTTGCCTCGGCCTCCCAAAGTGCTGGGATTACAGGTGTGAGCCACTGCGCCTGGCCTTTATTCTTTTTTATTTTTTCTTTTGTCTCCTCTGGCTGTGTCTTGTCCTGTCTCATCTCTTTTCTCTTCTCTTCTGTTCTCTTCTGTTCTCTTCTCTTCTGTTCTCTTCTCTTCTTTCTTCTCTTCTCTTCTCCTCCTCTCCTCTCCTCTCTTCTCTTCTCTTTTTGAGACAGAGTCTCACTTTGTCGACCAGGCTGGAGTGCAGTGGTGCTGCAATCTTGGCTCACTACAACCTCCACTTCCTGCGTTCAATCAATTCTGGAGCCTCAGCCTCCTGAGTAGCTGGGATTACAGGCATGCACCACCATGCCCAGCTAATTTTTCTATTTTTAGTAGAGACAGGATTTCACTATGTTGGCCAAACTAGTCTCAAACTCCTGACCTCAGGTGATCCAACCACTTCAGCCTTTCAAAGTGCTGGGATTACAGGTATGAGCCACTGTGCCCGGCCTGACTGCATATTTTCAAATAGCCTGTCTTTGAGCTCACCAATTCTTCAGGTTGATCAATTCTACTGTTCAGAGACTGATGCATTCTTCAGTGTGTCAGTTGAATTTTTTCTACTTAATTTTTTTTTTTTTTTTTGAGACGGAGTCTCGCTGTGTCGCCCAGGCTGGGGTGCAGTGACACGATCTCCGCTCACTGCAAGCTCCACCTCCCGAGTTCATGCCATCCTCCTGCCTCAGCCTTCCGAGTAGCTGGGACTACAGGCGCCTACCACCACGCCTGGCTAATTTTTTTGTATTTTTAGTAGAGATGGGGTTTCACCGTGTTAGCCAGGATGGTCTTGATCTCATGACCTCGTGATCCACCTGCCTCGGCCTCCCGAAATGCTGGGATTACAGGTGTGAGACACCGTGCCCAGCCCCTTTCTGCTTAATTTTTAAAAATTATTTCAATCTGTTTGGTTAATTTATCCGATAGGATTCTGAATCCCTTCTCTGTGTTATCTTGAATTTCATTGAGCTTCCTCAAAACAGCTGTTTTGAATTCTCCGTCTGAAAGGTCACATAGCTCTGTCACAATGGGGTTGGTCACTGGAGCCTTGTTTAGTTCACTTGGTGAGGTCATGTTTTCCTGGATGGTGTCAATGCTTGTGGATGTTCGTCAATGGCTGGGCATTGATGAGTTCAGTGTTTATTGTAGTCTTTGTAGTCTGAGCTTATTTGAACCCATCCTTCTTGGGAAGGCTTGCCAGGAAATTGAGTGTTGTGAACTAAACTTTTGGTCACTGCAGCTGTATCTGCATTAGGGGGCACCCCAGGCTCAGTAATGCTGTGATTCTTGCAGCATCTTAGAGGTGCTGGCCAGGCGCAGTGGCTCACGCCTGTAATCCCAGCACATTGGGCAGCCTAGGCAGGCGGATCATCTGAGGTCGGGAGTTTGAGACCAGCCTGGCCAACATGGTGAAACCCTGTCTCTACCAAAAAATACAAAAATTTGCCAGGCGTAGGGGTGGGCGCCTGTAGTCCCAGCTACTTGGGAGGCTGAGGCGGGAGAATCACTTGCGCATGGGAGGTGGAGGTTGCACTGAGTGGAGATTGCAGCACTGCATTCCAGCCTGGGCGACAGAGTAAGACCCTGTCTCAAAAAAAAAAAAAAAAGGAATCTTAGAGGTACTGCCTCAGTGGTCTTGGTTAAGATTCAGGAGAATTCCCTAAATTACCAGGCAGAAACTCTTCTCTTCCCTTACTTTCTCCAAACAAACGCAGTCTCTCTATCTCTGTACGGAGCTGCCTGGGGCTGCTGGAGGGGTGACACAAGTACCCTTGTGGCCACCACCACTGGGACTGCACTGGGTCAGACCCAAAGCCAACACACCACTAGGTCTCACCCAGGGCCCGTGGCAACCACTACCTGGCTTCCACCAATGTTCACACAAGGCCCAAGGGCTCTTCGGCCAGCAGGTGGTGAAGCCTGCCGGGCTTGTGTCCTTCCCTTCAGGATGGTGAGTTCTCTCCTGGCCCAGGGCAGGTCCAGAAATGCCATCTGGGAGCCAGGGCCTGGAGACAGAAACCTTAGGAATCTACCTGGTGCTCTATTCTACTGTGGCTGAGCTGGCACCCAAGCCACAAGAAAAAGTCTTTCCTACTTGATATGGTTTGGCTGTGTCCCACCCAAATCTCATCTTGATTTGTAGCTCCCATAATTCCCCTATGTTATAGGGGGTACCCAGTGGGAGATAAGTGAGTCATGGGGGCAGTTTCCCCCATACTGTTCTTGTGGTATTGAATAAGTCTCATGAGATCTGATGGCTTTATAAGGGGAAACCCCTTTGGCTTGGTTCTCATTCTGTCTTGCCTGCCACCATGTAAGACGTGCCTTTTGGCCAGGCATGGCAGCTCACGCCTGTAATCCCAGCACTTTGGGAGGCCGAGGCGGGTGGATCATGAGGTCAGGAGATCGAGACCATCCTGGCTAACATGGTGAAACCCCGTCTCTACTAAAAACTACAAAAAATTAGCTGGGCGCCTGTAATCCCAGCTACTCTGGAGGCTGAGGCAGGAGAATGGCGTGAACCCGGGAGGCAGAGCTTGCAGTTAGCCCAGACTGTGCCACTGCACTCCAGCCTGGGTGACAGAGTGAGACTCCATCTAAAAAAAAAAAAAAAAAAAAAAAAAAAGACGTGCCTTTCAGCTTCTGCCATGATTGTGAGGCCTCCCCAGCCACGTGGAACTGGGAGTTCATTAAGCCTCTTTTTCTTTATTAATTACCCAGTCTCAGGTATGTCTTTATCAGCAGCATGAAAACAGACTAATACACCACTCTTCCCTCACTTTTCCTCACACAGGAGTCTCTCTCTGTGGCCACCACTGCTCCAGGCCCATGGCAGGTACTGCCTGGCTACTGCTGATGTTCACTCAAGGCCCAGGCCCTCTTCAGTCAGCTTGTGGTGAGTGCTGCCAGGCCTGGGTCTTTTCCTTCAGGGAAGACAGCTCCCCTCTAGCCCAGGGCAGGTCCAGAAATGCTGTGCAAGAGCCAAGACCTCAATTGGGGATGCCAGCAGCTGCTGGGTGCTCTACCCTACTGTGGCCAAGCTGGTGTCCAAGATGCAAGACAAAGTCTCCTTTACTCTTTCCTCTCCTTTCCTCAAGCAGGAGTCTTTCCCCAGGGCCACCACAGCTGGGAATGCGCTGGGTCACACCTGAAATCAGCACGGCACTGGGTCTCACCCAAGGCCTGCGGCGAGCACTCTCTGGCAACCACTGATGTTTATTCAAGGCCCAAGAGATCTTTAGTCAGCAAGTAATGAATCCTGCCAGGACTGGGTCCTTCCTTTCAAGGCAGCGGCTTCCCTTCTGGTCCAGGGTGTGTCCAAAAATGTCATCCAGGAGTTAGGGCCTGGAATGGGGGCCTCAGGACTCCGCCTGGTGCCCTATCCTCCTATGGCTGAGCTGGTATCCAAGTTGCAAAACAAAGACCTCTTGACTTTTCGTCTCCTCTTCTCAAGCAGAAGGAAGGAGTCTCTCCCGGAACTGCAAGCTATACTGCCTGGGGTTTGGGGCTCGGGGGCTCAAGCACTCCCTTGGCTGCCTCAGCCAATGTCTCAGTGGGCCTCATGCCCTCCAGGTCCACTTGTTCTGAGCCCAGCAAGGCACCAGGACTTGCCCAGAAATTGCAGTCCTTGTGGCCTGACTGCCTTTCAAGTTTATTTATTTATTTATTTATTTATTTATTTGAGATGGAGTCTTGCTGTTGTCCGGGCTGGAGTGCAATGACGTGCTCTCGGCTCACTGCAATCTCTGCCTCTTGGGTTCAAGCGATTCTCCTGCCTCAGCCTCCTAAGTAGCTGGGATTACAGGCGTGCGCCACCATTCCCAGCTAATTTTTGTATTTTTAGTAGAGACGGGGTTTCACCATGTTGGTGAGGCTGGTCTCGAACTCCTGACCTCGTGATCCGCCTGCCTAAGCTTCCCAAAGTGCTGGGATTACAGGCATGAGCCACCGCGCCCAGCCTCAAGTTGATTTAGGGTCCCAGAGCACTTTGGCCCGCAGTGGCTAGGCATGCCAGAACTCAGGTTCTCACCACTAGAATAGATGATTTCCCTCTGTCTAATGATCATTTAAATGCTCCCTCCATGGGTGGTGTCTGATTTCTGCCCCATGGTGCTTTCCACTGTAATAGAACAGCGCTGAGTTCCAATGCAAAGCCTCAAATCAGTCACTGAGCTCTCCCTACCCCAAATGCACAGATTCTCTCTCCTTGCCATCTGACTGCTGCCAGGAGATGTGGGAGGGGTGGCATTTTGGGGTAGCACCTCACCCCAAAAGCCCATTGGCTTAAAATAGCAGTCCCATCCCAAAATCTCAAACCACCCCAAAAGCTCATTGGCTTAAAATAGCAGTCAAATATGACATCTCATGGTTCAGTAGGTTAAGTGGGTTTAACCAGTCGATTCTTTTTTTTTTGAGATGGAGTCTCACTATGTCGCCCAGGTTGGAGTGCAGTGGCGCAATCTTGGCTCACTGCAATCTCTGCCTCCCCGGTTCAAGCAATTCTCCTGCCTCAGCCTCCCGAGTAGCTGGGATTACAGGTGCTGGCTACCACACCCGGCTGATTTTTGTTTTGCCTTTTTTTTTTTTTTTTTCTGAGATGGAGTTTTGCTCTTGTTGTCCAGGCTGGACTGCAATGGTGTGATCTCGGTTTACTGCAAACCTCCGCCTCCTGGGTTCAAGCGATTCTCCTGCCTCAGCCTCCCGAGTAGCTGGGATGACAGGCACCCACCACCATGCCCCAGCTAATTTTTTTGTATTTTCAGTAGAGACAGGGTTTCACCAAGTTGGCTAGGCTGGTCTTGAACCCCTGACCTCAGGTGATCCATGTGCCTCAGCCTCCCAAAATGCTGGGATTACAGGTGTGAGCTACTGCACCCTGCCAAATGAGCCAATGATTGGGTGGAGTTTCTCAACTAGTTGCATTCAGATGGCAGCTGGGGCTGGAGTCATCCAAAGGCTCAGCTGGGCTGGAAATCCAAGATGGCGTCTTACATGTCTGACATCTCAGTTGGGATGGCTAGATCAGCTGCGGCTGACCAGTTATCTATCTCTCTCTCCATGCTGCCTCTTGCCATGCCCAGCTTCAGCTTCTGCATAGCATGGCAGTCTCAGGATATTCAGAATTTTTTTTTTTTCCCCAGATGGAATCTCACTCTGCCACCAAGGCTAGAGTGCAGTGGCATGATCTTGGCTCACTGCAACCTCCACCTCCAGGGTTCAAGTGATTCTCGTGCCTCAGCCTCCTGAGTAGCTGGGATTACAGGCATGCACCACCATGCCTGGTTAATTTTTTTGTATTTTTAGTAGAGACAGGGTTTCTCCATGTTTGCTAGGCTGGTCTCAAACTCCTGACCTCGCGTAATCCCCCCACCTTGGCCTCCCAAAGTGCTAGGATTACATGTGTGAGCTGCCATGCCTGGCTGAAAATAATAGATTTATACCTAACCATACTAATAATTGCATTGACTCTAAATTATGTAAACATCCAATTATAAGACAGAGATTTCAGACTAAATGAAAAAGCATGACCCAACTCTATGCTGCCCACAAGAAATTGTGTGTGTGTGTGTGTGAGACGGAGTCTTGCACTGTCGCCCAGACTGGAGTACAGTGGCATGATCTCAGCTCACTGCAACCTCCACTTCCCGGGTTCAAGCAATTCTCCTGCCTCAGCCTCCCAAGTAGCTGGGATTACAGGTGCCCACCACCACACCCGGCTAATTTTTTGTATTTTTAGTAGAGATGAGGTTTCACTATGTTGGCCAGGCTGGTCTCAAACACCTGACCTTGTGATCTACCCGCTTCAGCCTCCCAAAGTGCAGGGATTACAGGCGTGAGCCCTGCACCTGGCCAAAATACACTTTAAATAGAAAGACGTTCTGTACAAAAGTTAACTCAAAATGGACCACATCACTAAATGCAAAACTTAACATTTCTAGAAGGAAACATAGGAGAAAATCTTTGTGACCCTAGATGATGCAAAAGTTCATTATGTACAAGCATGATCATAAGAGAAAATCTTGATAAATTAGATTCCATCAAAATTAAAAACTTCTGCTCTTCAACAAACATTATTAGGAGAATGAAAAGATAAGCCAAACAGTGGGAGAAAATATTTGCAAATTACATACTTGATAAACAACTAGTATCCAGATATTTTAAGAACCCTTAAAAGTCAATAGCTAGAAAACAAACAACCCAATTATTTAAAAAGGGCAAATGATTTGAATAAACACTTCACTAACGAAGATATGCAGATGACAAACAAGTACACAAAAAGCTGCTCAACATCCTCAGTCGTTAGAGAAACGCAAATGAAAACCACAAGGTCACTCTCCACCTATTAGAGTGGTTATCGTGGAGAAAAGAGGCAGAGTGATTGCTTGAGGCCAGGAGTTTGAGACCAACTTGGGCAACATACTGAGATACCGTCTCTACAAACATAAAAATTAGGGGCCGGGCGCAGTGACTCACGCCTGTAATTCCAGCACTTTGGGAGGCCGAGGCGGGTGGATCACCTGAGGTCGGCAGTTCAAGACCAGCCTGGCCAACATGGTTAAACCCCGTATCTAGTAAAAAAATATATATACCAAAAATTAGCTGGGCATGGTGGCGTATGCCTGTAATTCCAGCTATTTGGGAGGCTGAGGCAGGAGAATTGCTTGAACCCCGGAGGTGGAGGTTGCAGTGAGTTGAAATCCCGTCATTGCACTCTAGCCTGGATGACAAGAGTGAAACTCTCAAAAAAAAAAAAAAAAAAAAAATCTATTATTTTCATGGTTTTTCCTGATTCATCTGGTCATTGTTCTCTTTTTCCACCTTCTTTTGGATTAATCAAGTTTTTTTTTTTTTTTTTTTTTTTGAGCAAGGATCTCACTCTTTTGCCCAGGCTGGAGTGCAGTGGTGTGATCATGGCTCACTTCTGCCTCGAACTCCTGGACAAAAGTGATCCTCCTACCACAGCCTCTCCAGTAGCTGAGACTATAGGCGTGTGCCCCCACACCTAGTTAAATTTTTTTTTTTTTTTTTAATAGAGATGGTGTCTCATGTGCTGCCCAGGCTGGACTTGAACTCCTGGGCTCAAGTGATTCCTCCCGCCTTGGCCTCCCAAAGGGCTAGGATTATAGGCATGAGCCACTATGACTGGCTGGATTAATCAAGTAATTTTTTTATGATTCCATTTTATCTCTTTTGTAGGCTTATTAGCTATAGCTCTTTGTTTTATTATTTTATTTATTTATTTATTTGAGAGTTTCACTCTTGTCACCCAAGCTGGAGAGCAGTGGCACGACCTAGGCTCACTACAACCTCTGCCGCCTGGGTTCAACTGATTCCCCTGCCTCACTCAGCCTCCAGAGTAGCTGGGATTATAGGCGCCTGCCACCATGCCCAGCTAATTTGTTTTAATAGAGATAGGGTTTCACCATGTTGGCCAGGCTGGTCTTGAACTCCTGACCTCAAGTGATCCACCCTCCTCAGCCTTCCAAAGTGCTGGGATGACAGGTGTAAGCCACCGCGCCCAGCTATTTTATTTTTTTTGAGACAGAGTCTCACTCTGTTGCCCAGGCTGGAATGCAGTGGCACGATATCGGCTTAGTGCAATCTCTGCCTCCCGGGTTCAAGTGATTTTCCTGCCTCAGCCTCCTGAGTAGCTGGGACTACAGGTGCCCGACACCAAGCCCGACTAATTTTTGTATTTTTAGTAGAGATGGGGTTTCGCCATGTTGGCCAGGCTGGTCTCAAACTCCTGACCTAAGGTGATCCACCCGCCTCGGCCTCCCAAAGTGCTGGGATTACAGGCGTGAGCCACCGCGCCTCACCTGCCTTGTTTTTTTAATGGTCACTGTAGAGTTTATAGTCCACATCTTTAACTTCTCGCAGTCTACATTCAAGTGCTACTGCACTCCACACTCCAGTGTGGGTGACAGAGCGAGACTCTGTCTCAAAAAAAAAAAAAAAAAAAAAAAAAAAAAAACCTAGCTGGGCGTGGTAGCGCACACCTATAGTCTCACCTACTCGGGAGGCTGAGTCACGAGAATTGCTTGAACCCAGGAGGTGGAGGTTGCAGAGAGCTGAGATCACACCACTGCACCCCAGCCTGGGAGACAGAGCGAGACTCCATCTCAAAAAATTAAAAAAAATTTTTGCCTAGTGCTACACATAGGAATGTGCAGGTGCACACGCATACACCTGCATACACACACATGTGCACAGGTACACATAGGAGTGAGTAAAACCAGTGAAATTGGAAGATTAAGGTCTTAGAATTGAACTAATGTCAATGTCCTGTTTTGATGTTGTATTACAGTTATATAAGATGTTAGCATCAGGTAAGTGGATGAAGGGCAAACAAGACCACCATGTACTTTTTTTTTTTTTTTGAGATGGAGTCTTGCTGTGTCACCCAGGCTGGAGTGCAGTGGCGAAATCTTGGCTCATCGCAACCTCTACCTCCTGGGTTCAAGCGATTCTTCTGCCTCAGCCTTCCAAGTAGCTGGGATTATAGGCACCTGCCACCACGCCCAGCTAAGTTTTGTATTTTTAGTAGAGACGGGTTTTGCCATGTTGGCCAAGCTGGTCTCGAACTCCTGATCTCGTGATCTGCCCTCCTTGACCTCCCAAAGTGCTGGGATTACAGGCATGAGCCACCACACCCAGCCTCTCTTTTTGTAACTTCTTATGAATCTATAATCTCTTAGAAATAAAAATAATCAGTCAGGTGCCATCGCTCATACCTGTAATCTCAGTACTTTGGGAGGCCGAGGTGGGTGGATCATTTGAAGTCAAGACTTTGAGACCAGCCTAGCCAACATGGCAAAACGCTGTCTCTGCTAAAAATACAAAAATTAGCTGGGCGTGGTGTCGGGCGTGGTGGCTCACGCCTGTAATCCCAGCACTTTGAGGCCCAGGTGGGCAGATCACCTGATGAGGTCAGGAGTTCGAGACCAGCCTGACCAACAGGGTGAAACACCATCTCTACTAAAAATACAAAAATTAGCTGGGTGTGGTGGTGGGTGCCTGTAATCCCAGCTACTTGGGAGGCTGAGGCAGGAGAATCACTTGAATCCAGGAGGCTGAGGTTGCAGTGAGCTGAGGCTGTGCCATTGCACTCCAGCCTGGGCAACAAGAGTGAAACTATCTCAGAAAGAAAAAAAAAAAAGCCCACAAGTATTTGGAAAGTAAATAACCCAGAAGTCGAAGAAGAAATCAAAAGAGAAAGTATAAACTACATAAAACTCAATGAAAAAAAATAACATATCAAAATACATGACATGAGATAAAGTAATGCTTAGAAAGACATTGATAGATTTTTAAATGCTTAATTAGAAAAGAGGAAAAGGAGGACTGGGGAGACGGTGGTCAAAGGATACAAATTTCAGTTAGGAGGAGTAAGTTCAGGAGATCTATTGCACAACATGGTGACTACAGTTTTGTTTTTTTTTTGTTGTTTGTTTGAGATGGAGTCTCTCTCTGTTGCCCAGGCTGGAGTGCAATGGTGCTACCTCGGCTCACTGCAACCTCTGCCTCCCGGGTTCAAACCATTCTCCTGCCTCAGCCTCCTGAGTAACTGGGATTACAGGCGAGCACCACCATGCCCGGCTAATTTTTATATTTTTAGTAGAGATGGGGTTTCACCATGTTGGCCAGGCTGGTCTTAAACTCCTGACCTCAAGTGATCCGCCCACCTTGGCCTCCCACAGTGCTGGGATTACACGCATAAGCCACTGCGCCTGACCAACTACAGTTAATAACAATGTATTGTATACTTGAAAATTTCGAAGAGAGTAGTTCTATTTCTTTATTTTATTGTTATTATTGTTTTTTTCTGAGACAGTGTCTTGCTCTGTCGCCCAGGTTGGAGTGCAGTAATGCAATCTCGGCTCACTGCAAGCTCCGCCTCCCGGTTTCACTCCATTCTCCTGCCTCAGCCTCCCGAGTAGCTGGGACTACAGGCGCCTGCCACTACGCCCAGCTAATTTTTTGTATTTTTAGTAGAGACGAGGTTTCACCGTGTTAGCCAGGATGGTCTCGATCTCCTGATCTCGTGATCCGCCCGCCTCGGCCTCCCAAAGTGCTGGGATTACAGGCGTGAGCCACCATGCCCGGCCTATTTTATTTTTTTTGAGGCGGAGTTTCGCCCTTGTTGCCCAGGCTGGAGTGCAGTGGCACCATCTTGGCTCACCATCTTTGCTCACCGCAACCTCTGCCTCCCGGGTTCAAGCGATTCTCCTGACTCAGCCTTCCAAGTAGCTGTGATTATAGGCATGCGCCACCACGCCCGGCTAATTTTTGTATTTTTAGTAAAGATGGGGTTTCACTGTGTTAGCCAGGATGGTCTCCATCTCCTGACCTCGTGATCCGCCCACCTCAGCCACCTCCCAAAGTGCTGGGATTACAGGCGTGAGCCATTGTGCCTGGCCAGAACTCTGTCTCAAAAACAAAACAAAACAAAACAAAATTATGCACATGAAAAACATCAGTCACAAAAGACTACGTTATGTATTTCCAAATGTGAAAAGTCCAAAATAGGTAGATTAATAGAGACAGAGAGATTAGTGTCTGCTTAGGGCTAGAAAGTTACTAGGGAGATTGGATATTAACTACAAATGAGTATGAGGTTTCTTTATTTAAAATTTTTTTATTGTGCTGAAATATACATAAAATTTACTATTTTAACTTTTTTTTTTTTTTTTTTTTTTTTTTTTGAGATGGAGTCTTGCTCTGTCTCTTAGGCTGGAGTGCAGGGGCACGATCTCGGCTCACTTCAACCTCTGCCTCCTGGGCTCAAGTGATTCTCTTGCCTGAGCCTCCTGGAGTAGCTGGGATTATAGATGCGCCACCACGCCTGGCTAAGTTTTGAATTTTTAGTAGAGATGTGGTTTCTCCACGTTGGCCAGGCTGGTCTCGAACTCCTGACCTCACATGATCCGCCCACCTCGGCCTCCCAAAGCGCTGGGATTACAGGTGTGAGCCACCTCACCCGGCCACTTTTTTTTTTTTCTTTTTTAATGAGACAAGGTCTCACCTATCATCTAGGCTACAACGCAGAGGCACAATCACAGCCAACTGCAACCTTGAACACCTGGCTTCAGGCGATCCTCCCACCTCTGTGTCCCAAACTGCTGTGTGAGCCACTGTGCCCAGCCAAAAGCTGTTTTTCAATGGAGGACCAACATCTGAAAAGTACATTGACAAACTGAGGCTCTTATATGTTTAATTCAACGCCTACAGGGCAGTGGCAGTGGCTCACGCCTGTAATCCCAGCACTTTGGGAGGATGAGGCAGGAGGATGGCTTGAGGCCAACCTGGTCAACATAGTGAGACTCTGTCTTTACAAAACAAATAAAATATTAGCTGGGTGTGCTGGCACGAGCCTGTAGTCCCAGCTACTCAGAAGGCTGAGGTGGGAGGATCACTTGGGCTAGGAGGTAGAGGCTGCAGTGAGCTATGATCGTGTCATTGCACTCCAGCCTGGGCAACAGAGCAAAGACCCTGTCTCTAAAAAATAAATAATAAATGTCTATGGACTGCACAATATTGTTGATTCCTCAACTCCTCTCTTGCTCTTTTGCATATTGGCAACATAAAAAGTGTCATTTTCGGGCTGGGCACAGTGGCTCATGCCTGTCATCCCAGCACTTTGGGAGGCTGAGGCGGGTAGATCACTTGAGGTCAGGAGTTGGAGACCAGCCTGGCCAACATGGTGAAGCCCCGTCTCTACTAAAAATACAAAAATTAGCTGGGTATGGTGGTGGTGGAGGGGGGGCACCTGTAATCCCAGCTACTCAGGAGCCTGAGGCAGGAGAATAAATTGCTTGAACCTGGGAGGTGGAGGTTGCAGTGAGCTGAGATCGCGCCATTGCACTCTAGCCTGGGCGACAGAATGAGACTCTGACTGAAAAAAAAAAAAAAAAGAAAATGTCATTTTCAGAGGGCAAAGTGAGGAAGGTGCACCCTCAGGACATTCTTGCCTCAGCCTGGGGAAAGAGAGTTTAAGCAATTCCCCCAGAAAGGCACAGGAACCTCAGCCCAGAGAGGGGCAGCTTCCTGCCTCGGGTCAGGAAGCACAGCCTTGGGCTCCGAGAGTCCCTCGTCTCTACCTCCCCAAGTTCAAATGTGCATGCGTGAAGTTCCAAACCCAGCCCCAGTGCTAACCCCTGGCTGCCTCCTCTTTCTGACTTCTCAGGGAAAAAAAAAAAAACCACATACACACAAAAAATCCCACAAGTCAGGAAACATCCATCACGGGCTGTCCAGCCCAGGCCGGAGGGGCAGGAGTCAGCAGGGAGGTGACCTCAAGGTCTCCGTGGGGACTAGGATCCGGCGGGGCTGGGGGTGAGAGGCTGGAAATTTTCCCACCCCGAGACTTTCCTGCGTCAACCCAGGAGGGCGCCCTGGATGCCGCCAGCCCTGCCCCCAACCTCCTTCCTCTCCTGACAGGGCAGCTTCCCGGCTAAGGATGGATGGGGAGGGTGTGCCAAGATGGAGCCACCAGGACCAGGAATGGACAGGCACTTTGAGATTGACCAGACGAGGGACCCTGGCTCAGAGTGGCGAAGGCCTGGCCTCAGAGCCACACAGCCAGGAGGTGTACATGGGTTGGCGTCGCTCCCAGCACATGCAGCCTCCCTCTACCTCCACTACCCTGCCCAGGAGCTGGAGCCCAGCCCGGCCTTGGGTGTGTGAGAAGCCACTGGCCCGGGGCCCTGCTTCCCCGGTCCTTCCTCCCCACAACACACTCAGGACTCAGCCCTTCCTTGTGTTAAATAGAAACCTCTTTATTCTAAGTATCGAACGTTCCTTAATACATTGGATTGGGGCCAGACCTTGAGGTGAGGGAAAGGGGCGGGGGAGCTGGGATATTTCTGTAGAGACTTCCAGAACGACACTCACCACTCTGGGCTATGGCAGGAGGGGAGGTGCTGGGAACAGGCTTCATGGCCTTGGGAAAATGCTTTGTCTCTTTGGCCTCTGTTTCCCCCTACCTTTTTTTTTTTTTTTTTTTTTTGAGAAAGGGTCTTGCTTTGTTGACCAGGCTGGAGTGCAGTGGCACAGTCATAGCTCACTGCAGCCTCGAACTCCAGTGATCCTCCAGCCTCAGCCTCACCAGTAGCTGGGACTACAGGCACACACCACCGTGCCCAGCTAATTTTTTATTTTTTGTAGAGATAGGGGGCAGGTCTCACTATGTTGCCCAGGCTGGTCTTGAACTCCTGGGCTCAAGCAATCCTCCGGCCTCAGCCTCCCAAAGTGTTGGGATTACAGGCATGAGCCACCGTGCCTGGCGTTTGTTTCCCTTCTGTACAGGGAGTTTGGGGTTGGGTGAAAAGACATCTAAGGGTCTTTCTATCCCAGGGGTGTGTGGTCCCAGGCAGGGAGTCAGGAGGGGCGCCGTACGGGAGGTTGGCTTGTCAGCAGCATAGATGGGGTCACTAAGGCCGGCGGTTGGGTGACCCTCAGCGCTGGGCCCGAGGTCGCGCTAGAGACGGAGGCCGGGGCCGAGGCAGACAGGCCAAACTGGGCCTGGCCAGCCGGGAGAGGGGGAGGCGGCCCAGGAAGAGAGGGAGGCTGAGACAGAAAGATGGGCGGGGCACAGGGATGTCTGCAAAGAAGGCACGGTCCCGAGGGGGTGACAGGGCTCCCTCCTCAGAGAGTTCCAGGTCCCGGGCCACGGCCAGGATCTCCTGGCGGGCGGCTGTGTTGCGCAGGCCACGGATGTCGAGGAGGGCTGCCACGTGCTTCTGCCTGTGGGGAGAGGAACAGACAGGTGCATGCAGATCCCCAGCTCTAGACACACACCCAACCCAGCCGTGGACCCCACCTGACCCCCTCACCTATCCCAGAAATTGCCTGAGTTCTGGGGCCTCTGTGTCCCCTCCAGAGCCTTCCCTCCAATCAGCTCCCTTGCCCAGGCCCTCACCTCATACCAGCTCCCTCCAGAACTTCACTTCCAACCATCTCCAAATCCCCCTTACAACCAACCCCAGAACCAGCCCTGGGATCTTCCTTTTCACCCCAAGCCTCAGCTCGTGATTAAAATTCACCTTCTCAGCTGGGTGCCGTGGCTCATGCCTGTAATCCCAGCACTTTGGGGGGCCAAGGCAGGCGGATCACCTGAGGTCAGGAGTTCGAGACCAGCCTGGCCAACATGGCGAAACCCTCTCTCTACTAAAAATACATTAAAAAAAAAAAAAAGCTGGGTGTGGTGGCAGGCGCTTGTAATCCTAGCTACTCAGGAGTCTGAGGCAAGAGAATCCCTTAAACCTGGGAGGCAGAGGTTGCAGTGAGCTGAGATCGCGCCACTGCAGTCCAGCCTGGGTGACACAGCGAGACTCCATTTCAAAAGTAAAAAAAAGAAAGAAACCTTGTACCCCACTCCCCCTAAATCCTCAGCCCTAGGTACCTCCTAATCTCAAGCTCAACCCCCTAAACCCAACCCAGCTAGCAAACTCTTAAACTTAGCTACAGATTCAAGTTCTGACTCATGATCCAATATTCAAGTTCAGAAACTCCACATCAGCAAGAATACTGGGACTTCTTGGGACCCCATGGGACTCCAGGAATATGTGCCTTCCCAAGGACATGACCTTATCCCCCAGAATCAGAACTGACCACCCTGAATCAATTCCAGGACCCCCACCCTCAGTGCTGAAACTGAAACCCGCTCATGCCTCACTCCTTGTTTTTCTGGGGTTCTGTTTCTCTGAGTATGTCTGAGAATGTGTCTGCCCAAATAGCACTGCAAGGACTGGCGTTGCTCCGGCAGCCACCACCACTGCCACCACCATCCAGCACTGTCACATGGTGGTGTGGTGTGCTGATCTGGTACACTAGTTTTTTTGTGTGTTTGTTTGTTTGTTTGTTTGTTTTGAGACAGAGTCTTGCTCTGTTGGCCAGGCTGGAGTGCAGTGGCGCGATCTCAGCTCACTGCAACCTCCGCCTCCTGGGCTCAAGCAATTCTCCTGCCTCAGCCTCCCGAGTAGCTGGGATTACAGGAGTGTGCCATCACACCTGGCTAATTTTTGTATTTTTAGTAGAGACGGTGTTTCACCATGTTGGCCAGGCTGGTCTCGAACTCCTGACCTCAGGTGATCCACCTACCTCGGCCTCCCAAAGTGCTGGGATTACAAGCGTGAGCCACCATGCCCGGCCGATCTGGTGTACTAGTTTTAGAGCCAGTCTACTGCCTGGGTTCAAGTTCCACCTTTGCCACTTGCTAGGCGTGATATTTCAATAGCTTTAATTATACCCCTTACTTATAGGCCAAGCGCAGTGGCTCACGCCTGTAATCTCAGCACTTTGGGAGGCAGAGGCAGGCGGATCACCTGAAGTCAGGAGCTCAAGACCAGTGTGGTCAACTTGGTGAAATCCCATCTCTACTAAAAATACAAAAATTAGCCGGGCGTGGTGGCACATGCCTATACTTGGGAGGCTGAGGCACAATAATCTCTTGAACCCGGGAGGCAGAGGTTGCAGTGAGCTGAGATCACTGCACTTCAGCCTGGGCGACAAAGTGAGACTCTGTCTCAAAAAACAAAACAAAACAAACAACAACAAAATACCCCTTATAAAGTTGGCATGGGCTGGGCAACGGTGGCTCACACTTCCCCATTCGTGGGAAGCCGAGGCAGGCAGATCACTTGAGCCCAGAAGTTCGAGACCAGCCTGGGCAACATGGTGAAACCCATCTCTGCAAAAAATACAAAAAATTAGCTGGGCATTGTGGTGCATGCCTGTGGTCCCAGCTACTCAGAAGGCTGAGGTGGGAGGGCTGCTTGAGCCCAGGAGGTCAAGGCTGCAGTGAACCGTGATTGTGCCACTGCACTCCAGCCAGGGAAACAGAGTGAGACCCTGTCTCAAAAAAAAAAGAAAAAAAGTTGGCATGTAAGATGCTTATTTAGGTCTGAAATAAGAACTCATTGAGTGAGAACTGGAATTGTTACTATAGTCATGGATGATGATGATGATGATGATGATGATAAATTTCCCTAATAACCCTATGACGAGAATACTACTATCCCCATGGAACGGATGAGGAAACTGAGGCTCCGAGAAGGTCACCTACAAAGGAAGTGACCTGGCAGGAGTTGAATGCCGCCTGCGCCTGCCGCTGTCCCAGTGCGTGTGCGCCCGTGTGCCCTGCGTGTCCCTGAGTCCCCTGCGGCTCCCCTGCGGGCTGGCCCTTCCTGCCTCCAGGCAGCCCTGCGCCCCCCTGCCCTGGGCTTCCTGTGACCGCCTGTTTGTTTGTGAGCCCTGGTGGCGGTGGCGGCGGAGGCAGCAGCGGCGGCAGGAGAAGGAGGGAAATCTTATTAATAATGCCCTGGTTCCAGCAGGAAACGGCCGTCAGACACGCTCACCGGCTCCCTCCCTCAGGAGGCAGGAAGCACAGGGACGGATGCCAAGGCCGCCAGGAGACCTCGGCCAGGCACGGCGAGCCCTGGCCCAGGCGGGGTGTCTCACCTGATGTCTGGGTAGTCGCGCACCAACACTCCCACCTCCACCTGGATGCTGGGCGTGTCTTCCAGCTGCATGACTTCAGCCAAATGGGGCACCACGGCATCCAGCCACGAGGCCTGGGACTCCTGCAGGGGAGGGAGGGTGCGGGGTCACACCCTCCCAAGATTGACCCTGCCAATTCCTGCCCCTCCTGGCTTGTTATACCATCTCTAAAATGTAGCAGAAACCAGGGGTGGTGGCTCAAGCCTGTAATCCCAGCACTTTGGGAGGAGGCCGAGGCGGGTGGATCACTAGAGGTCAGGACATCGAGACCAACCTGGCCAGTATGGTGAAACCCCATCTCTACTAAAAATACAAAAATTAGCCAGGCGTGGTGGTGCACACCTGTAATCCCAACTACTCAGGAGGCTGAAGCAGGAGAATCACTTGAAATCGAGAGGCAGAGGTTACAGTGAGCGGAGACTGCACCACTGCACTCCAGCCTGGGTGACGGAGCGAGACTCTGTCTCAAAAATAAAGAATAAAAATAAAAATAAAAAATAAAATGTAGCAGAAGACATACTATGGCCACATTTGAGAAAAATCCATAATATAATCTCCTCCCAGTTTTGCAGGTAATTTGGAACTCTGGGAAACATCTCCAAACCTCTTCCACGTCTGCAAAATCTTGCCTTTGCGGGGATGGAGACTGGACAAAGTGTACAAGGAAGCTCCCTGCATTCTTTCTTACATCTGCATGTGAATCTACAATTATCTCAAAAATTTTCCAAAGAAAACATTCCAAGGACTCCGGGCTTGGAACTCCAAGAAGAGCGACTGAATGAGGCCCTTCCAGCCCAGCTGAATACAACTGGGTACAAATAAGATCTGGCGGTTTTTAATTCCAGGGTTTAGAAATGTTAGGATTTCTGTGTTTCTGTTGCATGTAGTTTCTCTGTACGTTCATGGAGTCTTTTTTTTCTTTTTTTTTTGAGACAGAGTCTCACTCTGTCCTCCAGGCTGGAGTGTGGTGGCAGGATCTCGGCTCACTGCAACCTCCGCCTCTTAGTTCAAGCGATTCTCCTGCCTCAACCTCCCAAGTAGCTGGGATTACAGGCGTGAGCCACCACACCCGGATAATTTTGGTAATGCAAGGAGTTTTAACTCTGAGCCAGGCACTGTCCAAAGCACTTAACAGGAATTAACCAATCTGATCCTCAAAACAATGGATAGGGACCATTATTCGCCTTATTTAACAGCCGAGGAAAGCGCCCAGAGGCGAGTTCTCAGAGCAAGAAAGCCAGGTTTTAAGTGCAAAGGGTGTCGGTCAAAGTTACTGGTTGCTATTGACCCGAAGTTGGGTGAGAGTTTCTGTCCTGAGCTCTGCCCCTCTCCCCCTGGCTTTTGGGACCTGAGATTCTCGGAAGCCAAGCCTTGTCCTGGTTTCTGAAACACCCCCAACCGCGTCCCGACACTGACCAGCCGCCGGAACAGCCTCTGCAGTTGCGCCGCGTCCTCCCGGAGCCTGCCGGCCACGCGGCTGCGGGTCCGCGCCGAGCTGCAGCGCAGGCGCCCACGGAGCAGGGGCCGCACGTACTCGACCAGCGCCCGCCGGTGTAGCTCGGCTACCAGCGCCTGGAGGCGGAGGAGGGAAACCCGAGGGGTGTGAGCCATGCCCCACGGACTCCCATCCCGCCAGTCTGAAGGCCACCCCCGCCCCACTCGCCCACATCCACTCCGGGCACCCATGGGCACCCTTCCCGTGCCCACGCCCCAGTCCCCAGCCCCTGAGCTATCCTAGGATGCCTTCCCTGGCCCCCTAATTAGCCCGCGGACAGTCTCTGCCGGTCCCCAAAGGGTGCTCCATCCCAGCCTCTCCCCATTCCCCAAGCTCCACTCTCAGGGGCCCTGACTCAGTCTGCACCCCGCCTTACACCCCAGTTCCACGCACATGCCTCCCCGCAGACCCCGGGCAGGGGCCACCTCTCCCATCCACAGGGAGCCGCTCCCCACCTTAGAGGGGTTTCCTCCAGCAGGAGCGTTCTTGGCTCTCCCAACCTCCCAATCTCCCCTCTTCCCGTCCCTTTCCCCTTTCCTCCTCCCCTCTTTTCCCCCACCCCCACCTCCCCTCCCCTCAGGCAGGTGCACCTGGTAAGGCTCGTCCTGCATTCTGCGCAGGGCCAGGGCCTGGGCACCCAGCGTGCCCACGATGCCATCCAGGGCCTCCGGGCTGCTCAGCCACTTCCGGCGCATCAGCTTGTTGAAGTGTGGCTGGCAGGGACAGAGTAGGGGGTCACGCTCTCCTCCCTCCCACCCTCCCTCTTCACTTAGGAATAAGTTCCTGCAACCCTGCTCCGTGTTGAACCAGGGCTGTGCGGTGCTGGGAACACAAGGGGAAGAGATAGCCCCAGCCCTGGCATCCTTGGACTCACAGTCCAGAAGGGGAGAGAGACTGGTCCCCAGGTAGTGATGACCCAAAGCTGGCAAGGCTGGGACTCGGGAACCCAGGGGTTTAGGAAGCCCAGAGGGGATGCCTGACTCAGCATAGAGCCATGGAGGGCTTCCTGGAGGAGGGGACACCGGAACTGAGGCCCTGGTGATGATCTTCCTTAGCCAAGTGAGGGATGGGGGAGGGGGAGTGGCTCAATGGGAGAAAATAGTGAGTATTAAGAAAGTTCAGATTTCAGATGGGCATGTCAGGGAGAGGACCAGCGAAAAGGTCAGTGTGGTTGATGAAAACAGGGGACTTCATTTAAAAATTATTAAGGGCCGGGCACAGTGGTTCACACCTGTAATCCCAGCACTTTGGTAGGCCGAGGCAGGAGGGTAGCTTGAGCCCAAGAGTTTGAGACCAGCCTGGGCAACATTGCGAGACCCCATCTCTACAAAACATTTAAAAGTTAGCTGGGACTGCGCGCAGTGGCTCACGCCTGTAATCCTAGCACTTTGGAAGGCTGCGGCGGGTGGATCACCTAAGGTCAGGAGTTCAACCCTGTCTCTACTAAAATACAAAAATTAGCCGGGCGCGGTGGCGTGCAACTGTAGTTCCAGCTACTCTGGATGCTGACACAGCAGAATTGCTTGAACCTAGGAGGTGGAGGTTGCAGTGAGCCGAGATCACACCACTGCACTCCAGCCTGGGCGACAGAGTAAGACTCCGTCTCAAAAATAAGTAAATCAATTAAAAATAATAAAAATTAGCTGGGTATGGTGTCATGTGCCTGTAGTCCCAGCTACTCAGAAGGCTGAGGTGGGAGGATGGCTTGAGCCCAGGAGTTCAGGCTGCAGTGAAATATGATCATGATACTGCACTCCAGCCTGGGTAACAGAGGGAGGCCCCGTCTCAAAAAAAAAAAAAAAAAAAAAGAGAAAAAGTAAGAACTTTAAGACATATTTTTAAAATTCATTAACTATGCACAGCCCTTAAGGGAAGGAGGACGGATTGCTTCCACATTCCACTTCCTAGGTCTGGTTGAGAAAACATGTTCCCCATCTGGAGCTCTTAGGAAGGAGTATAGTAAATGCCTCAGTTAATAACATCCTCCTTTTTGAAAGTTGCCTTTTCTCTCCACCCTTGAGTAGATCCGGTATTTGACGAAACTTGTGAAAGTGGGTGGAACCTGTCTTGCCCCCTCTTTTCTAGAATGCACTGTATATGCGACTGTGACTTTCAAGGAAATGTGTTTGCCATTTGCTGATTTTGGGGGGAAGTTAATTTCTAACTTCTTCCACTGGTAAATGAAGGAAAGTATTGCACCTTGCAAATGCACCAAATGAATTGAGTTCACCATTTTAAAAACCGTCTTTTGGCCAGGCGGATCTCATTGGAAAATTATTAAGGGGCCAGGCATGGTGGCTTACACCTGTAATTCCAGCACTTTGGGAGGCTGAGGTGGGTGGATCACTTGAGGTCAGGAGTTCGAGACTAGCCTGGCCAGCATGGTGAAACCCCATCTCTACTAAAAATACAAAAAATTAGCTAGGCGTGATGGTGGGCGCCTGTAATCCCAGCTACTCGGGAGGCTGAGGCAGTAGAATCTCTTGAACCTGGGAGGCGGAGGTTGCAGTGAGCTGAGATCAAGCCATTGCACTCCAGCCTCAGCAACAAGAGCAAAACTCTGTCTCAAAAATAAATAAATAAATTAATTAAGGGCTGGGCACAGTGGCTCATGCCTGTAATCTCAGCACTTTGGGAGGCTGAGGCTCAAGAATTGCTTGAGCCAAGGGCAACATAGTAAGACTCCCTCTCTATAATTTTTTTTTGTTTGTTTAATTAGCTGGGCATGGTGGCCCACACTGTGGTCCTAGCTACTTAGGAGGCTGATGTGAGAGGATCATGTAAGCCCAGGTGGTTGAGGCTGCAATGAGCTATGATCATGCCATTGCACTCCAGCCTGGGCGACAGAGCAAGATTCTATCTCAAAAAAACAAACAGAAACAAAAACAAAACTCTTTTTCCCCCTGCCCAAAACAAAAAATAATAATAACTTTAAGACAGTGACAGAAGAGCATTAAACCAAGATTGGGCCTTTCGAAGTGTGTGTTTTGGGGGTGAGGGAAGCTGTGCGACCCTGAAGCTGGCATTGGGGTTTATTCCAGGCATAAGACAGGGAGGGGAGAGGTGAGGCTGGGGCAGGGCTGGATTGCACATGGCCTCCTGGGCTTGGGGAGAAGCCCCAGCTTTCTCCTGAGGGCACTAGGCAGCCATGGCCAGTTTGAGCTGGGGAGGGAGAGGGTCAGATTTGTGCTTTACCGAGATGGGAGGAGACGAGACTGAGGTAGAAATGATGGAGGAGGCTGGAAAAAAGGGGAAAGTGGAGATAGGGAGGGGATGAAAGGGGGTGAGGAAGGGGAAGAGGAGAATCCAAGTGGTAGAATTCATAGGATGAAGTGAGTGACCACCACCTGTGGGGAGGGAAGGGAGGTATCTGGAGGACACCAGAGACCCTGGAGATGGGCAGGCCGTGGGTCTCTCCCTGAGACAGGGGCGGGGGGAGGGTCGGGGGAGAGGCTGCAGTCTGGGTAGACACAGGGCATGTGAAGTTCGGAGATATCCCCAAGATGGTATCCATGGGAGGGCGTCTAATTCCCTCTTCAGCTCAGCCTCAGCACCTGCTCTCTCACCCTGACAGCAGCCCAGTTTTCTTTTTTGTTTTTTTGTGGTTTTTTTTTTTTGAAAGATAGGGTCTCACTATATTGCCCAGGCTGGTGTTGAACTGCTGAACTCAAGCAATCCTCCCACCTCACAGCCTCCCAAAGTGCTGGGATTACAGGTGAGAGCCACCATGTCTAATGTGTTGCTGGGTTTTGTTTGTTTGTTTTGAGACGGAATCTCGCTCTGTCGCCAGGCTAGGGTGCAGTGGCGCGATCTTGGCTCACTGCAACTTCTGCCTCCCAGTCAAGTGATTCTCCTGCCTACTCTCCTGAGTAGCTGGGGCTACAGGCACGTGCCACCATGCCCGGCTAATTTTTGCATTTTTAGTAGAGATGGGGTTTCACCGTGTTGGCCAGGATGGTCTCTTGACCTTGTGATCTGCCTGCCTTGGCCTCCCAAAGTGCTGAGATTATAGGTGTGAGCCACTGTGCCCAGCAGGGCTTTTTTTTTTTTTTTTTTTTTGATACAGGGTCTTGCACTGTCTCCCAGGCTGGAGTGCTACGGTGTGAACACAGCTCACTACATCCTCAACTTCCTGGGATCAAGCGATCCTCCCACTTCAGCCTCCCAAGTACCTGGGACTACAGGCACCCACCACCACACCCAGCTTATTGTTTTTTATTTTTTGTAGAGAAGAGGCCTCATTATGTTGCCCAGGCTGGTCTTGAACTCCTGGGCTCAATCGATCCTCCTGCCTCAGCCTTCAAAAGTGCTGGGATTACAGGTGTGAGCCACCACGCCCGGCCAGCTCTGTTTTCTGAACCTCCAAAAATGGAGCAAGGCATGAGGGAACCCACATAATGCCTGGGCCCTGGTGATTCTCCCAGGGTCCCCACCCTGGCTGATGCTCACATACACATGCACACTCATGCACACGGCGCACACACACACACAAACACTCCCTCAAAAGCCTACAGCTGTTCACACACTCACACAGGCATGCGAGCACAGCACTGTGTCCTGTCTCTTCATGTCTCTAGCTGGTTGTTTTTCTCTCCTTTTTTTTTTTTTTTTGAGACGGAGTCTCACTCTGTCGCCCAGGCTGAAGTACAGTGGCATGATCTCATTTCATTGCAACCTCTGCCTCCCACGTTCAAGCGATTCTCCTGCCTCAGCCTCCCGAGTAGCTGGAATTACAGGCGCTTGCCACCACGCCTGGCTAATTTTTTGTATTTTTAGTAGAGACGGGGTTTCACCATGTTGGCCAGGCTGGTCTCAAACTCTTGACCTCAAGTGATCTGCCTGCCTTGGCTTCCCAAAGTGCTAAGATTACAGGCATGAGCCACCACGCACAGTCTATCTCTAGCTGGTTCTGATGTCTCTCCCTCTGTCCCTCTGTCCCAGTCTCTCTCCTTTCCTTCCTCCCTCACCTATCTTGTTTTCTCAGTCTCTCCCTGTTTCTTTTGCTTCTGCTCTCTCTGTCTGTGTCTCTCTCTCCCTCAAAACATACATAGTGGTTTATAAGGCCAGGCACAGTGGCTCATGCCTGTAATCCCAGCCTGGGTGACAGAGCAAGACTCTGTCTCAAAAACAATTTAACAAAAACAAAAAAGCAAACATACATAGTGGTTTATAGACTAAGACCGTAGATTCGCAATGGGCTTTGCCACTTGCTGGTCTCATCTTCCTCACCTGTAAAATGAATCTACAACCCATCTCATAGGATTGCAGTGAGAATTAAACGAGCCGATACTCTCAAGCACCTGGCACAGTGAGTCCTGAGAATGTGTTTGCTGTTGCTATAAAGTCTGTATATTTAAGATAGCAAGCTGGGTGTGGTGGCTTACATCTGTAATCCCAACACTTTGGGAGGCCAAGTCAGGAGGATCGCTTGAGCCCAGGAGTTCAAGACCAGCCTGGGCAACATAGTGAGACCCTGTCTCTACCAGAAATACAAATAAATAGGCAGGGCGAGGTAGCTCACACCTATAATCCCAGCACTTTGGGAGGCCAAGGTGGGCAGATCACGAGGTCAAGAGATCGAGACCATCCTGGCCGACATGGTGAAACCCCGTCTCTACTAAAAATACAAAAATTAGCATGGTGGCGTGGTGGCAACCGCTATAGCATGGCAGGTGGCAGTAAGTGCTTTGGAGAAAAATAGCAGGGAGTCGGGAGGGGGGTTTGGTCTAGGGGCTTCTGTTTTTTTGTTTTTTGAGAGGGAAGTCTCGCTCTGTCACCCAGGCTGCAGTGCAATGGTGCGATCTTGGCTCACTGCAACCTCAGCCCCCTGGGTACAGGCAATTCTCCTGCCTCAGCCTCCAGAGTAGCTGGGAGTACAGGTGTGTGCTGCCACACCTGGCTAATTTTTGTAATTTTAGTAGAGACGGGGTTTTGCCATATTGGCCAGGCTGGTCTCAAACTCCTGACCTCAAGTGATCCGCCCACCTTGGCCTCCCAAGTGCTGGGATTACAGGCGTGAGCCACCGCACCCAGTCAGAGCTTCTGTTTTAAATGGGGCAATCAGCGAAGGTCGCACTGAGGTGACATTTGAGTCAAGACTTGAGGCAGGGCATGGTGGCTCACACCTGTAATCCCAGCACTTTGGGAGGCCGAGGTGGGCAGATCACATGAGGCCAGGAGTTTGAGACCAGCCTGGCCAACATGGTAAAACACCATCTCTACTAAAAATACAAAAAAATTAGCTGGGCGTGGTGGTGCATGCCTGTAATCCCAGCTACTAGGGAGGCTGAGGCAGGAAAATCGCTTGAACCTGGGAGGCAGAGGTTGCAGTGAGCTGAGATTGTGCCATTCCACTCCAGCCTGGGCGACACAGGGAGACTGTCTCAAAACAAAACAAGACTTGAAACAGGCATGAGAGGCAGCTATGTGGCTGTGAGAGGGAGAGCATTCCAGGCAGAGGGAAGGGCAAGTGCAAAGGCCCTGAGGCAGGAATGTACTTGCTGGGTTAAGAGACAGCAAGGGGGCTGGCGTGGCTGGAGTGGGATTAGTGGGAGAGCCAGGAGTGGGGGGAGGGTGGCGGGCAGGGCAGGAGATGAGGTCTGAGAAGGAGAGTAGTGAGGGAAGGGGCTGATTGTGCCGGGTTGTGGGGGCTACAGTGGGATTTTGGCATTTGCTCTGCGTGAGCTGGGAGTTGTGGGAGGATTCTGAGCAGAGAGAAGGGGAGTGTTCCACTGTATAACATGGGTTGAGCTTGTGTTACGGCCAGGAACACACTCCCCCTGCAGTCTCTCTCCTCAGTGCTCCCACCCCCCTACCACATTCACTCACCCACCTTTGCACCGAACCCCTATAGGGCGGGCACGAGGACCAGGAGATGGGTGTATGGGGCTCTGGGGTCTAGGAGAGCCTGAGCAGGGATCTGGGGGACCTCAGTGGGGAGGGGCTCCATCCAAACCTCAAGCCCCCTCCTGCTGATGGCCCTCTGTTATCCCGGTGGGTGCACCCTCTCCACTCCACCAACAGCCCAGGCATGGCCTTAACTGCCCCTGCCCCCCGCCCCTGTCTGCTTCCCAAACACTGAGCCATGGGCTAAAAGGAACTGGAGGATGGTGGGGGGCAGCGCTTCCCTGTCCTGGCATGGGCCCCAACCCTGGCCTCCCACCTCACTCACCTGCAGCTCCTGGAACAGCAGGTTGGCCACGACACGGTGGCAGAGCCGGGTCACATGGTCCAGAGCACTAGCAGATGCTTCCCGGGCCGGCTCGCTTTCTGGGGGCCCCACCCGGGCCAGGCGCTCGGCCAGAGCTCTGTGGGGATCAACAGAGCCAAAACTGAGGGACCCCAACATCTCAGCCCAACTGCCTAGGCCTGTCTTCCCTTAGGTAGATCAGAGGGGCACAGGGGTGACAGGTCAGATGGGGGGCTGAGAAAGGTCAGGGACTCTGGAGAGGGGTCAGGGGATGCTTGACAGGTTGGGGGTGTCTGGGGATTGGGGTGTCTGGGGACGTCAGGGGACTCATGGATGTTGGGGGGCTGAGGGATGGCTAGGAGGTCTAGGGTATATTGGGGGAGGGAAGGGGGGTCTCTCTGTGTCTTCGGGTCTCAGTTTCTCTTGGTGCTTTCTGGGTGAGAGTGTGGAGGCCTCCATTCTAAAAGTCTGTGGTTCTTTTTTTTTTTTTTGAGACGGAGTCTCGCTCTGTCACCCAGGCTGCAGTGCAGTGGTGCCATCTTGGCTCACTGTAAGTTCCGCCTCCCAGGTTCATGCCATTCTCCTGCCTCGGCCTTCCGAGTAGCTGGGACTACAGGCGCCCACCACCACACCCAGCTAATTTTTTGTATTTTTAGTAGAGATGGGGTTTCACCGTGTTAGCCAGGATGGTCTCGATCTCCTGACCTTGTGATCCACCTGCCTTGGCCTCCCAAAGTGCTGGGATTACAGGCATGAGCCGCCGCACCCGGCCAAGTCTGGGGTTCTAATGGTCTACAGCTCTGAAACTGTACCCTTACTCTTCTCTTTTTTTTTTTTTTTTTTTGAGACACAGTTTTGCTCTTGTTGCCCAGGCTGGAGTGCAGTGGCGCGATCTTGGCTCATTGCAACCTCAACCTCCCAGGTTCAAGTGAGTCTCCTGCCTCAGTCTCCCAAGTAGCTGAGACTACAGGCACCCGCCACCACACCTGGCTAATTTTTGTATTTTTAGTAGAGACAGGTTTTCACCATGTTGGTCAGGCTGGTCTTGAACTCCTGGCCTCAAGAGATCTGCCCACCTTGGCCTCCCAAAGTGTGGGATTATAGGCATGGGCCACTGCATCCTGCCCCGGCCATTTATTATGATTACTATTATTTGTAATACAAATGGTAGAATAGTATACCCACTTCTGCCCTTTCCTTCAACAGCTTGGAGACTTTTCCGTTAGGGCATGAAGAGTTCTCACGCTCCTTTTTAACATCTGAACTGGATTCCACTGCTTAGCTGTCCTATCATTTATTTAACTGGCCCTCGATAGATGGACAGTTGGTTCCATTTTTTCCAGGGAGGAACCCTGCACATATGTCATATCCCATGAGCTTTTGGCCTCTGAAGGGTGCATTCCTAGAGGATCTGCTGGGTCAAGCGCCCAGTGTTTGTGATTTGGGCAGAAAGTGCTTGGTCTGGACTGTTCTCCATTCGGCAATGGAAGAACACAGACTGCTACAATGATAGGAAATGGGAATGGCCAGGCAAGGTGGCTCATGCTTGTAATGCCAGCATTTTGGGAAGCTGAGGCAGGAGCATCACTTGAGCCTGGGAGTCCGAGACCAGCCTGGGCAACATAGAGAGACCTCCATCTCTTTTATTTTCTTTTTTTTGAGATGGAGTCTCGCTCTGTCACCCAGGCTGCAGTGCAGTGACGGGATCTTGGCTCACTGCAACCTCCACCTCCCAGGTTCAAGCGATTCTCCTGCCTCAGCTTCCTGAGTAGCTGGGATTACAGGCACCTGCCATCATGCCCAGCTAATTTTTGTATTTTTTTAGAGATGGGGTTTCACCATGTTGACCAGGCTGGTCTTGAACTCCTGACCTGAGATGAACTGCTCGCCTCGGCCTCCCAAAGTGCTGGGATTACAGGTGTGAGCCACTGTGCCCAGCTGACTCCCATCTCTTTTTTTTTTTTTTTTTTTTTTTGAGACGGAGTCTCGCTCTGACGCCCAGGCTGGAGTGTAGTGGCGCGATCTCAGCTCGCTGCAAGCTCCGCCTCCCAGGTTCACGCCATTCTCCTGCCTCAGCCTTCGGAGTAGCTGGGACTACAGGTGCCCACCACCAAGCCCGGCTAATTTTTTTGTATTCTTAGTAGAGACAAGGTTTCACTGTGTTAGCCAGGATGGTCTCGATCTCCTGACCTCATGATCTACCCGCCTCGGCCTCCCAAAGTGCTGGGATTACGGGTGTGAGCCACGATGCCTGGCCCCCATCTCTCTCTCTTTTTTTTTAGTTAAACTAATCAAAAAGGATAAAAAGGCAAAAAAAAAATCTGTCATTCTTTTTTTTTTGAGACGGAGTCTTGCTCTGTCTTCCAGGCTGGAGTGCAGTGGTGCGATCTTGGCTCACTGCAAGCTCCGCCTCCCGGGTTCTCACCATTCTCCTGCCTCAGCCTCCCGAGTAGCTGGGACTACAGGTGCCCGCCACCATGCCCGGCTAATTTTTTTTTGTATTTTTTAGTAGAGACGGGGTTTCACCGTGTTAGCCAGGATGGTCTCGATCTCCTGACCTCGTGACCCGCCTGCCTCGGCCTCCCAAAGTGCTGGGATTACAGGCATGAGCCACTGTGCCCAGCCAAAATCTATCATTCTTAGAGTCTTGAGTCCGGCGTCTAGGATTCTGTAATTCGAACACTCCAATATTCGGATGCTCTGTGGTGCTATGGCTGTTTCAAGGACTCCCAGATTTTATGCGTCTAAGGTCCCATGCTCAGACTCCCCTGAGTCAGTTCTGCAATCCCCACCCAGGATCCGGGCATCCCAGGTCAGCTTCCACCTTGGATTGGTCCTCCCTCCATCACACCATGGATGCCCTCACCTCAGTGGGGGGCCGCAGTTGACCAGGGCGATGGTCTTGCTGATATAGGTGTCAGGTAGCATCTCCCGGACTGCTGGGTTCTCATGGAATCGCTCCACACGCTGCTGGAAGCTGGTGGGAGGAAAGGGGACAGATAGGGCGCCACTGGGTCAGGGTCCCTCGTGGGCACCCAGCCTGCCAAAGCCACCATCCCTGCGGTGGCACTCTACCTGTCCTCAGGTGACTCCCTCTCATCTCTCCTCTCTCTATTGGATCCCAGGCCCTGATGCCCAACCCCCAGCAGAGCTAACCTGTGCTCCCAGGTTCCCCTACCTCTGCAGGAACTCTGCCAGCCCGCCTAGGCAGCAGTGGGCCATCCGCTCCCCAAACTCCTGGCTGATGCGGGGTGCTCGCTCTGTGTGCTCTTCCAGCAGCTGTGAGGTCCAGGGCGACAAGAAGAGGTGAGGAGGGGCAAGGTCCCACTTTCCATCCAGCCCATCCCCCAGCCTCCCTCCACCTCCTACCTCACACACATCCTGGGCCAGGCTGCTGGGCTGGTCCTCCAGGCTCCCCCAGTGCTCTTCGTCCTCCTGCAGCACACGGAGAAGGGCAGCCCGGGTCTGAGCCTACAGTAGGGAGAGGGGAGACAGGCAGGAGTTGGGGGCGGCCTGGAGGTCTTTTTTTTTATCTCTTTCTCCCACCACAATCCCCTAGCCCTTAACCCCAAGCAGTTCTGGATTCTACCTATGAGCTTGTCAAGGTGATGCTGGGGAGGGAGGCTGAGCCAGAAAACTTCTGCAGCCCTTCCCACTCCTAACTCTGTGGTTTGGAACTTCATATTAAAAGTCTGGTTTGGCCAAGCGCGATGGCTCACACATGTAATCTCTTTGGGAGGCTGAGGTTGGCGGATCACCTAAGGTCAACAGTTCAAGACCAGCCTGGCCAACATGGAGAAACCCCGTCTCTACTAAAAATACAAAAATTAGCTGGGCGTGGTGGTGCGTGTCTGTAATCCCAGCTACTCAGGAGGCAGAGGCAGGAGAATTGCTTCAACCTGGGAGACAGAGGTTGCAGTGAGTGGAGATCATGCCATTGCACTCCCGCCTGGGCAACAGGGTGAGACTCCAACTCAAAAATAAAAATAAAATAGGCTGGGCGCGGTGGCTCACGCCTGTAATCCCAGCACTTTGGGAGGTCGAGGCGGGTGGATCACGAGGTCAGGAGATGGAGACCATCCTGGCTAACACGGTGAAACCCCGTCTCCACTAAAAATACAAAAAATTAGCCGGGCGTGGTGGTGGGCGCCTGTAGTCCCAGCTACTCAGGAGGCTGAGGCAGGAGAATGGCGTGAACCCGGGAGACGGAGCTTGCAGTGAGCCGAGATTGTGCCACTGCACTCCAGCCTGGGCAACAGAGTGAGACTCCATCTCAAAAAAATAAATTAAAAAATAATAAATAAATAGATAAAATAAAATTAGTCCATGGTTTTAAGCTTCCTCCATCTAATAAGCAAGGGCTTAATTGTGTGTGTGTGCACGTGTGTGTATAATTAAATATATACATATATTTATGTATTAAATATATACATATATTTATGTATTAAATATATACATATATTTATGTATTAAATATATACATATATTTATGTATTAAATATATACATATATTTATGTATTAAATATATACATATATTTATGTATTAAATATATGTTATATATGTAATATATTTATATATTAAATATTAGTATAAGCTATATAATGTGTATATTAATAATTCATAATACGTTATTTATATATTAATAATTAGTATGTATTATATACTATAGCACATGAAATATGTAATCTATATTAACATATAAATATTAAATATAAATCAATAATACATATTATAAATAATATATTATAAATAATATAGATACATGTGACCAGGTGCGGTGGCTTATGCCTGTAATCCCAGCACTTTGGGAGGCCAAGATGGGCAGATCACCTGAGGTTGGGAGTTCAAGACCAGCCTGAACAACATGTAGAAACCCCTTTTCTACTAAAAATACAAAATTAGCCGGGCATGGTGGCGCATGCCTGTAATCCCAGCTACTTGGGAGGCTGAGGCAGGACAATCACTTGAACCCGGGAGGAGGAGGTTGCGGTGAGCCGAGTTTGTGCCACTGCACTCCAGCCTAGGCAACAAGAGTGAAACTCCGTCTCAAAATATATATATGTGTACATTATAAATAAAGCTATAATATAATATATTATTGTATATTATTTATAATATACACATTTATATGTTAATATGTATACACAAATAATGTATACTTAATATTTATATTAAATATAAATCCTATTATTACATATTATGATATGTATGAAGTATTATTTATATTAAATATTGTTTTTCTTTAGAGGCCACGTCTTGCTCTGTCCCCCAGGCTGGTGTGCAGTGGTACCATCATGGCTCACTGCAGCCTCACACTCCTGGACTCAATCCTCCCGCCTCAGATTCTTGAGTAGCTGAGACTACAGGCACGTGCCACCACACCCAGCTAACTTTTAAAATGTTTTACAAAACATTTTTGTTTTGTTTTGTTTTGTTTTTGAGATGGAGTCTCGCTCTGTCGCCCAGGCTGGAGTGCAGTGGTGCGATCTCGGCTCACTGCAAGCTCCGTCTCCCGGGTTCACGCCATTCTCCTGCCTCAGCCTCCAGAGTAGCTGGGACTATAGGCACCCGCCACCATGCCCAGCTAATTTTTTGTATTTTTACTAGAGACGGGGTTTCACTGTGTTAGCCAGGATGGTCTCAATCTCCTGACCTCGTGATCCACCCGCCTCGGCCTCCCAAAGTGCTGGGATTACAGGCGTGAGCCACTGTGCCCGGCCACAAAAGTTTTAAAACAGAGACAGTCTTGCTATGTTGTCCAGGCTGGTCTTGAACTCCTGGCCTCAAGAAATCCTCCCACCTCAGCCTCCCAAAGTGCTGGGATTACAGGTGTGAGCCACCGCGCCCGGCCAAGGGTCTATGTTTTATTGTCTTTTGGTCCCAAGACTCTGCTCTCAGGTTCTGCCAAACAGTTAGTTTAAGATTCTCAGATTCTGTGTTTCAAGAACTCCAAAGGCTGGGCTGCAAAGGTTCTCACATCTCTGATTCTCTGATCAAATGTGTTGTCTCGGCTGGGGTGACTCATGCTTATACTCCTAGAGCTTTGGAAGGCTGAGGCTGGAGGATCACTTGAGGCCAGGATTTTGAGACTAGCCTGGGCAAAATGGCAAGACCCTGTCTCTGCAAATTTTTTTTTTTTAAATTATCCAGGCATGGTGGTGTGTGCCTGTAATCCCAGCTACTCAGGAGGCTGAGGTGGGAAGATCCCTTGAACCCAGGAGTTCGAGGCTGTAGTGAGCTGTAATCATGCCACTGCACTCCAGCCTGGGCAAAAGAGGGAGACATCTGTAATTAAAAAAATAAAAAAGTATAATCCTCAATTTGATGAGTTTAAGGATCCAGATCTCTTTTCTATGGTTCTAGGCTCTTAAGTAGCATTGACTGATTTCTGTGGCTGGAAGTAGGACTGGAATTGAGACAGCAAACATCACTGTAGCCGGGGACGGCGTGCATGGCTGGGCCATTCTGCTCAGCGGTGTCTGTGCAGGTTCAGTAATTAACCATGTTTATTACCAGCCCTGCTTATATGTGAAGATCTTTGTCAGCCAGGCCTGATGGCACGTGCCTATGGTGCCAGCTACTGGAGAGGCTGAGGCAGGAGGATCGCTTGAGTCCAGGAGGTCAATGCTCCAGCCTGGCAACAGAGCGAGACCCTGCCTCAAAAAAAAAAAAAAAAAAAAAATCTTTGATGCTATACTTCTGTGAGTCTTTGGGCCTGTGAGCTGTAGTTCTGTGACTAACTTTCTTGTACTCTAAGGTTTGAAGTGTCCAGATATACTGAACCTTTACCAAGTGTCTCTGTACAGCGGCCTTTGTGTCTATGGCACATGGATAGAACTCAGAAGTTCGTAAAGGGAAAAGGGAGTTGGAAAGAGTGAAAGGTGGAGGGGACAGGCTTCCCAAGCCCACTGTGACCCCCTCCCTCCACAGCACCTCCTGCTTCCAAAATGCAAAGTTCCAGGTACCTTAACATCTGTGACGCATTCATCCTCCAAACCCCGCAGGGTGCCAGGGGAGAGAAGGGGCCCCAGCTCCCCATTCTCCAGGGCGGCCATGTCCACCAGCCCTAGGACCTCTCTGGGGATGGGGGTGAGAGAAAAGGAGGTCTGTGAAAAGTGGGGCTGGGCAGTTGGAACCTTCCCCACACCCTCCTACCCACTGTTTCTGTGACCCTGGGCCACTCCCTTCCTCTCTCTAAGTCATCTCTGCTCATCCCTCAGAGGAAGTCTTTGGAATTGTTGCTTCCCCGGCTCCAGCTCTCTGAGTCAGCTCCCTGATGGATGGTGTCCCGGCATGATATTTAGGGGTCAAGTCCAGGCTTGAAGATCTGACATGCAAGGCTTCACCCATGATCCATTTCACCAGACAGAAGTTCCCTTTGCACCTATGCTCTGAGGCCCTGCTGCCTTACCTGGCCTTGGAGGCTTCCCCAGTCCAGCCCTCTCTCCCCACCTTCTACGAGCTTACATGCCTGGAGCTATGTGATATCATCAATATCCACCCCCAAACACCCCAGACTTGGGCTCATGGCATCCTCTCAATTATAAACACCATTGCCCTACAAATTGGACCAAACCCAGTTCCCACCACTTTAGGAAGCTTTCCGGACTCCCTATCCTGCCTCCATCCCTTATAGATAACATGAGAGCATTATTGACATACATTCCCAAATGAGATCTATGTGGTCAATGTGGGTATCTGTTGCCTTCCCAGTCTTCCGGTGACAGCATCCTGATTTTGTTGGAAGAACCACCCACCCCCTTCACTGTCCAACGTGTGGCTTGGATGTGGCTAACTCCCTTTTCTCTGGGGTAGACAGGTGACCTGGAGGTGGCTAATCACCATAGTCCATCCCCCGGCCACAAGAATGGGTATGTTTTAGGACACAAAGTCTCAACAGTAATAAGATTCTAGGACTGAGAGGGACCATGGTACTGAGGTTCTGGGTGCTACCCTTATAGAATTCAAGGGGCAAACAGCACTCAAGTCCTAAAACTGGCCCGGGCATGGTGGCTCACACCTGTAATCGAAGCACTTTGGGAGGCCAAGGTGGGTGGATCACTTGAGGTCAGGAGTTCGACACCAGCCTGGCCAACATGGTAAAACCCCGCCTCTACTAAAAATACAAAAAAATTAGGCCGGGCACAGTGGCTCATGCGTGTAATCCCAACACTTTGGGAGTTCGAGGCAAGTGGATCACCTGAGGTTAGGAGTTCAAGACCAGCCTGGCCAACATGGTGAAACCCCGTCTCTACTAAAAATACAGAAATTAGCTGTGCATGATGGTGGGCGCCTGTAATCCCAGCTACTCGGGAGGCTGAGGCAGGAGAATCACTTGAACCCGGGAGGCGGAGGTTGCAGTTGGCAGAGATTGCAGCACTGCACTCCAGCTTGGGCGACAGAGCAAGACTCCGTCTCAAAATAAATAAATAAATAAATAAATAACGTCCTAAAACTAGAAGGATCAACAGTGTTGAGGTTCTAAGACCAAAAGAGGGAATGAGGCTAAGGTTTAGGATTCAAAGCTTCATTGGTACTAAGCTTCTATGGTTGCACCATACATTCTAAGTTCTAAGATTGGAAACGTCAACAGTACTAATGCCCTAGGCTCTAAAGAGAAAGCAGTGTAGGATTCTAGAATTCTAAGTGTCATTGTATTAAGGTGAAGGGTCAGTGGGGCTATGGTTCTAGGAAGGAATGGTCAACAGTGCTAAAACTCTAAGACTGGAAGGGTGAACAGCTAAGATTCTAGTAGCGTAAGTGTCATGAAGCCCAGGTTCTTGGACTGGTGGGCCCACCGTGCTGAGCTACTAGGATTGAAACTGTCGATAGTGCTAAAATTGTAGAACTGGAAGAGTCAATGGTGCCAATAGGTTCTAGGTCTGAAAGGGTGGGAATGCTAGGATTCTAAGACTGGAAGCATCAGTGTTACTTAGATGCTAGGAGTGTAACTGTCGATGATGCTAAGGTTGTATGTAGGTCTAGAAGAATGAATGGTGTTGAGATTTTAGGAACGGAAAAGTAGCAACGCAAAGGTTCTAGGACTAGAGGAATCAATGGTGCTAAGATTCGGGGACTGGAAGGGTGGACAGCGAGGCGATCTAGAGTGTAAGTGTTGACAGAGCGCTGAGGTTTTTGGACCACAGTGGTGCCGGAGCTCTTATTCTAGGACTGCAAGCGTCCATGGTACTAAGGTGCTGGAACCGGAAGCCTCGGTAGCAGTGAGAGTCTAGGATTGTAACTGTCAGCGGTGCTGACGACTGGATGGGTTAATGGTGTTAAAGTGCTAGGACTGTAGGGTCAGCTGTCCCAAGGTCCTTAAGGTCTGAAGAAGCCAGTGCTAGGGGGTAGGGCTGAGGGTTTCACGTGACCTTGGGCAACTGAGTCCAGCTTACCTGGGGTAGACCTGATTGTGCCAGTGCAGCAGCGCGTAGCGGTCGGCCAGCGGCAGCCTGCGACGGGCGGAGGCCCCCAGCCACTCGGCCAGGGCCCCGTGGTAGCCGCGCAGGTAGACGCCGAAGGCGCCCAGGCCGGCGGGGTAGGCGGGCGCCAGGCGGCCCCGCACCACGGCCATATCCTCCAGCAGCCGCGCCCGCAGCGCCTCCAGCTGCCCGGCCAGGCCCCCGGGCGCCCCGGGAGCCGCTGCCTCTAGGCGCTCCCGGGCCGCGCGCGCCACGGCTTCGGCCCAGCGTGCGCGTAGTTTGCGGGCCGCCCCGGGACCCCGACGCCCGTCGGCCGCCTCCTCCTGTACCAGCACCTGGCCCAGCTGCGCCACCGCGCCAGCCCCGGCGCACGCTCCCGGCCCGGGGCCCGCCAGCGTCTCGCGCACCAGCGCCCACAGCTCGCGCTGCAGGGCCTCGTACAGCAGCGCCACGTCCCGCGCCCGGCGGCCCCCGCCAGCGCCCTCGGCCTTGGGAGGCCCAGGCGCGCCGCCCCTCGACGGCGCCAGCTCCTCGGCCTCTAGCTCCAGGATGTGCTCGTCCGCACGCGCTAGTTCGCGCTGCTGGATCAGGCTCAGGATCTCCAGCACTGCGGGAGCAAAGCGGGAGGTCAGCAGTGCGCGGGGGGGAGGAGGGCGATGCCGGACGCGGGGTTGGGGGTGCTTAGGAAGGGGAGAGAGATGAGGGGAAAAGGGTTACAGGAGGCGGGAAAGTGTGGGGGCAGAGAAGAGCCCGGAGAAGAGCAAGAAAGAAGGATGTTGAGTGAAGGATGTAGGGGAGGGGTCAGGGTGAGGGGCTCATGCTTGTAATCCTAGCACTTTGGGAGGCCGAGGCCGGCGGATCACTTGAGGTCAGGAGTTCAAGACCAGCCTGGCCAACATGGCAAAACCTCGTCTCTACTAAAAATACAAAAATTAGCCAGGCGTAGTGGCGTACACCTATAATCCCAGCTACTCGAGAGGCAGGAGAATCGCTTGAACCCGGAAGGCAGAGGTTGCAGTGAGCCGAGATCGCGCCACTGCACCCCAGCCTGGGCAACATGTTGAGCGAGACTCTATCTCAAAAATAAATAAATAAAAAAGAGAGAGGGGGAAAAGAAAAATGCCTGTGACTGAGGAGGGGATCTGGGGAGGTTGCAGGGCGGAAAAATGGAGGAGGGGTCGGAGGAGGCGAGAAGGTTGAGAGAGGAGCCACGTAAGGGGGAGAGAGATGGAGGCAGCCGGTGGGAGTAGGAGGGGCAGGGTGGTGACTTGGAGATGGGGAGAGGATATGGGACCACTGATGGGGTCTTTTTGGGGTGGGGATGGCTGTGGGCTGATCTGGCCCTCTGATGAGTTCAGACTGCCTCGAGAAAGGCGAGTCGGGCTGGAAGGCCTCTGAGGCTGAAGGAGGGTCCTGGCAGCCCAGGGTTACCCTCGACACCTCCACCCCCCTCCACTTCCTCCCTGGCAGAGAAACTATTTCCTGGCCAGCGCTATTTCTGCCCATCCGTTTCCAGAAGGCGGGGCTCTAGTCACCCCCTCCTCACCTCCCTCCAGTGCCCTCCCAGTCCCCAGGGAGCTGGGGCTGAAATAGCCTCTGGCCAGAACGTGGAGGGCATCAGAGGACAGAAAAGGCTCTCCTGAGGTCCCCAGCCCTGGAGCAGTTCGGGCCTCGGGGCTAAAAGCCGGGCTCAGGCACGGGAGCAGAGATAAAGGCAGGGTTGGGGGTGGCGGTGAATTAAGATGGGGATTGGGACACGGATGGGGATAGGGCCGGAGGTGAGGATGGGGTGAAGGTGGGGGTTGGGATGAGGGAGTTTAGGGTTAGGATGAGGTCAGGTGGGAGTCTGGACAGAAATGGGAAAGAGGCAAGAATGACATTGGGGTCTGGGTAGGGATGAGGTTGGAGAGGTGGGGGAGGGGAATGTAGGTGAAAGCTGAGGATGGAAAGGACATAAAGATTGATGTGAAGGCCGAGTGCGGTGGCTCATGCCTGTACTCCTAGCACTTTGGAAGGTGGGCGGATCACCTGAGGTCAGGAGTTCAAGACCAGACTGACCAATATGGTGAAACCTGGTCTCTACTAAAAATACAAAAATTAGCCAGGCATGGTGGTGCATTCCTGTAGTCCCAGCTACTCAGGAGGCTGAGACAGGAGAATTGCTTGAACCCAGGCGGCGAAGGCTGCAATGAACTGAGATCTTGCCATTGCACTCCAGCCTGGATGACAGAGCTAGACTCCATCTCAAAAAAAAAAAAAAAAAAAAAAAAGATTGATGTGAGTTTGAAGATGAATTGTGGAAGTGAGTTGGGCTTGGGAATAGGAACATGGATGGAATTGAAAATGGAGGTTGGGGATGGGGGTTTAGGACTGGGACTCAGGATAGGGGTGAAGATAGATTAGGGATGAAGAGGAGGTTGCGTTTGGAGTTGGAATTGAAACTGGGGGCTGAGGAAGAACTAGGAACTCAAATAGGACTGAATAAGGAGGTTGATGGCCAGGTGCGGTGACTCATGCTTGTAATCCCAGCACTTTGGGAGGCTGAGGCGGGTGGATCACCTGAGATCAGGAGTTCAAGACCAGCCTGGCCAACATGGCAAAACCCCATCTCTACAAAAAATACAAAAAAAATTTAGCCAGGCATGGATGGTGATGCATGCCTGTAATCCCAGCTACTCAGGAGGTTGAGACAGGAGAATCGCTTGAACCCAGGAAGCGGAGGTTGCAGTGAGCTGAGATTGTACCATTGCACTCTAGCCTGGGCAACAGAGTGAGACCCTGTCTCAAAGGAAAAAAAAAAAAAAAGGAGGTCGCCAGAGGGAAATGGGTGGAAGGTGGGTGCTGAGAGGGGCCTGGGGTTGGGGGTTAAGAGTGAGACCAAAAGAGTTTAAAAGGGTGGAAGGTGAACATGGGGAAGAATGGGATATGAAACGGGGCTGGACCAGTTGGGGGTTGCCATGGTGTTGGACATAGACAATGACATTAAAGATGGCGTTTAGGCCAGGCGCAGTGGCTCATGCCTGTCATTCCAGCACTTTGAGAAGCTGAGGCAGGAGGATTACTTGAAGCCAGGAGTTCAAGACCAACTTGAGCAACATAGCGAGACCCCCATCTCTACAAAAAATGTGAAAATTAGCCAGGTGTGATCATATGTGCCTGTAGTCCCAGCTACTCTGGTGGCTAAGGTGGGAGGATTGCTTGAGCCCAGGAGGTCAGGGCTGCAGAGAGCCATGATTGCACCACTGCACTCTAGCCTCTAGCCTGAGTGATAGAGCGAGACCTTGTCTCCAAAACTAGATGGCATTTGGAGGAAAGGATGAGCTGTACGAGAAGCATACGGATGTGTCTCAGATAGAGACTGATGGTGGGCTTGGAATAAGTGTGGGGTGAGAACAGAAAAGGCACTGAGGAAGACACTGGGGCTTGGAGTAGGAATGGGGACTGAGGATGAAGACAGGGTGGTGTTAGGGATTGAATTACGTCCCCCCAGAAAAAAAAAAGATATGTGAAGTCTTCACCCCAGTACATCAGAATGTCACCTGATTTGGAAATAGGGTCTTTACAGAGGCAATCAAATTAAAGTGAGATCATAGGGCAGACCCGAATCCCATGTGAGTGGTGTCCTCATAAAAAGGAGAAATTGGCCACACGCCGTGGCTCAAGCCTGTAATCCCAACATTTTGGGAGGACGAGGCAGGCAGATCACTTGAGGTCAGGAGTTTGAGACCAGCCTGGCCAACATGATGAAACCTTACCTCTACTAAAGTACAAAAATTATCCAGGTGGCACATGCCTGTAATATCAGCTACTCGGGAGGCTGAGGCAGGAGAATTGTTTGAACCCCAGAGGCAGAGGATGCAGTGAGCCAAGATTGCACCACTGCACTCCAGCCTGGGCGACAGAGGCAAAAAAATAATAATAATAAAATAAATAAAATAAAGAAATTGAAGAAATTGGGGATAGAAAGAGAAGGGGGAGAGATGGGACCAAAATCAGGTATTCCCTTGGCTTTAGACATGGGAGTAGGGCTGAAGACGGCAGGTGGAGGAGGCAAAGATTGAGGGTGGGCATATATTAACAGGTGGCACTGAAGAGAAAGGTTGACGACAGGGATTAGGACTGCAGTGGTAATGGGTTGGAGCTGGCATGGAGGTGGGAGATGTGAGTTAGACATGTGAATTGCAGGTCGGGGTCACAGGTGGTAGCTGGGATGGGCTTAAGTATGAAGCCTGGGACCACCAGGGCTGGGGATGGACATGGGCACTGGGATTCTCCCAGGACAGGGTCAGGGCTCCGGACTCACCTGACAATGGCTCCTTCATCTTTGGGGGCTCTGGGACCTTGGGTGGGGGCTCTGGAGCTGCCTCGCCTGCAGGCACCACTCTCTCAGCCAGGGACGCACGCTGGGGCTTGGATCCACGCCCCAGTCTCAGGAAGGCCAGTCTCCGGGCGGCCTCCCCCGCTGCCTCCTCGTCGCCGTGGGCTCGGGTCCCATGCAGCCGGGCCAGGAGGCCAAAATCTGCTGAGCTCCTGCGTATCCCTGGTACCAGCACACGGCCCAAGAAAGAGCGGGGCTGCCCATCCCCAGGGCTGCCTGCCCGCCGGCCCGGGGCCCAGCCCAGCCGGAAGGGGGCCAGGCCCGCAAGCTTCTCCAGGGTGGCGCGGCGGCGACAAGATGTTCCATTGGGGAGGGACCCCAGCTCCCCGGCCTCTTCTTCCTCCAGCCCTGAAACTTCTTCAAAGGGGTTCCGAGAGGACCTCAGGGGCAGGGTCCCCGCCCGGGGCACCTTAGGGTCTGACACTCCCAGATTCTTCAGGATAGGCATTTTGACAGGTGGGGACCTGGGGAAAAAAATAATGACCATGGGCGATGCTGATGACAATGGTGGTATGGATGACGGTGCCTCTGTGTACCGAGCACTTTGGGGTGAGCGTACCAGACACTTGCCTGAGCACTTAATAAGCCCTTGATCTGCACAAGCTTATAAGATGGGGACTTTTTTTTTTTTTTTTTTTGAGACGGGGTCTCGCTCTGTCGCCCAGGCTGGAGTGCAGTGGCACGATCTCAGCTCACTGCAAGCTCCGCCTCCCGGGTTCACGCGATTCTCCTGCCTCAGCCTCCTGAGTAGCTGGGACTACAGGCGCCCACCACCACGCCCGGCTAACTTTTGTATTTTTAGTAGAGACGGGGTTTCACTGTGTGAGCCAAGATGGTCTCGATCTCCTGACTTTGTGATCCACCTGCCTCGGCCTCCCAAAGTGCTGGGATTACAGGCGTGAGCCACCGCGCCTTGCCTCTTTTTTTTTTTTCTTTTGAGATGGAGTCTCACTCACTCTGTCACCCAGGCTGGAGTGCAGTGGCACGATCTCGGCTCACTGCAACCTCCGCCTCCCAGGTTCAAGCAAGTCTCCTGCCTCAGCCTCCGGAGTAGCTGGGACTACAGGCGCGCGCCACCACACAAGGCTAAGTTTTATATTTTTAGTAGATATGTGGTTTCACCATGTTGGCCAGGCTGGTCTTGAACTCCTGACTCAGGCGATCCACCTACTTCAGCCTCCCAAAGTGCTGGGATTACAAGAGTGAGCCACCTCTGCTGGCCTGGAATATTCTCTATCTTAAGTTGATCCTCCTACTCCGTGGAGAAACAGGCTGAGAGGGGGGAAGGCTCCCTCCCAAGATGACACAGTCAGTCAAGGGCAGAGATGATATGGGGACTCAGGCCCTACCATCCACCCAGACGTCCAGGGCAGACTCCTGAGCACCTGCCTACACCCCCTCATCCCCTTCATTTCTCCTGTTTGATTTGTACCCTTGTCATCTCTCCCTCATTCATCTCTTCAGCAAAAACTTATTGGGAAATGTCTAGAATAGGCAAAGCCTAATTTTTTTTTTTTTTTTTTTTGAGACTGGGACTCACCCTGTCACCCAGGCTGGAGTGCAATGGCCCCATCATAGTTCACTGCAGCCTGAAACTCCTGGGCTCAAATGATCCTCGTACCTCAGCCTCCTCAGCAGCTGGGACTACAGGTGTGTACCACCATGCCCACTTAATTAATTAATTAATTTATTTATTTATTTATTGAGACAGGGTCTTGCTATGTTGCCCAGGCTGGTCTCAAACTCCTGGCCTCAAGGGATCTATCCACTTCTGCCTCCCAAAGTGCTGGGATTACAGGTGCAAATCACCTCGCAGGTCTCTAGGCAAATCCTTAGAGACAGAAAGGAGACTGACAATAGGACTGGAGAGAACGGGGAATGGCGAGTGGCTGCTAATGGATGCAGGGTTTCCTTTTGGGGAAAGGAAGACACTCTGGAACTAGATAAAGGTGATGGTTGTACAACACTGTGAATGCATTAAGTGCCACTTAATTGTATGCTTTTAAAATGGCTTAAGGCCAGGCGTGGTCGCTCATGCCTGTAATCCCAGCACTTTGGGAGGTGGAGGCAGGCAGATCACCTGAGGTCAGGAGTTCGAGACCAGCTTGGCCAACATGGTGAAACCCCGTCTCTACTAAAAATAAAAAAAGTAAAAAATTAGCCGGGCGTGGTGGCATGCACCTGTAATCCCAGCTACTCGGGAGGCTGAGGCAGGAGAATTGTTTGAACCCAGGAGGCAGAAGTTGCGGTGAGCTGAGATCACACCACCGCATTCTGGCCTGGGCAATAGAGCAAGACTCAGTCTCAAAAAATAAAATAAAACAAAACAACTTACTAGGTATTAGCCATGGGCCCAGCCCTGTGCAGGCGTTAGGGACACAGCAGTGGCCAGGGCAGCCCCCATCCCTGCCATTACAGCTTCCTGAGTCCTGCCCATTCCATCTCCTAAGCCTCTCTTCAGTCTGCGCTCCCTCCTTTCACTCACTTCCCATAGCCCCTACCCCAAGCGGAACCCTTGCCCACTTCCCTGCCCTGGCCTCCTCCCTGGTCCCCAGCCTCTAGTCTTGGCACCTCCAGTCCGCCTTTGAGGACCTTGAAAAAGCGCAAACCAGGCCGGGTGCAGTGGCTCACGCCTGTAATCCCAGCACTTTGGGAGGCCGAGGCGGGCGGATCACAAGGTCAGGAGATCGAGATCATGGTGAAACCTCGTCTCTACTAAAAATACAAAAAATTAGCTGGGTGCAGTGGCAGGCGCCTGTAGCCCCAGCTACTCGGGAGGCTGAGGCAGGAGAATGGCATGAACGCGGAAGGCGGAGATTGCAGTGAGCTGAGATCGCGCCACTGCACTCCAGCCTGGGCGACAGAGCAAGACTCCATCTCAAAAAAAAAAAAAAAAAAAGAAAAGAAAAAGCACAAACCTGCTCTTCTCCATCTCCTAAGCCTTCCATGGCTCCCTAGTATCTTCAGGACAAAGCTGAGGCCTCTCACCACAGCCTTCATGCTCTGGCAGCTGCACACGTCACTAGTGCTGTCCCGTAGCCTCCTCCTTACCCCAGGAACCTCCAGGTTTCAGCATCTGCTGGTGCTTCTACATAGACGCCTGTTCTCCATGCTCCAGTCAGGACTTCAGGACTCACACTTCAGGACTCAGCCCCATGCCCCCTCCTCCAGGAAGCCCTCTGTGACCCTCAGGCTCCCAGTCCCTGGGTTCCCACACCTCACCTCTGCCTGCTCTGGGTCATCCCTGTCTGGGGACAGATCTGTGTCCCTTACTGGACTGCAAACCTCAGCAGGACAGGGCTGGGGCTGTCTCAGTCACCACTGTGTCCCCAGCTCCCAGCACAGGGCAGACACTCAGGGAATGGGTGCTAAACAGGAAATGAAGGAAGGAAAGTGGCAAGACAGTTCATTCCTTGTGTGGGGAGGAGGAGGGTGAGTCGAGCTGGAAGAGGTCACTAGGGAGCAGGCCACGCAGGGCTTTAAGTTCCTTGATAAGGGACAGGCTTTCTTCCAAGAGCCCTGCAGAGCCACAGATAGGTGCTTTTTAAAACAATGAAATAGTTCAAACATTCGGAAAAGTACAGAAGACAAGCTTAATAAACACTTCTGTGCCTACAATCCTAGCCACAGCTCACACAATCATTTGCTCTCTTAGTTCAGGTTTTTGTTGTTGCTTTTGTCTTTAGAGACAGGATCTCACTCTGTTGCCCAGGCTGGAGTGCAGAGGCGTGATCATGGCTGGCTGCAGCCTTGAACTCCTGGGCTCAAGCGATCCTCCCACCTCAGCCTCCCAAGCAACGGGGACATCCTGCTAATTTTATTGTTTAATTTTTTGTTATAGATGGGGTCTCGCTATATTGCCCATGCTGGTCTGGAACTCCTGCTCCTGGCCTCAAGCAATCCTCCCTCCTCGGCCTCCCAAAGTACTAGAATTACAGGCGTGAGCCACCATCCACTGCCCTGATTTTTGTTTTAAAGAACAAGCCAGGCGCAGTGGCTCACGCCTATAATCCCAGCACTTTGGGAGGCCGAGGAGGGAGGATCACCTGAGGTCAGGAGTTTGAGACAAACCTGGCAAACATGGTGAAACCCTGCCTCTACTAAAAACACAAAAATTAGCTGGGTGTGGTGGCGGGTGCCTGTAGTCCTAGCTACTTGGGAGGTTGAGGCAGGAGAATCACTTGAACCCAGGAGGCGGATGCTGCAGTGAGCCCAGACTGTGCCACTGCACTCCAGCCTAGGCAACAGAGCGAAACTCCATCTCAAAAAAAAAAAAAAAAAAAAAGAATTACAAATGCGTGCAGCCTCCTCCTGCCACCTCTCCTGGTCCCACTCGCTCTGGCCTTCTCCTAAGGAATCCAGCATCCAGAATGAATGTGCTGTTTACCCGTCCAAGTAGATTTTTATCCCATGCTCCATAGACTTGTATCCAGAAATAATATACTGTTCTACATGGTTTCAAACTCTCTATAAATGGTATCATACTATTTGTATCTTGCAACTTGCTTTAAAATTTATTTTTTTGCTCACGTTATGAACTTGTGAGAATTTATCCATGTCTAGCCATACAGCTCCAGTTCATTTAAGTGCTATGTAATATTCCACTATATGAATTGTGTAAAGGGTCAGATGTTCACTTGTTCTTCTATTGCTGGACGTGTAGCTTGTTTGTCACCACGACAGGGTTCTGAGCAGGTCAGGACAGGGTCAGGATTATGCAGACGTGCGGGGGTGGACAGGAGGCCTGGGAAGAGGGTGGTGTGCAAAAGGCCTGGGTTGCCTAGGTTATGAGTAAGAGCACCCCTTTCCATGATGGGGAGGCCCCTTCTTTCTTTCCCTGTTTCAACCCCTGAGCTGCTGCTTCTCAACCCTCCAGTTCCTAGAAACGCTCTCGGACCTCCTTCCGGTCTCCATGGGCCCCCGCCCCCACAGGAGGCAGTCACCATGACGACCCCTTGCCTGGAGCCCCCATGGCTGTGTGCAATAGATACTCCCCCATGCACACACATTATTTGCACACTCATTTCTCTTCTATTTTATTTTATTTTTTCAGATGGAGTCTCGCTCTGTCACCCAGGCTGGAGTGCAATGGCGCGATTTCAGCTCACTGCACCTCCACCTCCAGGGTTCAAGCGATTTCTCCTGCCTCAGCCTCCCAAGTAGCTGGGACTACAGGTGCCCACCACCACGCCTGGCTAATTTTTGTATTTTTAGTACAGATGGGGTTTCACCATATTGGCCAGGCTGGTCTCGAACTCCTGACCTTGTGATCCGCCTGTTTCAGCCTCCCAAAGTGCTGGGATTACAGGTGTGAGCCACCGCACTCTGTCCTTCTCTTTTATTTTTTAGACAGTCTCACTCTGTCACCCAGGTTGGAGTGCAGTGGCATGGTCTCGGCTCACTGCAACCTCTGCTTCCCAGGCTCAAGCAATCCTCCCACCTCAACCTCCCGAGTAGCTGGGAGTACAAGTGCAAGTCACCACACCTGGCTAATTTTTGTATTTTTAGTAGAGATGAGGTTTCGCCCTGTTGCCCAGGTTGGTCAACTCCTGAGTTCAAGCGATCCACCTGCCCCAGCCTCCCAAAGTGCTGGGATTACAGTCATGAGCCACCACACCCAGCCTTGATTTCTCTTTCATCCTCTGAACTGGCATCCACATGCCTCATCCCAAAATGGCTCCATCATCCCCCCTCCACCCCATAACTGTCTCCATCTTCCTCTCAAAATTTCAGGCTCGAATTTCCCTCCAATTGAAGTCAACCTTGCCCGGACTACATCTGACTTTCCCCCACCTGGCTTCAATATCGCCTCCAAACTGGATCCAACATCCCCAAACCTGGCTGCAACATTTTCCCAAAACTGTCTCCGACGTCTTTCCCCTTCCTGGCTCCAACACCCGCCTCTGCAAACTGGTGCTGACATCCTGCCCCCTCCAACCCTCTGTCTGCCTCCCAGTGCCCAGCCCCTGACTCACTTCCGAGGCATCCCTCAAGCCCCCAGCCTCTCAGGCCCGCAGGATGTCTTGGCCACCAGAGCTTCCCTCTTTGAGCCCCTCCTCCTCTTCCTCACTGCCAGCCTTTTCCCCGGAGTCCCTAACCTTCTGCAGCGGCCCTGACCTCGGTTTGCGGAATCCATCACCTCCAACGCTCAGCATCTGTATTAGAGAACGGTCTTTCCATATGGCATGTCCCCAAGCCCAACCCCAACCAGTGCAACCCCAATCTAGTCCTTGACCCCAAACACAATCCTGTCATCAGCCCAGACCACTGCAAGCTCATCCACATCTCCAATCCCAACCTGATCTCGGTCTCTCCTGCTTGATCTCAATCCCTACCTGGTCCCTGTCTCCCATCTCCGAGACCCCATCTCTTGGGATAGAACAAATACCCGATCCTTCCTGGCCTCAGTCTTCCCGCCCAGACTCGCAGGACATTCGACCCAATGTCATCTCATCTCTATTCTCCTTTGGTGGCACCAAGGTTTCTAATGCTCCCTTGCACCCTTTGTGGACCCCGCGAGTCCTCAAATTCTCCCCTGCACCCTCCTCTCATTTTCATCTCCTTTCTGCCTTCTCGCCAGCACCCCTCTGGAGTCAGGCCCCAGATTCTCTCTTTGCCCCCAGCCTCTGCTGGGTTCAAGGTACAGGTTCTCATCAGCTCTGGTCCAGTGCAACTAAGGGCAACTGTTTTCCCAGTTGCCCTGGGGAAGGGGGACCCCTTCCCCCTGTCCCCAGCACACTCACCTCTGTCCTCCTGCCCGTCCTTCTGTTCCCGCTGCTGTCCTGTCCCCAGGCTACTTCAGCCAGGACTGCTGGGAGCTTGGATCTGAGTTGGGGGGGTGCTCGGAGGAGGACAATTTCCTGTCAGGAAACCCCTCCCTCTCTGGGGCCAGGGGCGGGAAGGACTCATTATCTGTCTGCCCTTTTAGGCCAGGCTGCGGTTGGGCTGGGAAGGCCGAGGCCCACAGCTGGGCCCCCACCCTCACCCCCGCTCCAGGCCGGAATCCGCCCACTCCTGCATGCTCTTCACGCCTCCCAAGGTGACAACACCATCCTGGGCGCCCCGGGGAGACACCCCAAGCTGGACGCCAGCCCAGAGCTGCTCTCCAGCATGGGCAAGCCCCGAGGCCTTAGAATGAGAACCGGGGGGCAGGCACGCATCTCTCTAGAGTTCCCTGCCACGGGCTGAAGACCAGGAGGGAAGTTTTGCTGGGCCCAGGGGCTGGGGAGGGGGACCTATGGAGGAGGGCACTGGACATGGCTTTGGAATTGTGGTTCTCTTTGTCTAGAAGCCCCTGTACCCAGGTCTCTGCATGAGGCCCTCCTTTTCATCATCCCAGTTCCAGCCCCACAGTCTCTTCCTCTGTTCTCCACTGTCCCGTCTCACAGAGTCGTCACTCTGCTTTGTCAATTTATTTTTCTTTTTTTTTTTCCTGAGACAGAGTCTTGCTCTGTTGCCCAGGCTGGAGTGCAGTGGCGTAACAATAGCTTACTGCAGCCTGGATCTCCCAGACTCAAGAGATCCTCCCACCTCAGCTTCCTGAGTAGCTGGGACTACAGGCATGCACCACCATGCCCAGCTAATTTTTGTATTTTTTGTAGAGACACGGGTCTCATTAGGTTCTCCAGGCTGGTCTCAAACTCCTGGCCTCAAGCCATCCTCCTGCCTCGGCTTCCCAAAGTGCTGGGATTACAGGCGTAAGCCACTGTGCCCAGCCTGTCAATTTCTTTATTGCACCTTCTACAATCTGAAATTATCAGATGCAACTGGATTCCTTGCAGATAAACTCAGCAAAGCTCACTTTGTTGATCCTGTTCATCTTTATAAGCCTAGCTGCGTGCCTGGCCCTCAGTAGTCAAGATTTAAATGAATTTAAATGAAGCTGAGGGTTGGAGGTGGGTTTGGAGATGGACTTCCTGCTAGAGTTGGGATGCCAAGTGAAGTGAGGGCTGGGGCTGGAGCTGGTGCTGGGTGGGGTTGGGTATGAGAGTCAGGGTTACTTTAAAAGGCTAGGGCCATGTGTGGTGGCTCATGCCTGTAATTCCAGCACTTTGGGAGCCAAGGCAGGGGGATTGCTTGAGCCCAGGAGATCAAGACCAGCCTGATAATATAGCAAGACCCCGTCTCTACAAAAAAAAAAATTTTTTTAATTAGCCAAGTGTGGTGGCACGCTGTAGTCCTAGTTACTAAGGGAGCTGAAGTGGGAGGATCACTTGATCCTGGGAGGTGGAGGCTGCAGTGAGCCATGATCTCGCCACTGCGCTCCAGCCTGGGTGACAGAGAGAGACCCTGTCTCAAAAATTAAGAAAAAAAAAATTTTTTTTAAATAAATAAAACTGGGCTGGTTGCAGTGGCTTATGCCTATAATCCCAGCACTTTGGGAGGCCAAGGTGGGTGGATCGCTTGAGGTCAGAAGTTTGAGACCAGCCTGGCCAAACTGATGAAACCCTGCCTCTACTAAAAACACAAAAATTAGCCAGGTGTGGTGGTGCATACCTGTAATCCCAGCTACTCGGGAGGCTGAGACGGAAGAAATCGATTGAACCCAGGAGGCAGAGGTTGCGGTGAGCCGAGATTGTGCCACTGCACTCTCCGGCCTGTGAGACAGAGTGAGACTCCATCTCAAATAAACAAACAAACAAATAAATAAATAAGATAAACTGTGTTCAAGTGCTCAGGCACAGCCTGAGGGGGATGCGTGATCACTGGCCTAGGCAAAGTCCAGGCTGGGATCAGGGTTGGGGTCAACATTAGGATCGGGGGCTGGGCTTAGGGATCACAGCTCCCTCCTGGATCCAAGGGTTAAGATTCAAAGGTCTGAATGCCCCAGTTGAAGGAATGAATTCACCAGACATAGGTTGTGGAGGAAGGGCTAGCTGGATGACCAGGTCGGGAGGCAGAGGAACAGGCCTTGCCCCCCAGCTCGGCCTCTGCACCGCGGACCCATGGTCAGCAGTGGCCCATCATGTACTGGGATCGTGCAGGATTTCCACCCCGCCTTATTTATTTATTTATTTATTTATTTATTTAGAGACGGAGTCTTGCTCTGTCGCCAGGCTGGAGTGCAGTGGCGTGATCTCTGCTCACTGCAACCTCCGCCTCCTGGGTTCAAGCAATTCTTCTGCCTCAGCCTCCCGAGTAGCTGGGACGCAGGCGCTTGCCACCTGCAAGCGCCCGGCTAATTTTTTGTATTTTTTTTAGTAGAGACAGGTTTTCACTGTGTTAGCCAGGATGATCTCGATCTCCTGACCTCGTGATCTGCCCGCCTCGGCCTCCCAAAGGGCTGGGATTACAGGCGTGAGCCACCGTGCCCGTCCCCCTCCTTTTTAAAAATTATTTTTTTTATTTTGATTTAGAGACAGGGTCTCACTATGTTGCCCAGGCTGGTCTCGAACTCCTGGGCTCAAGTGATCCTCCCGTTCTGGCCTCCCAAAGTACGGGGATTACAGGTGTGAGTCACCGCGTCCAGCCCCCTTTTTAAATTTTATTATTATTTTTTATTGAAATACAATTCACATACATAAGAGTCACCCTTTTCAAACAGAGTCCGGTAGGTTTTAGTATATTCACAAGGTTGCAGCAAGCGTCACCACTATTTAATTCCAGAACATTCTCATCACCCCAAAAAGAAACCTGGTACCCATCAGCAGTCATTTCTCATTCCCCAGCCTCCAACCCCTGGCAACCATTAATCTACTTTCTGTCTATGGATTTGCCAATTCTGAATATTTCATATGAATGGAAGCATACAGTAAGTGGTCTTTTGCGTCTGACTTCTTTCGCTAAACATGCTGTTTTCTTTTTTTCTTTTTTGAGACGGATTCTCACTCTGCCGCCCAGGCTGGAGTGCAGTGGCGCGATCTCAGCTCACTGCCAGCTCCGCTTCCCGGGTTCACGCCATTCTCCTGCCTCAGCCTCCTGAGTAGCTGGGACTACAGGCGCCCGCCACCGCGCCCGGCTAATTTTTTGTATTTTTAGTAGAGACGGGGTTTCACCGTGGTCTCGATCTCCTGACCTCGTGATCCGCCCGCCTCGGCCTCCCAAAGTGCTGGGATTACAGGCGTGAGCCACCGCGCCCGGCCACATGCTGTTTTCAAGGTTCATCCACTTTGCAGCCTCCCTCTCTGTAAGCCTCGGTCCCCCCACATCTGGGAAATGGGGTGGGGACGCTGTTGGGGAAGGGAGGGCAGGGGTGGACCCTGGAGTGTGTGGGGCGCGTGTAGGGAGGTGATCGGCTGCCCCCGTGTGGTGCACGGTAGAACTGCAGCTCTCAGCGCCAATGCAGGGAACGGGTTGGGGGCGCTCAGCCCCTCTAGCCTACCCCCAAGACCCCCACTTTCACCCTGCGGCGTCCCTGGGATCACAGTACGTCTAGAACACTACCCCGGAACTCCACCCTCTCTGCCACTGTCCCTGAGGCTCCTCGGGCCATATTTGCCAAATAGTAATAATAATGTCCCCACATATGAATTTTGAATCTGGTCCCCTGTGAAGCACTTTACTCAAAGATTCTCATTTATTTGTTAGCAGTAACATTAAAATAACAAATAAATATAAACAAATTGACAAATAAAAATAGTAGCAGCCTGAGGTTGCTGCTATTATTTTTCGGAGACAGGAAACCACAGTGGTTGAGAGAGGGTCCAAGTTCTGGAACTTGGGAGCACTTGGATTCAAATTGTAGCCCTGCCACTAATTTGCCGTGTGACCTTCAGCGTGTGACGTTTCTCCCTTCCTTGGGCCTCTGTTTCCTCATCTGCAAATGGGATTGATAAAGATGCTCCCTACCTCTTGGGGTGGCAGAAAGGAGAAACTGCTCAGAGCCTGGCACAAGGGCAACTGCCATGAGTCTGTGTTGCTCATAGTATCAAGCAGTGCTGTGCTTTCACAACCAGCTTTTGGCTGAGTGCAGGGTAGTCCCAGCACTTTAGGAGGCCGAAGTGGGAGGATCGCCTGAGCCTGAGAGTTGGAGATCAGCCTGGGCAATATGGCTACAAAAAATTAGCTGGGCGTGGTGGTGCACACCTGTAGTCCCAGTGACTTGGTGGGGCTGAGCTGGGAGGATTGCTTGAGCCGGGGATGTCCAGGCTGCGGTGAGCCATAATCGTGCCACTGCACTCTAGCCTGGGTAATGCAGTGAGACCCTGTCTCAAAAACAAAACAAAGCAAAGCAAAACAAAACACCCCCAGCTCTCTGCAGGTGGGGGTGTGGAGCCTTAATTTGTAGCATTTGCCAATTTCCATGGTGTAAATATTCCCACCATGGCTAATTTCAAGCTACCAAGGTGATATCACATGGCATTTTTGCCCCCCATTATATAGTAATTTTACTGTGCAGCTACAATAGACGTAGGTAACCTCAAGATCACAGATAATGGCAAATGTAGTAAGATAACTAGGACGTGATGAGTATGTATTACTTGTACCTTTAATGTAATTTAATTGTATGTTTGCATAATTTAATTTTTAATAATGGCTGTGTTTAACAACCAGTTCCAAAATTCCTGAGACATAACAATCAGCTCGCTCCAGCCAGATCCAGCACACTGCTGTTTTAGAAGGGGAAACTGAGGCTCAGGAAAATAAGCCTCAGATAGAAGAAGGCAGGGCACAGACCCCTTCCCAAAACCATGTGACTCCCAGGCCAAGACTATGTAATGCCTGTCTTTCTTTCATCCCACCCTGGTCCACAGAGCATGGATGGTCCCCACAGCGCTGTGTGGCCTCCGAGAGGCTCTTGTCCTCTCTGGTCTCAGCCTGCCCGCATGGGGAGTGGCTGTGCCCTGCAGGCGAATACCTGCACAGGGTTCCTTCGCACCTGCCAGTGAGCAACACACGGATTCTTCCTTTCACTTTACAAACTGGGAAAGTGAAGCCCAGAAAGGGCAAGTGCTTGCCCCGGGTCATACAGGTGGACAGAGAGGGTCCCCACACCCCAGCTGGGGTGCAAAGGAGTGGATGCTGCAGCCCCAACCTGCGGGTCTGGATCTATGTGGCTGAGTGGAGGCAGCCTGACTAGGGAGGTCACTGAGCCCTCAGCAGTGGCCAAGCCCCGCACACCATCCCCTTCACCCACCCCACCCTTAGGCCTCCGAGGGGAGAGCTTCCCCCGCTCCCCCCCGCCAACTGGGGAGAGAATGGGCCAGGGGGAGGGACAATGTGGGCAGCGCCTCTGGGGTCTTCTCTGGCTCAGTCCCTTTATCTCTATCTCTTCACAGATCTCTGCGTCTCTGTATCTCTTTGTCTCTCCCTGTGTGTGTGTGGGGTCTCTCTCAGTCTTTGTCCCTCTGCGTCTCTGGGTCTCTCTGTCTCTGTCTCCCTGCGTCTCTCTCTCTCTGTCATCTGGCTCTTCCTTCATCTCCTTGCGCCTCTCCACCCTTTTGTAACTCGTCTCTCTCTCTTCGTGTCTCTCTATCTCTACGTCTCTCGATCTCTCTCTCTGCGTCTCTGGCGCTCTGCCCCGGCCTCTCTCTCCCCTTCTCTCCTCTCCAGTGCGCCTCTCGTCTCGGGCGAGAACACGCTCCCCGCCGGCGTGCCCAGACCCGCCTCCGCCCCCGGAGCCCCCGGAGCCCCCGGCGCCCCGACCAGCCCGGGCCTGCGCCTTTAAGGGCCGGCGGCGGGGGGCGGGGTCCCGGCGCCCCGCCCTGCCCGCCCCTCCCCCTGACGTCCCTTCCTCCCTCCCCAGCCCCTCCACCGCCTCCCTCCGCCGCCGCTTGGGCCGGCTCCGCGCCCCCTCCGCGGCCCCCGCCCGCCCGCCTGCCCGCCGCCCCCATGGCGCCCGGGGTCCCCGCTGCACGGGGCCACTAGGACCCTCGGCGTCCCTTCCCCTCCCCCGCCCTGCCCCCTCTCCCGCCGCGCGGACCCGGGCGTTCTCGGCGCCCAGCTTTTGAGCTCGCGTCCCCAGGCCGGCGGGGGGGGAGGGGAAGAGAGGGGACCCTGGGACCCCCGCCCCCCCCACCCGGCCGCCCCTGCCCCCCGGGACCCGGAGAAGATGTCTTCGCGGACGGTGCTGGCCCCGGGCAACGATCGGAACTCGGACACGGTGAGTGGGGCCCGGCCCCTTGGGGAGCCCTGGCTGGGTCCAGCCGCCAAACCCTTCTCCCCGTTGTACCCCTCGCCCCGCGAGCCCCTACCCTCGTTTCCTGGGCCCGACCCGGCTCGTCACCTCTCGACCCCTCCCGGACTTCCAGGCCTCTCCACCCTCCCCACCTTTTCCAGCCCAGCCCGACCCCTGGGGGCGCCCCTCTCTCGGGACCCCTCTCTTGTCCCCGTGCAGACCGCTTCCGCTCGGGTCTGTTCCCTCCAGGAAGCCCCTTCCCCTGCTTCCAGGAGCCCCTCCCTTCTCTTGCCTGTGCTAAGCCGTTTCCCCTCCAGGCCGTCCGCGTCCGACACCTCGCCCCCTCCCGGATTTGCAGGGCCCCTGACCCCCCAAGGCCCGGCCCTGGCACTCTCAGCAGGGCCTGGCCCAGTCCTGCCTCTGGCTCCGGCCTTCCCTGTCTGGGGCTGGGTGCCGGCTCCCCAGGAGCCCCCCTCCTCTTATTCCCAGCCCTCTGCCCCTCCAGGACGCACCCAGGGCGCCTGTGGGCAGCCCCTGGCAGGAAGCTGGTTTCCACCTCTCCTGGGCCCCGGCCCTTTTCTGGCTTCTTCAAGGTCTCTCCCGTCCCAGGCCTGGTCCCCATCTTCCAAGCAGCCCTGTCCCTAGATCCCAGCACCCCGGGGCCCCCAGATGCCACCTGGACCCTTTCTGGTCTCTTCCTCTCCCAGGAAGCCTTGGCCTCCAACTTCTAGGCCCTCACCTCACCCAGGCTGGTATTTCTAGGCCCTGGACCAGTCTGACTCCAGGCCTCATCCGCCCTCTATCAACTTCTCAGCTTCAGGCAGCCCCTTCCCCAACCCCCAACCTCTGGACCCCCTGCTAGGCCAAACTCAGACCCCTTCCCCACAAACCACCGTCCTTTCTCCTGCCCCAGGGCCTCCCCCTTCCTTGCTGGGAGTCTGGCCTTCCAAGGAAGCCCCCTCCTCAGCTTCAGAGGCCTTCCTCAGCTACAGGGCCTGGCCCCAGATCCTTCTTCCAGAAAACTCCTGGACCTGAAGCCTCTCGTCTTGCCCTGGTTTCAAGCCCTTTTCCCTTGGGTCAATCTGCTGGAAGCTTTCTCCCCAAATTTCTAGACCCCTTGACCTTCCCCAGGGCTCAGCCTTTATTCATCTGGGCTGCTCCTTGCCCAAGAAGTTCCTACCCCATACTTCCAGGCCCCCCAGACCCTTCTCTGGTTTCAAGGACTTCTCCTAGAAGCCCCCTTCTCTGATTCCTAGGAGCTTCCCCAAGACCCAGGGATTCCTGGCCTCTGACTTCCACTGCCCCCATGGCTTTGTCACTTTCCACCATTCCCAGGCGCCCCCTGCCCCTACACTGCTTCCCAGAGAGGCCCCTCCCCATCTCCTGTGTCTCTGATCACTGATCACTTCCAAAGACCTGCCCACCACCCAATCCTAGACTTCTCCCCACCTGGGATCTTTGTGGCTTTCTCCAAATCCTTCTGCCAGGTCCCTGTTCCCCTTCCCCCTGTTTCCCTCACCTCCGACAGACCCCCCCACACACACACACCATCAGAGAGATTTATATCTGTCCCTTCCTCATCTTGCAGATCCCTCCCTCACAGAGACCACCCCGCATCATCACTATGGGCCAGAACTCCAATTTGGAGTCTAATGAAATGCCTACCACCTCTGTTCCTTGGTCACTACAATCTACAGTGAGGTGCCAGGGGCTCCACAGTCCTGGGTTCCAATGCTGACATGGCCAGCTGGTTTGCCTTGTGTCCTCAGACAACCAGTTCTCCCTTTCTGAGCCTCAGTTTCCTGCCCTGGAAAATAGGGGTGACCGCTTGAGTGCCTCCAAGGCTTACTCGATTCAGGCGAAGGCTGGCACCTAGGAAGCACTCCACAAATGCCAGCTGCTATTGTGGCTGTGGGTATGAGTCAGACAGCCCGTGGATTCTCAGCTCAGGGCTGTTATTGGTTGTTGAGTGAGCCTGCAGATTCACTCCCAGCTTGCAGCCTCAGTTTCCTTATCTCTAAATCGGGTTGATGATGGCCCCCCACTGTTAGGGATGTTTGCAGGAGCCAGCGACGTGATGTGACTAAGGTGCACAGGGCCTGGCATGTGTCGTGGCTGTTGTGGTTATTAGCACTACTTTAATTGTTCAGATAAACTTGGGTTCACATCCTGTTTCTGTCCCTCCCTAGCTGTGTGACCTCGGGCAAGTAACCTTACCTCTCTGAGCCTTGGTTTCCTTGTCTGTTAAGTGGAACGCCTAATGAAGACTTGCTGTTCCCTGGGTTGTTAAGATGCGTGCATGGTGCGGATTTGAGGATGGCTAATCCCCTTTTCTCTCCTCCAACTCTTGTCACTAAGACCTGCCTGTCAGTCCTGGTGGGGAGTCACTTGCCTGCCTCTGGAATGGGAGGTTGCAGCCCCCTCTCCTGTTACCTGGTTACCATGGCTACAGCCACGTGGGGTCATGCTCCCCCACCCCAAGTTCCAGGGCCCCCCACCAGGGGGCCAGCCTCCCCAGGTTCCCTAGCAACAGTCCCGGGTGTTGGGGCGCCAGCCGGGCGGGAGGGAGCCAGGCCAGCTGGTGGTGCAGGCCAATTTTAGCTCCCACCCCCGGCCCCCAGGGGCTTTGTCACCCACTGCCCCAGCTGCCCCTCGCAGGGGTCCCTCAGCCATGCTGCCTTCAGCGTGGTGCCATCCCACCTCCAGCTGGCTGCCCTGGCGCCACCTGACAGGGCTTCTTCTCCAGGTCCTTATCTTGGTGGGGATCGGAGGCCTTATCTCCAGGATCTCCACCTGCCTCCCTGGTCTCTCCTGGGAAGAAGCCTGGGCCTGTGGGGAAGCCTGGCTCAGCACTCAGGAGGAATCAGCAGGCCGGGGTTCGCATCCCAGCACTCTGCTCCATCTGCCCTGTGACCTTGGGGGAGGGACTCCCCCTGCCTGAGCCTGGGTGTCCCCGTCTGAAGACTGCAGATCATAATTGGACCCACATTGGAGGCCAGGGTGAGGGCACGGCAGGCAGTGGCGGACGCGTGGTTAGAGCCCTGGCCGTGGTGGTTGGAACTGCCCAGCTGTGGGGAGGTTGTCTTTCTGCCCCTGTGAATGGACTGTGTGACCTTCACATGGCACCTTCCCTCTCCAAGGCTCAGTTTCTCTGCTGGAACATGGAGTCATTCCCTGGGCTACTGCAGGAATTAAGTGTAGGCGAGTTACCTGTTTACACAGGACTTGGTCCATAGCATGAGCTGCTTTGTAGAAATGGTTCATGACCCAGCGTGGTAGCTCACACCTATAATCCCAGAACTTTGGGAGACCCAGGCAGGAGGATGGCTTGAGCCTGGGAGCTGAAGACTAGCCCGGACAACATAGCAAGACTCCATCTCTACAAAAAAATTTAAAAATCAGCTGTGTGTGGTGGTGCACTCCTGTGGTCCCAGCTACTCAGGAGCCTGAGATGGGAGGATTTGCTTGAACCCAGGCAGTTGAGGCTCCAGTGAGCCTTGATTACACCACTGCACTTCAGCCTGGGTAACAGAGCAAGGCCCTGTCTCAAAAAAAAAAAAAAGGTTCAGGTGTGAGAGGCAGTGTGGTATTGTGACAGAGAAGAGCATCAAGTCTGGTGGAAACTATCGGGCACGGTGGCTCATGCCTGTAATCCCAGCACTTTGGGAGGCCGAGGTGGGCAGATCACCTGAGGTCAGGAGTTCAAGACCAGCCTGGCCAACATGGTGAAACCCCCTCTTTACTAAAAATACAAAAATTAGACGGTTGTGGTGGCGGGCGTCTGTAATCCCAGCCACTCGGGAGGCTGAGGCAGGAGAATTGCTTGAACCCAGGAGGTGGAGGTTGCAGTGAGTTGAGATCGTGCCATTGCACTCCAGCCTGGGCAACAAGAGTGAAACTCTGCCAAAAAAAAAAAAAAAAAAAAAAAATACTGGTGGAAACTGTTTGGGTTCAGATCGTGGGTCCGGGTCTCACTTTCCCCACCTGTAAAATGGAGATAATAGTGTGGTAATGGCCTCATATTGCATCAATGACCAGCATTAATTAAACGTTAGTTGTCGTTGCTATCAAGTGGCCCGGCAGTGTCTTTCTCAGAGACTTGGGCCCCCAGCCCATCAGCCTCTTGGCCTTTCTTCCTCCCCTCCTGTTGTCCTCCTGCTTCCCACTCCCAGCCGGAAGGGCACAGGCAGAACTGCCTTGGCGGGAGGCCTCAGGCACCCTGAGCCCCAGCCCTGAAAGGGAGACAGTCCCTGGGGCTTCCAATCAGGCCAGGGCAGCTCAGAGCAGGCAGGTGACCTGCGGGGGAGAGAGGCCAGGGAGGGACAGGACAGTAGGAACAGAACATCAGGAGGAGAGAAGCCATGGTGTGGGAGACAGCAAGTCAGGGCGCTTCTCAAGCCCTGGGTGTTTCAGGGGGTGGCAGAAGCAACAGTGTTTCCCATGGAAGGAGGATAACAGGGATTCAACCAGGTCTCAGGGCCAGTGAAAGACTTGGTTACCCTGCAGGGGGTGGTGGCTCAGGCCTGTAATGCCAGCACTTTGGGAGGCCGAGGTGGGTGGATCACCTGAGGTCAGGAGTTCAAGACCAACCTGGCCAACATGATGAAACCTCGTCTCTACTAAAAATACAAAATTAACCAGGTGTGGTGGCACATGCCTGTAATCCCAGCTACTCGGGAAAGCTGAGGCAGGAGAATCGCTTGAACCCAGGAGGCAGAGGTTGCAGTGAGCCAGACTGGGCCACTGCACTCCAGCTTGGGCAACAAGAGTGAAACTCTGTGTCAAAAAGAAAAAAAATAAGACTTGGTTACAATGTTTGGAGTCCAATCTGGGGTAACAGTGATTGGAATCAAATGTTAGGGGCATTCCACTGGGAATCAAATGTTGACATTTGGGTTTGAAGTAGAATTTGGGGGCTGGAGAGGGGACAGTTGATGGGTAAAATAGCAAGTCAGGACCAGTGGTGGTGGAGGAGGAGCCTCGAGTCCAGATTGAGGTCAGCGTTGATTGGGGTTGAGGGCAGCCTCATTTAGGGCAAAATATTGTAGAGTTGATCCAGGCTCCAGGACAGGCATATCCTGCTTTTTCGCACTTTGCCTTATTGAGCTTCACAGATACAGTGTTTTCTACAAATTGAAGGTTTCTGACGACCCTGTGTTGAGCAAGCCTGTAGGCTCCATTTTTCCAACAGCCTGTGCACAATTTGTGTCTCTGTCACATTTTGGTAATTCACACAGTATTTCAAACTTTTTCATCATTATTATAATAGCTGTTATGGTGATCTGATATCAGTGATGTTTTTCCTCTTTTTTTTTTAGAGACAGGGTCTTGCTCTGTTGCCCAGGCTGGAGTGCAGTGGCATGATCATAGCTCACTGCAGCCTTAACCTCCTGGGGCTCAAGCGATCTTCCCATCTCAGCCCCCTGAGTAGCTGGGACTATAGGCATATGCCACCATGCCTAGCTAATTTTTTTTTTTTAAGTTTTTCTAGAGATGGGTGTCTCGCTTCATTGCCCAGGCTGGTCTCAAACTCCCTGGCTTCAAGCGATCCTCCCGCCTTGTCAATGATTTTGTTTTATTGTGATTCACTGAAGGTTCAGATGATTGTTAGCATCTTTTAACAAGAAAGTATTATAAAATTAAAGTATGTACATTGTTTTTATAGCTGTAATGCTATTATTGCACACTCAGTAGACTGCAGTATGATGTAAACACAATTTTTCTTTCTCTTTTTTTTTTTTTTTTTTGAGATGGAGTCCCACTCTGTCACCCAGACTGTAGTGCAGTGGCGCGATCTCAGCTCACTGCAACCTCTGCCTCCCTGGTTCAAGTGATTCTCCTGCCTCAGCCTCCTGAGTAGCTGGGATTACAGGTGCGCGTCACCATGTCCGGCTAATTTTTGTATTTTTAGTAGAGACGGGGTTTCCCCGTGTTGGCCAGGCAAGTTTCACACTCTGACCTCAGGTGATCCACCTGCCTTGGCCTCCCAAAGTGCTGGGATTACAGGCGTGAGCCACCTCGCCTGGCCCATAATATTTTTTTTTTTTTTTTTTGAGACAGAGTCTCGCTCTGTCACCCAGGCTGGAGTGCAGCGGCGCGATCTCGGCTCACTGCAAGCTCCACCTCCTGGGTTCATGCCATTCTCCTGCCTCAGCCTCCCAAGTAGCTGGGACTACAGGCGCATACTGCCACGCCTGGCTAATTTTTTGTATTTTTAGTAGAGATGGGGTTTCACCTTGTTAGCCAGGATGGTCTCAATCTCCTGACCTCGTGATCTGCCCGCCTCGGCCTCCCAAAGTGCTGGAATTACAGGTGTGAGCCACCATGCCTGGCCTTTTTTTTTTTTTTTTAGACCAAGTCTCACTCTATCACTCTGGCTAGAGTGCAGTAGAGCGATCTCGGCTCACTACAACCTCTGCCTCCCAGGTTCAAGTGATTCTCCTGCCTCAGCCTCCAGAGTAGCTGGGATTACAGGCGTGTGCCAATGCCTGGCTAATTTTTGTATTTTTTTAGTAGAGATGGGGTTTTCACCATATTGGCCAGGCTGGTCTCGAACTCCTGACCTCATGATCCACCCACCTCAGCCTCCCAAAGTGCTGGGATTACAGGCCTGAGCCACTGCACCTGGCCACCTGGCCCATAATTTTTATATGCACTGGGAATCCAAAAGATTCATGTGCATTGCTTTTTTGCAGTATTTGCTTTATTGCGGTGGTCTGGAACCAAACTTGCGATATCTCTGAGGTATGTGTGTAATTAGAAAAGGAGGTTGGGGCTGGATGCGGTGGCTCACATCTGTAATCCGTACAGCCGAGGCAGGTGGATCACCTGAGTCAGGGGTTTGAGACCAGCTTAGTCAACATGGTGAAACCCCGTCTCTACTAAAAATACAGAAATTAGCCAGGCATGATGGTGCACGCCTGTAATCCCAGCTGCTCGGGAGGCTGAGGCAGGAAAATGGCTTGAACCCGGGAGGCAGAGGTTGCAGTGAGCTGAGATCGTGCCACTGCACTCCAGCCTGGGTGACAGAGGAAGACTCCATCCGAAGGAAAAAAAAAAAGACAAGGAGGTTGGGGGTAGTCAGACTGCAGTGAGGGTTGAAGAAGGGGTGTGATGCCTGGGGCCCTGAATGTTGCAGATTTGGAGGACATGGGGGCTTTTGTTCCTGGAGGCGTCTTTTTGTAGAGAAAGATGAAGGATGCTTGGCTCTCTGGGGCCTGAGTTTGAAAAGGGCCACGGAGGGGCCGGTAGCCAGGCCTCAAGTTAAGTGCACTAGCCCACGGGTTCCACGGAAGGTGGGATTGGATAGCTCATGCTCCATCTCCCCCGCCCAGCATGGCACCTTGGGCAGTGGCCGCTCCTCGGACAAAGGCCCGTCCTGGTCCAGCCGCTCACTGGGTGCCCGTTGCCGGAACTCCATCGCCTCCTGTCCCGAGGAGCAGCCCCACGTGGGCAACTACCGCCTGCTGAGGACCATTGGGAAGGGCAACTTTGCCAAAGTCAAGCTGGCTCGGCACATCCTCACTGGTCGGGAGGTGAGTATGGGCACAGGGTGGGGCTCGGGGCAGGTCCCTGTGGGACCAGGTCTTCGGTGTATGTTGATAGAGGTCAGGATTGGCCCTGGGTTTGCTTTGTGGCCTCAGGTAAGTTCCCGACTCTCTATGGGACAGGTCACAATATCTCTGATGTTCCCAGAACCACCCCCATGGGAAAAGAGAACTAATTTCATGTATCCCTGAAATTGCCGGGAAATCTCAGATCACAGGCAGTCCAATGTGTGCGTTGCTAAGGATGCATGTGGCTTTTGTAGATAAACCTGAGCTGTGGCCGGATGCATTGGCTCACACGTGTAATCCCAGCACTTTGAAAGGCCAAGGCAGGAGGATTCCTTGAGCTCAGGAGTTTGAGACCAGCCTGGGCAACATAGCAACACTTTGTCTCCACTAAAAAATAAGTAAAATTTTTTAAAAATTAGCTGGGTGCGGTGGTGTGTGCCTGTGGTCCCAGCTACTTGGGAGGCTGAGGCGGGAGGATCGCTTGAGCTCAGGAGTTTGAGGCTGCGGTGAGGTGTGACCTCACCACTGCACTCCAGCCTGGGTAACAGAGTGAGACCCTATCTCAAAAAATAAAAATAAAATAAAATAAAAGAGGGCTGGGCATGGTGGCTTACGCCTGTAATCCCAGTACTTTGGGAAGCTGAGGCAGGTGGATTGCTTGAGGTCAGGAGTTCGAGACCAGCCTGACCAACATGATGAAACCCTGTCTCTATTAAAAATACAAAAATTAGCTGGGCGTGGTGGCACATGCCTATAATCTCAGCTGCTCAGTAGGCTGAGCCAGGAGAATCGCTTGAACCCAGGAGGCGGAGGTTTCAGTGAGCCGAGATCATGCCACTGCACTCCAGCCTGGGTGACAGAGTGAGACTCTGTCTCAAAAAAATAAAAAAATTAAAAGGCCGTGCGCGGTGGCTCACTCCTATAGTCCCAGCACTTTGGGAGGCCAAGGCAAGTGGATCACCTGAGGTCAGGAGTTCAAGACCAGCCTGGCCAACATGGTAAAACCCCGTCTCTACTAAAAATATAAAGATTAGCTTGGTGTGATAGCAGGCACCTGTAATTTCAGCTACTTGGGAGGCTGAGGCAGGAGAATTGCTTGAGCCCAGGAGGCAGAGGTTGCAATGAGCCAAGATGGTGCCACTGTATTCCGCCTGGGCAACAAGACCGAGACTTTGTCTCAAAAAAAAAAAAAAAAAATTGGCCGAGTGCAGTGGCTCATACCAACAAACACAGCGCTTTGGGAGGCCGAGGCAGGTGGATCACCTGAGGTCAGGAGTTCGAGACCAGCCTGGCCAACATGGCAAAACCCCATCTTTACTGAAAAAAAAATACAAAAATTAGCTGGGTGTGGTGGTGCGTGCCTGTAAGCCCAGCTACCTGGAAGGCTGAGGCAGGAGAATCACTGGAACCCAGGAGGCGAAGGCCGCAGTGAGCCGAGATTGTGCCACTGCACTCCAGCCTGGGTGACAGAGCAAGACCATCTCAAAAAATAAATAAATAAATAAATAAATAGTAAATAAATTAAAAATAAAAAATAAATAAACCTGAGCTGCCTCTCTGTTTTAAGGGTGGACTTTGGTTCCTTGAAATCTTCCTGTGATCTGGAGAACACAGCAGGTTTATTTATGTTGTATTCTCAGTTACACACAGCCTCACTCTCCCCACCACCTCTTCCAGAGCAGGCATCTGTGCTGAGTATGGTGACATTATTGCAAAAAGGGCCCACACAGGCTTTGCAGCCTAGATATGAGGTCTCTAACTCACTTAGAGGAAAAGGAATGGTGGGTGATTTCATGATTTCCCCACCCCTCCTTCAACTTCAGAGAAATGATTGGAATGAATTATCCTGCCTTGGATGGACTCTCCCCTGCCCTCACGCTGTCTACACCATACACGCAAAAGACACCGGGCCCCGATGGTCTTACAGGCAAATCCTACCAGATGTTCACATTTTATGCCAGTTCTTCCAGAGACTAAAGAAAGAACTGCCACTGCCTGACTGATTTTTACGCGCTAGTTTGTCCTTAAGAGCAAAACCAGACAAGAAACAAAATTACAGGCCAATCTGGTGAACATAGGTATAAAAATCTTATACAAAATATTAACAAACAGAACCTGGCAAATCAATTAAAGAAAGCTGTGTGATGACGAAACTGGCTTTATCTCAGGAATGCAAAGTTCTTTTCCCTTTGACAATTTATTCATGTACTTCACCACATTCTCAGATTAAAGAAGAGAAACCATATGATCGTCTCAATACTGGCATAAAAAGTGTTTGATAAAATTTTTAAAAACACATTCGTGAGAATATGAGGAAAGCTAAGGGGCTCTCTCTTCCATGAAGAACACATGGTTCCCTATATGTGGATCTGGTTCCAGGGGTTTCTGAGAGGGACCTGGCCCCATCTCTGTTTTAAAAATAAAATAAAAGTTTTACTGCAGACTGGGTGCGGTGGCTCATGCCTGTAATCCCAGCACCTTGGGAGGCTCAGGCAGGCGGATCACCTGATGTTGGGCGTTCAAGACCAGCTTGGCCAACATGGAGAAACCCCGTCTCTACTAAAAATACAAAATTAGCCAGGCATGGTGACGCATGCCTGTAATCCCAGATATTCGGGAGGCTGAGGCAGGAGAATCCCTTGAACCTGAGAGGTGGAGGTCGCGGTGAGCCAAGATTGCGCCATTGCACTCCAGCCTGAGCAACAAGAGGGAAACTCTGTCTCAAAAAAAAAAAAAGTTTCACTGCAAAAGAAGTATAAGGAGAGTTCAATGACATTCTGATTTCCTCCCCATGATGTATCTCAAAGCTGTTTTAAAAGTTGTGTTTAAGAGGTAGATTCCATCAGGCTGCATAAGTTCAAATCTGGGCCACAACTTACTACAATTTACTAGCCATGTAACTTTGGCCAAATGACTAAACAGCTCTGTGCCTCAGTTTCCCTGTTGGTAAAATGATGATAATCCTGTTAGCCAAATGTTGGTGGCATGTGCCTGTGGTCCCAGCTACTTGGGAGGCTGAGGTGGGAGGATCACTTGAGCCCAGGAGGTCAAGGTTGCAGTGAGCTATGATCACACCACTGTAACACCACTGTACTCTAGCCTGGGAGACACAGCGAGACTCTGCCTCCAAAAGAAAAGGGGGCGGGGGGGTGGGGTGGGTGCGGAGAATGGGAGGGATAATCCTAGCACTTATCTCACAGGTTGTTGTGAAGATTAAGAGTTCTCGTTTGTAAAGCGCATAGTCCTTGTAGTGAGGGCTTAGTGCATGTTAACCAGTTGTTATTTATTCCACTGTTCATTTGTTCAAAACAAAGATGTGATGGGCCAGTGATCTTCATTGCCCTCACAAAGGGATCCCCTCAAGGTCTCGTCCATGCCCACATCCACTCAGGCAGCTCTGGAGCAGCGTCAGCCAGGCCCTGCTGTGGAATAAGGATATTTCTCTGCAGAAGTGAGGGTGGCAGTGGAGACAGTGAGGACAGCTTGTGCAAAGGCCCTGAGGCCCTGAGTTCCCCATCCACAGGGTATGGCCCAGAGTGAGGGCTCTTCTGGGAGAGGGGGCAAAGGAAGGATATCCCAGGGTGATCTGAGCTGGGCCAGCTGGAGTGCAGTGACGTCATCTTGGCTCACTGCAACCTCTGCCTCCCAGGCTCAAGCGATTCTTCCAACTCAGCCTCCAGAGTAGCTGGGATTACAGGTGCCTGCTACCACACCTGGCTAATTTTTGTATTTTTAGTAAAGACAGGGTTTCGTCGTGTTGACCAGGCTGGTCTCGAACTCCTGGCCTCAAGTGATCCTCCCGCCTTGGTCTTCCCAAAATGCTGGGATTACAGGCCTGAGCCACCATATCCAGTGGGGCTTGTGGCACCTTGACCGTCCCTCCTCCTTTCCTCCCCCTCTAGGTTGCCATCAAGATTATCGACAAAACCCAGCTGAATCCCAGCAGCCTGCAGAAGGTGAGGCTGGGGAGACGGGGGAGAGCAGGAGCCAGGCTTCCGGCACAGCCGGGTGACCCACCTGACCCTTCCTGCGGGGGCCCGGCTGGGGAAAGGATCCCCCAAGCCACCCACCCTCACTCTCCTCTGTCTTCCTTTCTGGCCACGCCCAGCTGTTCCGAGAAGTCCGCATCATGAAGGGCCTAAACCACCCCAACATCGGTGAGGAGGGAATGGGAGCAGGGGCAGGCCACCAACTGGAACACTTGCAAAGGAGTTGGGGGTGGTGGCAGTGGTTAGAATAGTTGGAGACCCACCAGGCGCAGTGGCTCACTCCTGTAATCCCAGCACTTAGGGAGGCCGAGGCGGGTGGATCACTTGAGGTCAGGAGTTCGACACCAGTCTGACCAACATGGTGAAACTCTGTCTCTACTGAAAATACAAAAATTAGCAGGGCATGGTGGCGGGCGCCTGTAATCCCAGCTACTCGGGAGGCTGAGGCAGGAGAATTGCTTGAGCCCAGGAGCCAGAGGTTGCAGTGAGCTGAGATCGCACCACTGCACCCCAGCCTGGGCAATAAAGCGAGACTTCATCTCAAAAAAAAAAAAAAAAGAAAAAGTTAGAGACCTGGTTTCTCATAGTTGCATCACTGCTGTGTGACCTTGGGCAAGTCACTTAACCTCTTTGAGCCTCTATTTTCTCTTCTGGAGTAGGGGTGATAAGAGGGCCTATTACCAGGTCATTGTGAGGATTGACAAAGATGATGCATCCAAAATGCTTAGTTTGGGCTGAGCTATGGGACTTGGTCCAGTTATTTCCACCAGCATCAACATCCTCACTGTCATTATCATTGGGCAGAGGCGGGAGTGAGGGGTCTTTAGTGAGAGAAGCGGAGTTTAGCTCCGCCTGGATGTGGCTGCAGCATTTGTTCATTCATTCATTCATTTACTCAGTAATTATTGATTGAGTGGCCGCTATGTGCCAGACCCTGGGGACACAACAGGGAAGACAACAAGACACAAATCTCTGGCCTCATGGAGCTGACATTCTTGTGAGAGAGAAAGTGGAAAGGGTGGCTGGGCGCGGTGGCTCACGTCTGTAATCCCAGCACTTTGGGAGGCCGAGGCGGGTGGATGACCTGAGGTTGGGAGTTGGAGATCAGCATGACCAACATGGAGAAACCCCGTATCTATTAAAAATACAAAATTAGCCGGATATGGTGGCGCATGCTTGTAATCCCAGCTACTCGGGAGGCTGAGGCAGGAGAATCGCTTGAACCTGGGAGGGTGAGCAGAGATCGCGCCATTGCACTCCAGCCTGGGCAACAAGAGCAAAACTCCATCTCAAAAAAAAAAAACGAAAGTGGAAAGGGTGGTAGAGGGGGCTGAGGAGTTTGGAAAATCTTGCTGTCAGTAGGGAGCCATTGAGTGTTGAGTTGGGGTGGGGGTGTTATGGTTGGCACATTTGCATAGTTACTGAGGACAGGTTAGGAGGGGCCCTTTCTCCCTAATGCCCTACACTGTTCCCAACCATTATAGTGAAGCTCTTTGAGGTGATTGAGACTGAGAAGACGCTGTACCTGGTGATGGAGTACGCAAGTGCTGGTGAGCCGCCCACCCTCTCCGCCCTGCCCCTGTGCCACCTCCCCCTGCCGCTGCACCTGACCCTGACCCCGCTCGGCCTCTGCCCTGCAGGAGAAGTGTTTGACTACCTCGTGTCGCATGGCCGCATGAAGGAGAAGGAAGCTCGAGCCAAGTTCCGACAGGTTGGGGCAGGGCTGAGGGTGGGGCTGACTGGGTGCCTGGGTCCCTGGGAGGGCGTCTGAGAGCTGGGCATGGTCTGGGCTGTCCAGCGACCTGGGGGCGGGGCTTAAGTCTGGGCAGGGGTGAAGGTGCAGAGCTGGGTGTGCTGGGCATATAGTTGCCCAGATGTGAGGGCATCCGGATGTAGGTTTGCAGGTGCCCCGTTGGGTGGGTGAGAGGATGTTTGGGCATGAAGGCGCCCCGGTGGGCAGGTGTTGCATGTGTAGGGCATGTGGGTGTGCCCAGCGCGTAGGTGTGTGGGTGATGGGGGCACGAAGGTGCCAGGGTGCCAGGTGTGAGTGTGCCGGAGTGTGATTCAAAAGATGTGTGGGCAGTAGCTATGTGGGTGCCCAGGTATGTAGGTATGTAGGTGTGTGGGGAAGAGAGTGTAGGGCACCCCAGGTAGATGGGCAAGAGAGGGCTGAGGGGTGGTTGTGTAAGCTTGTAGGTACTAGGGCATGCCGGTATGTGGGTGCCCGGGTGTGCGAGTGCCCAGATGTATGGGTTTCCAGGTGTGTGGTAGTGAGGACACCCAGGTGTGTAAGAGTGTGGGGGGGGCCAGGTGTGGAGTAAGAGGACGTGCAGGTGTGAGGGTGCCCAGGTATGTGGGATAAGAAGAAGTGCAGGTATAAGGGTGCCCAGGTGTGGGGTAAGAATATGTGCAGGTGTGAGGGTGCCCAGGTGTGGGGTAAGAGGAGATGCAGGTATGAAGGTGCCCAGGTGTGGGGTAAGAGGAGTTGTGGGTGTGAGGGTGCTGGGGCATGAGGGGTAAGAAGATGTGCGTGTGTGAGGGTGCCAGGTGTGTGGGGTAAGAGGAGATGCAGGTGTGAGGGTGCCGGGGCATGTGGGGTAAGCAGATGTGCAGGTGTGAGGGTGCCGGGCATGTCGGCTAGGAAGATGTGCAGGTGTGAGGGTGTTTCTGCCTTGACGCTGCTGTCCTGAACTCAAGGGCCATAAGCCCTGGTGAGTTGGGGCGGCCTGTCTATCTACAGGTATGGGATATCCCCATGGGAGTTTCCAGATGTGAAGGTCAAGAGAGGCTGGTCCCCATGCCTTGGTTCCGACATCCCTGGGCATGGGGGTGTCCTGGGGGAGACGTGTGTCTGCCCAGGTTCCACGGGCACCTCTTGCTGTGACTGAATCAGGGTGTGAGGCCCCAGATCTCAGGCTGTGCCTTGGGGAGGCCTGGGGCCCAGCTGTGAGTGGTTTCACAGTCCACTGAGGGAGGCTGAGGGTTTTGGGAGCCACAAATAACCAACCTTCCCCTTCCCTCCCAGATTGTTTCGGCTGTGCACTATTGTCACCAGAAAAATATTGTACACAGGGACCTGAAGGTAAGCCCCCGACCCGCTGTGATCTCAGGGACCACGGCTCAGCCCACAGACTTCTCCCTGCCCCCACCCCTCCATGGTTTCCGTGGCCTCCAGCAAATTCCTCCAGCCCTTTTCTCCTCCTGCTCTTCCCTCCACACCCAGCACCCCCTTGACCCTTTCCCAAGCTTTTGTGGCAGAAACAAGGCCAGCAGATGGGGGAGCGGATGGGGGGGAGGGGACAGGAGGAGTGAACAAAGCAGGGAGAAACAAAGTGTCCCAAAATGGCCCTGGATGCTACAGGGCTGTTGGATAAGGACGCTGGGACATGATAAGGGGTTTGTCGCTCTCAGAGCCTTTGGGACCTTGGCATTCTCCGACCTTAGGACATTCAGGACTCCTTGAGGATTTAGGTTGCAGAGCCCCAGAGTCACTCTGCCCACAGGGTCCCAGAGTCACAGGAATCTGAGAACTTTTTTTTTTTTTTTTTTTTGAGACAGAGTCTCACTCTGTCGCCCTGGCTGGAGTGAAGTGGCGCGATCTCCGCTCACTGCAAGCTCCGCCTCCTGGGTTCACACCATTCTCCTGCCTCAGCCTCCCAAGTAGCTGGGACTACAGGCGCCCGCCACCAAGCCCGGCTAATTTTTTATATTTTTAGTAGAGACGGGGTTTCACCGTGTTAGCCAGGATGGTCTCGATCTCCTGACCTTGTGATCCGCCCGCCTCAGCCTCCCAAAGTGCTGGGATTACAGGCATGAGCCACGGCACCTGGCCGGGAATCTGAGAACTTAAGAAGGCTTCGTTTTTATTTTTATTTTTGACATGGAGTTTCACACTGTTGCCCAGGCTGGAGTGTAGTGGCCCCATCTCAGCTCGCTGCAACCTCCGCCTCCCGGGTTCAGGCGATTCTCCTGCCTCAGCCTCCCGAGTAGCTGAGGTCACAGGCACCTGTCACCATGCCCAGCTATTTTTGTATTTTTAGTAGAGACGGAGTTTCACCATGTTGGCCAGGCTTGGTCTTGAACTCATGACCTCAGGTGATCCACCTGCCTCGGTCTCCTAGAGTGCTGGGATTACAGATGTGAGCCACCGTGTCCAGTCTGAGAAGGGGCTTTGAGAGAAAAGCCACCTTGGCCAGTACCAGGCAGGAAGGGACTCAACGGGGCTCCAGCCCAGCTACCTGTAGGAGCTGAGCCAGGCAGCCTCCTCGAGTACCTGTGGCCCCAGGGTCCGCATTCCACACCTTCCGCTGTATGTCTCAGTCCTCGCGCTCCAAGACCAGGTGGCTGACCGTTTGGTTGGCTCAAATCCGGTTGTCTTGACTGTCGTTTTGTGAGCACCTGTGTGCTAGGCGGCATCCTAAGTGCTTTAAGGAAGTGCTTCTGGAACTATCTGTGAGGAAGGACTGGGTTGGTTTTGTTGTTTTGTTTTGTTTTTTTGTTGCCCATACTGAAGTGTGATGTTTCCATCACAGCTCACTGTAGCCTCAACCTCTTGGGCTCAAATAGTTCTCTCACCTCAGCCTCCTGGGTAGCTGGAACCACAGGTGTGAGCCACAAAGCCTGGCTAATTTTTGAGTTTTTTGTAGACAAGGGATCTCACTCTGTTGTCCAGGCTGGTCTCGAACTCCTGGGCTCAAGAGATTCTCCTGCCTCAGCCTTCTGAGTTGCTGGGATTACAGGTGGGCACCACCATGCCCAGCTAATTTTTGTATTTTTAGTAGAGACGGGGTTTCACCACGTTGGCCAGGCTGGTCTCAATCTCCTGACCTTGGGTGATCTGCCCGCCTTGGCCTCCCAAAGTGCTGGGATTACAGGTGTGAGCCACTGTGCCCAGCCACAAACCCCATTTTAAAAGCTATTATTAGATTCTAAAGAAATTCCACAGTCAAATTCCTATGGAGGACCAGGCGCAGTCTCACACCTATAATCCCAGCACTTTGGGAGGCTGTGGTGGGAGGATTGCTTGAGCCCAGAAGTTCGAGAACAGCCTGGGCAACACACCCAAGACCTGATCTCTACAAAAAATAATTGTAAAAAATTAGCTTGGCTGGACGCGGTGGCTCTCACCTGTCCCAGCACTTTGGGAGGCCTAGGCAGGCAGATCACTGGAGGCCAGGAGTTCAAGACCAACCTGGGCAACACGGTGAAACTCCATCTCTACTAAAAATACAAAAATTAGGTGGTCGTTGTGGCGCGTGCCTATAATTCCAGCTGCTTGAGAGGCTGAGACATGAGAATTGCTTGAACCTGGGAGGTGGAGGTTGCAGTGTGCCAAGATCGCGCCAGTGCACTCCAGCCTGGACAACAGAGCAAGACTCCATCTCAAAAAAAAAAAAAAGAAAAAAAATTAGCTTGTATGCCTGTGGTCTCAGCTACTCAGGAGGCTGAGGCAGGAGGATCCCTTGAGCCCAGGAGGTTGAGGCTGCAGTGAGCCATGATCATGCCACTGCATTCCAACCTGGGTAACAGAGCAAAACCCTGTCTCTAAAAACAACAACAAAAAATACAAAAGCAGAAAGTGCATCTGAAAAAAAGAAAAATAATACAAAATGAAAACAAAAAACAAATTGCTATAGAGGTTCAAGTGCTAACCCTCTCTTCACTTCCTTCCACTGGGCTAGGGTGTCCCTCCACACGGCCCTGGAGGCAGCACCTTAGAGGCTTCCATGATTCACCTGGAGGTCGTATGTCCCCTGGTGGAGGGTCCCCAAAGCAGCTAACACGAGTTTTGGGGTCGTATTAGTACACCAGGGGTACCAACCAAGGGGACCAACCCATGTGACTTTGGGGCTGGATTGCGGAGCCTCAAATGGCAGGAAAAGAAATGTAATCCCTGGCCTGGCGTGACGGCTCACACCTGTAATCTCAGCACTTTTTGGGAGGCCGAGGTGGGCGGATCACCTGAGGTCAGGAGTTCGAGACCAGCCTGGCCAACATGGCAAGACCTCGTCTCTACTAAAAATAAAAAAAATAGCCAGGTGTGGTTGTGGGCGCCTGTAGTCCCAGGTACTCGGGAGGCTGAGGCTGGAGAATCGCTTGAACCCAGGAGGAAGAGGTTACAGTGAGCCGAGATCGTGCCACTGCACTCCAACCTGGGTGACAGAGTGAGACTCCATCTCAAAAATAAAAAATAAGAAAAAGTAAGCCCCGAGCAAGCCAGATGCTATTACATTCAGGTTTAGGGAGGAGCTCTGTGGTGTGTCTTTGTAGGGTTTGGGCCTTTATTGGGGCAGGAGCTGGGGAAGAGTGGTCCAGAAATAAACCAGGAGACATAGGGAGACCTGGGAGGAAGCCAGGGATGCTGGTGACCTGGGCGAGGGAAGGACCGCAGTTGGGATGGGCCAGACGCGGGTGACATTTTGAAAGGTGGAGGTGTGCCTCTGTTTGTAGTCAGAAGGCTGGAGGCTTCTTCCTCCGCGCACTGTGGAAACGGGTGGCCTTGTTTAGATTCTAGTTGTGCTGCTTTCTTGCAATGGGCATGAGTTGTGGCCTCCCACAGCTTCTGTTTCCTCCCCTGTGAAATGGCAATTGCAAGACCGCATGCCGCAAAAAAATAGACAAAACTTTATAACAATACAAAACGTTTATTTATTTATTTATTCACTTATTTTTGAGATGGAGTCTCGCTGTGTTGCCCAGGCTGGAGTACAGTGATGCAGTTTCAGCTCACGCGATTCCTTGCCTCAGCCTCCCAAGTTGCTGGGATTACAGGCACCCGCCACCACGCCTGGCTAATTTTTGTATTTTCAGTAGAGACAGGGTTTTACCATGTTGCCCAAGCTAGTCTCGAACTCCTGACCTCAGGAGATCTGCCTGCCTTGGCCTCCCAAAGTGCTGAGATTACAGGCGTGAGCTACCGCGCCCGGCCATGAAATGTTTACTGATCACTGACTGTGCTCTAGGGGCCGCTGTGAGCACTTTACGCTTAAACCCACAACCACGCTTGAGGCAGGTGTCGAGATCACCCTCAGTTTACATACAAGGAAACTGAGGCACAGAGAGGTCTGGTAACCCACCTAAAGTTCACACAGCGAGTGAGTGGTGGAGCTGGGATTTGCAGCTGGAATTCTCCGAGAGTCTGTCGTTTCACCTTCACGTTATGCAGACAGACACTGTTATAATTGATAGTCCACAGAGCCCAGTGCATGGTAGATATGCAACCAGGATTAAATTATTGCTTTCGTTTTCCTGGGTCTTGAGCAATCAGGCCTTATTTTGTTTCTGCTGGGTAACTTGAGGCTCCAAGAGGGGCAGGAGATTACCTGAAGACCCCTAGATCTGCAGACCACATGGGGTAATAGTGATATTACATAGTACTCGCTGGGTATGAAATACTGTTCTAGCTTTTCTTTTTTTTTGAGACAAGTTCTCACTCTGTTGCTCAGGCTGGAGTGCAGTGGCACAGTCTCAGCTCAGTGCAACCTCTGCCTCCCAGGTTCAAGCAATTTTTGTGCCTCAGCCTCCTGAGTACCTGGGACTACTGGCGCACACCACCATGCCCGGCTAATTTTTATCTTTATGTTTTTTTGAGACGGAGTTTCGCTCTTGTTGCCCAGGCTGGAGTGCAATGGCATGATCTCGGCTCACCGCAACCTCCACCTCCTGGGTTCAAGCAATTCTCCTGCCTCAGCCTCCCGAGTAGCTGGGATTATAGGCATGTGCCACCACGCCCAGCTAATTTTGTATTTTTAGTAGAGACGGGGTTTCTCCATGTTGGTCAGGCTGGTCTTGAACTCCCAACCTCAGGTGATCTGCCCACCTCGGCTTCCCAAAGTTCTGCGATTACAGGCGTGAGCCACGGTGCCCAGCCCAATTTTTGTATTTTTAGTAGAGATGGGGATTCACCATGTTGGCCAGGCCGATCTTGAACTCCTGACCTCAGGTGATCCACCTGCCTTGGCCTCCCAAAGTGCTGGTATTATAGGCGTGAGCCACTATGTCTGGCCTGTGCTAGGTTTTCTATGTGGATTAACTCATAATTCTCAAACTACGCTATGAAATAGGAACTAAGATTATCCCCATTCTATGGATGAGGAAACTGAGGCTCAGTGAGGTAAAGTTACTACCTAAGGTCAGGTAGAGAGTAAAGGACAGGCCCAAGAGTTGATCCCTGTGGGCCAGCCCTAGAGCCTGTGCTCCTGTCTGCCTCCCACGTCCATGAAAGGCTTTGGCCTTGAGTCCCACTTTCCGCCCTCTCCTTCTCTCCCTGCAGGCTGAGAACCTCTTGCTGGATGCCGAGGCCAACATCAAGATTGCTGACTTTGGCTTCAGCAACGAGTTCACGCTGGGATCGAAGCTGGACACGTTCTGCGGGAGCCCCCCATATGCCGCCCCGGAGCTGTTTCAGGGCAAGAAGTACGACGGGCCGGAGGTGGACATCTGGAGCCTGGGAGTCATCCTGTACACCCTCGTCAGCGGCTCCCTGCCCTTCGACGGGCACAACCTCAAGGTACCGAGAGGGGCTGGGTGCAGGGGCATCAGCCCCTCCCCACAGTCAGGCCCCTATCCCCCCCACACCTCCCCTGCAGAGGGCCTCAGTGGTGGGACTGGCCTGAGTTCTCATGGGAAGATGGGGGATGGGCAGGATTCAAGTCCCCTCTGCAGTGAGGCCAGCCGAATGGACTGTGCCATGCTGGGGTTAAGGGCATGATCTTTGCAGCTGATAGGCTTGAGTTCAAATCCTGACTCATCCGTTCACTGAGCTAATATTTATGGCCCACTTCTCTGTGTCAGGCTCTGTTTTGGGCTTTGCATGTAAGGCGAGAACAAGAGAGGCAAAAACTCCTGCTTGGCCGGGTGCGGTGGCTCATGCCTATAATCCCAGCACTTTGGGAGGCGGAGGCGGGAGGCTCACTTGAGCCTGGGAGTTCAAGACCAGCCTGGGCAACATAGGGAGACGCTGTCTCTACAAAAAATACAAAAATTAACCGGGCATAATGGCGCACGCCTGTAGTCCCAGCTACTTGGGAGGCTGACGCGGGAGGATCACTTGAACCTGGGAGATCAAGACTGCAGTGAGCTGAGATCGTGCCACTGCACTCCAACCTGGGTGACAGAGGGAGACCCTGTCTCCAAAAAGAAATTAAAAAACAAACCCTGCCCTCGTATATGCTACGCTGTGGGTGAACCTTGAAAACATTGTGCTAAGTGACAGAAGCCAGTCACATAAGGCCACAGAATGTATGATTCCATTAATGTGAAATGTCCAGAATAGGCAAATCCATAGAGACAGAAAGTGGATTACTGGTTGCCTGAGGCTGGGGGGGAGGAGCAAGTTGGAGGTTGATTGCTAAAGGGTACTGAATTTCTTTTGAGGTGATGAAAAATGTTCTAAAATTCAATGTAGTGGCCGGCCTGATGGCTCACACCTATATTCCCAGCACTTTGGGAGGCCGAGGCAGGCAGATCACCTGAGGTCAGGAGTTCGAGACCAGCCTGGCCAACATGGTGAAACCCTGTCTTTACTAAAAATACAAAAATTAACCGGGTGTGGTGGCAGGCACCTGTAATCCCAGCTACTGGAGAGGCTGAGGCAGGAGAATCGCTTGAACCTGGGAGGCAGAGGTTGCAGTGAGTCAAGATTGTGCCACTGCACTCCAGCCTGGGCGACAGAGCGAGACTCTGTCTCAAAAAATAAATAAATAAAATTGAATGTAGTAATGATTGTGCAACTCCGTGCATATACTAAAAGCCATCGAATTGTGCACTTCGCTTCAAACAAAACAGTTCCTGTCTTCCCAGACTAACATTCCTACTGGGGCCAGGCAGCTAACAAAACAATAAGCAAACTAGATATGATATCAGATGCTGGCCTGTGCTATGCTGGGGGGAATACTGTAAGGGGATGGGAGGTGTGGGCTGAGTTGTTGCTTGCTTTTTTTTTTTCCCCCTTTGAACTTTTTATTTTGAACGATTGCCAATCTACGGAAAAGTTGCAACAGTAGAGCAAATAACACATGGTATGTTTCAGGAGCTTCACAATCGCTGGCCTGTGTCCACATTTGCTCTATCTGTCTGTATTTGCACATGATCTTTGCTGCCCTCATCGGCATTGATGGCGCATTTGACAGTTAGTTGCAGACGCTGTGTCCTTTTATCCCTAAAGGCGAGAGCGGGTTATCTCCTGAGACCAGGGGCGTTTTCCTGTTGACGGTGACATACAGGAAATACAGCAGTGGTATAATCCTGGCCTCTACGCCATGGCCCATACTCAGATTTCATCCATCATCCCAGGAATATCTTTGGCAGCTATTTTTTTTTCCCAGTCGGGGATCCACTCGGGTCCCTGCGTTGCATTTAGCTGCGCCATCTCTTGTGTCTCCTTTCATCCGGAACAGTTCTCAGCCTCTCTTTTGTCTTTCATGACATTGACATTATCGATTAGTTCAGGCCAGTTAATTTTGCAGAACGTCCCTCAATTTGGGTTGCCTGGTGTTTCCTCTCGATTGGAATCGGGGGTGCATTGGGGCAGGAATTCTGCAGCTGGGACGCTCTGTCCTGCTCTGCGTTGCCCGTGAGGAGCACGTACTGTGATATGAAATTGTAAAGTCAGGGAAATACTTGCAGAGGACAGACCATCAAAGCGGAACCCTGAGTGATGAAGAGGAGGGAGTCCCTTCTTCACAGTGGCCTTGGCCAAATAGCCAACCCCTCTAAGCCTCAGTCTCACCTGCTGTTCAATGAAGATCATAAAGGTACCAACCCTGTGGGCCGGGCGTGGTGGCTCACGCCTGTAATCCCAGCACTTTGGGAGGCCGAGGCGGGCGGATCACGAGGTCAGGAGAGCGAGACCATCCTGGCTAACACACTGAAACCCCGTCTCTTCTAAAAATACAAAAAATTAGCCGGGCGTGGTGGCAGGCGCCTGTAGTCCCAGCCACTCGGGTGGCTGAGGCAGGAGAATGGCATGAACCTGGGAGGTGGAGCTTGGAGTGAGCGGAGATCTCGCCACTGTACTCCAGCCTGGGCAACAGAGCGAGACTCCATCTCAAAACAAACAAACAAAAAAGATGATACCAACCTTGTGGCAGTGATTTTTAAGGACTGGCTGAGATCAGGGATGCAAAGTGCTCATTCAAGACAGCCTTCTGGCCGGGCACGGTGGCTCAGGCCTGTAATCTCAGCACTTTGGGAGGCTGAGGTGGGCAGTTCACCTGAGGTCAGGAGTTCAAGACCAGCCTGGCCAACATGGTAAAACCCCGTCTCTACCAAAAACACAAAAATTAGCTGTGCCTGGTGGCATGCGCCTGTAATCCCTGCTACTCGGGAGGCTGAGACAGGAGAATTGCTTGAACCAGGGAGGCAGAGGTTGTAGTGAGCCGAGATCACACCACTGCACTCCAGCCTGGATGACAGAGCAAGACTCTGTCTCAAAAAAACAAAACAAAACAAACAAACAAAACAGGCTCTGACACTCCGGCCATAGCTGAAGTCTGGGGTGGGGAGGTGTTGTCACAGAATAATTTTTCTGAGCCTCAAGCATGAAGCTAAGAGACCTTTTTGAAGGGCCAGGCCAGTGTCTTACCTGCCCCAGGTCCTTGTCACTTTCTGCCATCCTGGTGTCCCCACCAGGCACCCCAGGCCTTGCTGTGCAAAGGAGGCACACAGCTGAGAAGAGGCAGGTTCTAGCTCTGTCATTTCCTTTCTGAGTGACCTTGGACATGTCCTTTTCTGAACCTCAGTTTCCCCACCTGTAAGATGAAGACACTAAGAGTATTCAGGACAGGTGTCGTGGCTCATGCCTGTAATCCCAGCACCTTGGGTGGCCGAGGCGGGCAGATCACTGGAGGTCAAGAGTTTGAGACCAGCCTGGCCAACATGGTGAAACCCCGTCTCTACTAAAAATACAAAAAGTAGCCAGGCGTGGCGGCACGTGCCTGTAGTCCCAGCTACTTGGGAGACTGATCCAGGAGAATCACTTGAACCTGGGAGGCAGAGGCTCCAGTGAGCCGAGATTGCGCCCCTGCACTCCAGCCTGGACGACAGAGCAAGACTCCATCTCAAAAAAATAAAAAGAGTTTGACACCAGCCTGGGCAACATTTCAAGACCACATCTCTACAAAAAATATTTTTTAAATTAGCCTGGCATTGTGGTGCATGCCTGTAGTCCCAGCTACTTGGGATGCTGAGGTGGGAGAATTGCTTGAGCCCAGGAGTTCCAGGCTACAGCGAACTATGATCACGCCACTGCACTCCAGCTTCGGTGACAGAACAAGAGCCTGTCTCTTTAAAAAAAAAAAAAGCATCTGCTTGCAGCCCGTCTGCATATGTTAAGCCCTTCACTGGAGCTTGGCATCTGGCCACAGCATCATGCTTGGGAGCTGCGCTGGAGGTGGCAGTGGTGGCCTGATGGTTTCTTCTCCCCCATCACGTGATAGGCAGTGTGGCATGGTGGTCACACAGCACAGGCTCCAGAGCCAAGGCTCTGCCACTTTCTGGCTGTGCAATCCTGGGGCAAGTGACCAAACCCCTCCAGGCCTCAACCTCCTCGTCTGGAAAGTGGGCGTTATAACCGGGCTTCGCGGCGTTGTGAAAATGGATGTAATATGCATAAAGCACTTAGAACACTGCCTGCTAAGGGGTAAGTGTCCTGAAAGTGATCCAAATTAAATATTAATAGCCCTTTATGATCTGCAGAGGCTCCCCAGGCATGGGCATCTTTCAGCCCTTTTAGGAGAATGCTGCAGCAGAGGACTCTGTCCTAAAGGAGTCCTGTTCACCCCCAACGCTCAATTCATTCCTACCTGTTTTCTGCCTCCCTTCGTTTTTTTTGTTGTCTGTTTGTTTTTTGAGACAAGGTCTCAGTCACCCAGGCTGGAGGGCAGTGGTGCAGTCACAGCTCACTGCAGCCTCAACCTCCCGGGCTCAAGCAATCCTCCTGCTTCAGCCTCCTGAGTAGCTGGGACCACAGGCATGTGCCACCACACCTGGCTAATTTTTGTATTTTTTGTAGAGACAGAGTCTCGCTGTGTTGCCCAGGCTGGTCTCAAACTCACGGGCTCAAGCGGTCTTCCCACCTTGGCCTCCCGAAGTGCTGGGATTATAGACATAAGCCACCACGCCTGGCCTATTGCGGTTTTTTATTCAGATGGAAAGAGCTCCCCCTGGTCTGCCAAGCTATGGATTTATCTTATTTTTCACAGCTTTGGTAGGGCCTCTCATAAAAGGCCCTTAAAGAGAAAGCCAGCAGATAAATCCATGAATGGCCTTGAGGAGTGTGTCTCTTTGGACAGCAGGCATGGCTGGGGGAGGGGAGAGACGAGAAGGCAGGAGAGGCAGTAGGGTCTCCTTCCCCTTGAGTGAATCTCATATTTACATACCGCTCTCTGGCTCTGGGCCAGGCATGTGGTAAGCATTTTACAGATTTTTTTTTTTTTTTTTTTTTGAGATGGAGTCTTGCTCTGCCGCCCAGGCTGGAGTGCAGTGGCGCAGTCTCGGCTCACTGCAACCTCCGCCTCCTGGGTTCAAGTGATTCTCCTGCCTCAGCCTCCCGCGTAGCTGGGATTACAGGGGTCTGCTACCACACCCAGCTAATTTTTGTATTTTTTTTTTTTTTAGTAGAGATGGGGTTTCGCCATGTTGGCCTGGCTGGTTTCGATCTCCTGACCTCAGGCGATCTGCCTGCCTCACCCTCCCAAAGTGCTGGAATTACAGGCGTGAGCCACCGCGCCCAGCCACATTTTTACGGATATTAACTCACCTGTACCCTGGTAGCAAGCATGTGAAGTGGGTCCTGTAATCCCTTTCACGGATAAGGAGACCGAGGCCCCAGTGGCTGACTCACTTACCTACCTCCCTCTTACCTGACTTAGAGAATAAACTTCCTTTTTTTTCTGAGACAGAATCTCGCCCTGTCACCCAGGCTGGAGTGCAGTGGCGTGATCTCAACTCACTGCAACCTCCACCTCCTAAGAGTTTAAGTGATTCTCGTGCCTCAGCCTCCCAAGTAGCTAGGACTACAGGCAGCCACCACCACACCCAGCTAATTTTTGTATTTTTAGTGGAGATGGGGTTTCACCATGTTAGCCAGGCTGGTCTCGAACTCCTGACCTCAGGCGATCTGCCTGTCTCGGCCTCCCAAAGTGCTGGGATTACAGGTGTGAGCCACCGTGCCTGGCCAGATAATAAACTTTCTCTGCAAGTTTTCCTCTGAATGAAAAGTTATGTAGCTTAAATTTTTTTTTTTTTTTTTTTGTAGAGACAGGCTGGTTGTTCAGGCTGGTCTTGAACTCCTGGGTTCAAGCTATCCTCCTCCCTCGGCCTCCCAACGTGTTTGGATTACAGGTGTGCACCACCATGCTCAGGTCATTTTTTATTTTTTGTAGAGATGAGGTCTCCCTGTGTTGCCCAGGCTGTTCTTGAACTCCTGGGCTCAAGCGATCCTCCGGTCTTGGCCTCTACGCCTGGCCAAGAATTTTTTTTTTTAAATTGCAGCGTCCATATGATGTTCCCATTTTATGGACAGGGAACTGAGGTCAGGAGAAAGGAATGGGGTTTTGCTTACCTCGTCAAGGACTGGGACTCAGAGCTTCTGTCACTTCTATCAAAGGGGTTGGGACAAAGGTTGTGTGTGTGTGTGTGTGTGTGTGTGTGTGTGTGTGTGTGTGTGTGTAATAGGTGGGGGGCGGGGCAGACCCCCTCCTCCAGTAACCCCATCCCTGCAGGAGCTGCGGGAGCGAGTACTCAGAGGGAAGTACCGGGTCCCTTTCTACATGTCAACAGACTGTGAGAGCATCCTGCGGAGATTTTTGGTGCTGAACCCAGCTAAACGCTGTACTCTCGAGGTGAGCCCAGCCTCACAGCCAGCGGGAGCCCTTCTAGTCTCCTGACTCCCCTAAACTCTGCCTGCCCCCACCCACAAAAGCCTTCTTGACACACTTTTCCTCTCCTGTGCCCACCGAAGATCTGCTGCTGGTGAGTGGGGGTAGACAGGCCGTCCAGGGAAAAGCTCCCAGGCCTGTCCTGACGCCACCCCCCCGACAGGCTCACCCACTCCCTGCCTTGCCAGTAATTAGCTAATGAGCTCCTAGGATGATTACAGGGTGCCAGGGACCCAGATGATGCGGAGGAGGGAGGGTGGCATCAGGAGGCTCCGGCAGGGGACGTGGGGGAGAGAGAGGCCCAGGAGGCGCTATCTCTTAGGAAGCCCGCAATTCTGGGTGTTAGGCCTCGGAGGTTTGGGGCAGGGCAGAAGCTGTATGATTTCTGGTTCCTTCTGACACCTGTCTTCCCCCTTCCCTGCTCCTGATGCCTGCAGCAAATCATGAAAGACAAATGGATCAACATCGGCTATGAGGGTGAGGAGTTGAAGCCATACACAGAGCCCGAGGAGGACTTCGGGGACACCAAGAGAATTGGTGAGGGTCAGGGAGAGCCATCCTGTCACCCAGGATGGAGTGCAGTGGTGCAATCTCGGCTCACTGCAACCTCCGCCTCCCAGAATCAAGAGATTCTTGTGCCTCAGCCTCCCAAGTAGCTGGGACCACAGGCGCCTGCCGCCATGCCCGGCTAATTTTTGTTATTTTTAGTAGAGACAGGGTTTTGCCATGTTGGCCATGCTGGTCTCAAACTCCTGACCTCAGGTGATCTGCCTGCCTCAGCTTCCCAAATTGCCAGGATCACAGGTGTGAGCCACTGTACCCGGCCCATGTTCGCTTTGATATTAAGACATAAAGAGAGACCAGGCGAGGTGGTTCATGCTGGTAATCCCAGCACTTTGGGAGGTCGAGGTAGAAGAATCACTTGAGCCCAGGAGTTGGAGACCAGCCTGGCCAACATAGGGAGACCCTGTCTGTACAAAAAAATAAAAATAAAAAATTAGCCAGTTGTGGTTGTGTGCACCTGTAGTCTCAGCTACTCAGCAAGCTGAGGTAGGAGGATCCCTTGAGCCCAACAATTTGAGGCTACAGTGAGCTATGATCATGCCACTGCACTCCAGGCGACAGGGTGAGACCGTGTCTCAAAAAAAGAAAAAAAGGTCAGGCACAGTGGCTCACGCCTATAATCTGAGCACTTTGGGAGGCTGAGGCTGACAGATCACCTGAGGTCAGGAGTTCGAGACCAGCCTGGCCAACATGATGAAACCTCGTCTCTACTAAGAATACAAAAATTAGATGAGTGTGGTGGCAGGCACCCGTAATCCCAGCTCCTCTGGAGGCTGAGGCACGAGAATTGCTTGAATCCAGGAGGCAGAGGTTGCAGTGAGCTGAGATTGCACCACTGTACTCCACCCTGGGCGACAAGCAAAATTCCATCTAAAATAACAATAATTACGGTTTTTACCATTAAATGGCAAAAACCGGAATTACTTTTGTATCAACCTAATTATATTAGTAGGTTGAACACAACAAAAAGTTGAACCATATGAAATTGCCATTTTTTTGGTTTAAAATTGTCAGTACCACCAATTTTGTATGGTTTAACCTAATAGTGATGATTTATTCTGCCACATAACTAAAATGAATAGAGTATGCAGCCTTCAGGCACAGTTGTATCCAGGTGCTCAGAGACAGTTGTTGGGAATGTTTTCTGTGGTAGCTTTTTCCCAGGCTGCTCTCCAGGAGGCAAGCAGATCTGGGTCACATGCCTTCAATGAAGCAGTCAGTGTGGCTTTGGGTGTAGAACACACTAATTAGCCAGACCTGGGTTATCCGCCTGCCTTAGGGTTGGAGCAGGGGAGCCATCCACGTGATCTGAGCGGAAAGAATGTTCTTTCAAAGGAAATCAATGTGCTGTTGGGAAGGGAGGATGGGTACTGGACAGGTCAAAGAGCAGACACCAGTGAATGACACAGAAATGAGTGGAAGTGGGCCAGGTGCAGTGGCTTATGCCTGTAATCCCAGCACTTTGGGAGGCCCAGGTGGGTGGATTGCTTGTGCCCAGGAGTTTCAAACCAGCCTGGACAACATAGCAAAACCCTGTCTCTACTGAAAATACAAAAACTGAGGTGGGAGGATCAGCAGAGCCTGGGGAGGCCGAGGCTGCAGTGAGCTGTGACCGTGCCACTGCACTCCAGCCTGGGTGACAGAGTGACACCCTGTCTCAAAAAAAAAGAGAAATGGATGGAAGTTAAAGTTTCTGGGAGTCTGAAACTTCTCTCCATCCCCCCCTCCCAGAGGTGATGGTGGGTATGGGCTACACACGGGAAGAAATCAAAGAGTCCTTGACCAGCCAGAAGTACAACGAAGTGACCGCCACCTACCTCCTGCTGGGCAGGAAGACTGAGGTCAGGGGGCGCCAGGGGCCCTTGGGGACGCGTGATGCCTGGGTGGAGGGACTTGGGGTGCAGAAGAGCCTCATCTGTCATCCTCTCGCAGGAGGGTGGGGACCGGGGCGCCCCAGGGCTGGCCCTGGCACGGGTGCGGGCGCCCAGCGACACCACCAACGGAACAAGTTCCAGCAAAGGCACCAGCCACAGCAAAGGGCAGCGGAGTTCCTCTTCCACCTACCACCGCCAGCGCAGGCATAGCGATTTCTGTGAGTATCAACCCCACGCCCTCACGCACCCTCCTTCTCCCCAAGGCCCAGACTTACAGTTACGTCAGGGTTCTCTGATTGGCAAGCAACAGAAACCCACTGGAGCTAACCTCAGAGAGGGAGGAATGTCTTATAAAGACACAGGGCATTGCATGGAACTTGGAGGCAGGAATGCACAGCCAGGCTCAGGAAGGGATTAAAACCGGAAAAGCAGCCAGACCCAGAGCAGACACTCTCTGTCTTGCTTCCTCTCTGCTTGTGTGGTTTTTCCTTTGTCTCTCACTTATCTCATCCTATCTTTTTTCCTGATGTCCCAGCTCCCCGATTTTTTTTTTTGAGATGGAGTCTCACTCTGTGCCTCAGGCTGTAGTGCAGTGGTGTGATCTTGGCTGATGGCAACCTCTGCTGCACAGGTTCAAGCGATTCTTCTGCCTTAGGCTCCCGAGTAGCTGGGATTACAGGCGCCTGCCATAACCCCCCGGCTAATTTTTGTATTTTCAGTAGAGATGGGGTTTCACCATGTTGGCCAAGCTGGTCTTGAACTCCTGACCTCGTGATCCACCCTCGGCCTCCCAAAGTGCTGGCATTACAGGTGTGAGCCACTGTGCCCAGCCTTTTCTTTTCTTTTCTTTCTTTTTTTTTTTGAGACAGAGTCTCACTCTGTATCCCAGGCTGGAGTGCAGTGTCGTGATCTTGGCTCACTGCAACCTCCACCTCTTGGGTTCAAGCGATTCTTGTGCCTCAGCCTCCTGAGTAGCCGGGATTACAGGCACCTGCCACCACACCTGGCTAATTTTTGTATTTTTAGTAGAGACAGGGTTTCACCATGTTGGCCAGGCTGCTCTTATACTCCTGACCTCATGATCCACCCACCTCAGCCTCCCAAGGTACTGGGATTACAGGTGTGAGCCACTGCACCCAGCCCCCAATTTCTTACCTTAGAGACCAGTCCAAATGGCAGCTGGAATCTCTGGTCCAGGATGAAGCTCTGATATCAGAGTCAAGTTTGAATTAATCCATTGTAACTGGGGCACAGGAGGACACGTTGTACAAAGTGGCTGCTGAGAGTCTGCCCTCTGGCTTTGCCTCCACACTGAAGTAAAGGAGGCTCTGGAAGAGAGCTGGGCGGACAGCTGATTATACCCCACATTCTGCAACTGACAGACATCTCATCTGCTGCAGAAAATGAATACAGAGTCTGAGTTTAAATCTGGGCCAGGCACGGTGGCTCATGTCTGTAATCCCTTGGGAGGCCGAGGTGAGTGGATCACCTGAGGTTGGGAGTTTGAGACCGGCCTGGCCAACATGGTGAAACCCTGTCTCTACTAAAAACACAAAATTAGCTGGGCGTGTTGGTGCGTGCCTATAATCCCAGCTACTCGGGAGGCTGAAGCAGGAGAATTGCTTGAAACTGGGAGGCGGAGGTTGCAGTGAGCCGAGATCATGCCATTGCACACCAGCCTGGGCAACAGAGAGACCTCATCTCAAAAAAATTAAAAAAAAAAAAAAAAGGATACACACCACCATCAGCACCCATTAGGCATGGAGACTTCTGAGAGGTCCCTTCACCCACACACTCATCAAATTTTAACCCTCTCTTCTATTTTTTTTAACGGCTTTATTAAGGTTAAAATTCATATACCAAACAACGTACCCATTTAAAGTGCACAATTCAGGCCGGGCATGGTGGCTCACGCCTGTAATCCCAGCACTTTGGGAGGCTGAGGGCAGGAGGATTGCTTGAGCCCAGGAGTTCTAGACCAGCCTAGGCAACATAGCAAGACCCCGTCTCTACAAAAAAATTAAAAATTGGCCAGGCACAGCGGCTCACGCCTGTAATCCCAGCACTTTAGGAAGCCGAGGTGGGAGGATCACGAGGTCAGGAGTTCAAGACCAGCCTGGCCAAGATGGTGAAACCCTGTCTCTACTAAAAATACAAAAAAAGCCAGGCATGGTGGCGGGCACCTGTAATCCCAGCTACTCGGGAGGCTGAGGCAGAGAATTGCTTGAACCTGGGAGGTGGAGGTTGCAGTGAGCCGAGATCACGCCACTGCACTCCAGCCTGGGCCACAGAGCGAGACTCCGCCACCCCGCCCCCTAAAAAATTAAAAATTAGGTGTGGTAGTACACGCCTGTGGTCCCAGCTACTTGGGAGGCTGAGGTAGGAAGACCACTTGAACCCAGGAGATCGAGGTCGTGGTGAGCCGTGATCGCGCCACTGTACTCCAGCCTGGGTTACAGAGCGAGACCTCATCTCAAAAAATAAATTAAAAAGTGCACAATTCAGTGGCTTTAATATATTTATAGAGTTGTACATCTATCATGATGACCGATTTCAGAACATTTTCATTACCCCAAAAAGAAAATTCACAACTTTTAGCAATCAACTTCCAGGCAGGGCATGGTGGCTCATGCCCGTAATCCTAGCACTTTGGGAGACTGAGGCAGGCAGATCACCTGAGCGCAGGAGTTCGAGACCACTGGGCAACATGGCGAAACCCCATCTCCACTATAAAATACAAAAATTAGCCGGGCGTAGTGGCAGGCGTCTGTAATCCCAGCTACTCAGGAGTCTGAGGCAGGAGAATTGCTTGAACCTGGGAGGCGGAGGTTGCAGTAAGCTGAGATCGCGCCACTACACTCTAGCCTGGGCGATAAGAGTGAGACTTCCTCTCAAAAAAAAAAAAAAAAAAAAAAAAAAATCAACTTCCAATCCCCCTTCCACCCTCAGCTACTAATCTACTTTCTATGTCGATGAATTTGGCTATTCTAGACATTTCAGGTAAATGGAATTACACGATGTGTGGCCTTCAGTGACTGGCTTCTTTCATTTAGCAGAAAGTTTTCAAGGTTCATCCATGATATGGGTATCAGCACTTCATTCCTTTTCATTGGCAAGTAATATTCCATTGCATAGATAGACCACATTTTGTTTATCCATTCATGAACACGTGGATTGCCTCCACTTTTTGGCTGTTGTGAATGATGCTGCTGTGAACATTTGTATCCGTGTTTTTGTGTGGCTGTGTTTTGCCGTCATTTCTCTTGGGTACGTATCTGGGAGTGGAATTGCTGAGTCATCTGGTAACTGTGTGTTTAATAATAGTTTGAGGAACTTTCAGGGTGTTTTCCAACTCTGTTCGTTTTACAGCCCTGCTTGTCTGCAGGGGTGAAGTTCTTACTCTGGGACAGGTACTAGGCTGTCTGCTTGTCTAATCTTTTTTTTCTCTGTCTTACATATCTCACCTTATCTTTTTCTAGATCTCTCAGCTCCTAGATTTCTTCTTTTTTTTCTTTTTTTGAGACAGAGTCTCACTCTGTCGCCCAGGCTGGAGTACAGTGGTGCGATGGTGGCTCACTGAAACCTCAGTCTCCCAGGTTCAACTGATTCTCCTGCCTCAGGCCCCCGAGCTGGAATTACAAGCCACCTTGCCCAGCTAATTTTGTATTTTTAGTAGAGACAGGGTTTCACCGTGTTGGCCTGGCTGGTCTTGAATTCCTGACCTGAGGTGATCCACCCGCCTCGGCCTCCCAAAGTGCTGGGATTGCAGGCGTGAGCCACTGTGCCCAGCCACTCCTAGATTTCTTTTCTTTTTTTTTTTTTTGGAGGCAAAGTCTCGCTCCGTTGCCCAAGCTGGAGTGCAGTGGCGCAATCTTGGCTCACTGCAAGCTCCACCTCCCGGGTTCATGCCATTCTCCTGCCTCAGCCTCCCGAGTAGCTGGGACTATAGGTGTCCACCACCACGCCCAGCTAATTTTTTGTATTTTTAGTAGAGATGGGGTTTCACTGTGTTAGCCAGGATGGTCTTGATCGCCTGACCTCATGATCCACCTGCTTTGGCTTTGGCTTCCCAAAGTGCTGGGATTACAGGCATGAGCCACCGCGCCTGGCCCGCTCCTAGATTTCTTACATCTCAGTTTTAGAATCCAGCCCAGGGCTGAGTGCAGTGGCTTACGCCTGTAATCCCAGCACTTTGGGAGGCTGAATTGGGTGGATCACTTGAGCTCTCAAGTTCGACACCAGCCTGGGCAACATGATGAAACCTCATCTCTACAGAAAAATACAAAAATTAGGCTGGGCGCAGTGGCTCTTGCCTTGTAATCCCAGCACTTTGGGAGGCCGAGCTGGGTGGATCACCTGAGGTCAGCAGTTTGAGAGCAGCCTGGCCAACATGGTGAAACCCTGTCTCTACTAAAAATATCAAAATTAGCCGGGTGTGGTGGTGAGCACCTGTAATCTCAGCTACTTGGGAGGCTGAGGCAGGAGAATTGCTGGAACCCGGGAGGCAGAGGTTGCAGTGAGCCGAGATTGTGCCATTGCACTTCAGCCTGGGCGGCAACAGCAAGACTCTGTCTCAAAAACAAAACAAAACAATTAGCTGGGCATGGTGGTGTGCACCTGTAATCCCAGCTACTTGAGAGGCTGAGGTGGGAGGATGGTTTGAGCCTGGGAGGCCGAGGTTGCAATGAGTCCAGATCGTGCCACTGCACTCCAGCCTGGGCGATAGAGCCAGACTGCCGTGTCTCAAAAAAAAAAAAAAAAAAAAAAAAGAATCCAGCCCAAGTGTTAGCTAGAATCTCCTTGGTCCACTCATCAGGATCAGGATGGAGCTCTGATATCGAGTCCAGTTGGGATTAATCTGCTGTAATGGGGGCACAGGAGGACACATTGCACAAAGTGGCTGCTGAAAGCCTGCGCTCTGACCTCCCCTCCACACTGAAGTGAGGGAGGAGAGAGGTGTCAGGGAATCTGAGACCCAGCATGAGCCCCACACGGGAAGTGGTGCTTCTGCCCTACCCCCACCATTGCTGGAGGTCAAACCATTCCCTGCCCCTGCGTCTTGTCTTTCCCACCTGTAAAATGACAGGGCGTGCCCAGAAAGTTCCTAAGGAGCTTGTGACTTTGGTATCATATGGTTAGAACGTGGTAACCTTCAGAACTCCCCACACTGAGACCTGAGTTCCAGGGATTCTCAGAGAGGGATTGCTGGCAGGTGCCAGGTATCTGTCATTGTCATTGTAGAGCTCTCAGCTTGTGGTTCTGGGACTTCTGAGCATGTATCGCTCCTGAGGATGTAACAAGCAGACCTTCTGACCCTCTCAAGTTTGAGATCACTTTTCACCCCCGGGTTCTAAAACAGTAGATTCCTAAGATGTTCCTAGAGACCAGAATTATTTTGTGTTGCTTTTGAAATTGTTCATACAATAACATCCTTGAAAATGTGTTAGTTTGGAAAGGATAGACAGTGAAAAAGTCTTCATCCAACACATATCCCCAGCTCCCAGTTTCTCAAATGCAGCAACTGTTACGGTTTTTTGTTGTTGTTTTTGTTTTGTTTTTTGACGGAGTCTCGCACTGTTGCCAGACTGGAGTGCAATGGTGTGATCTCTGCTCACTGCAACCTCTGCCTCCCAGGTTCAAGCGATTCTCCTGCCTCAGCCTTCCAAGTAGCTGGGATTACAGGTGCATGCCACCATGCCCAGCTAATTTTTGTATTTTTAGTAGAGACAGGGTTTTGCCATGTTAGCCAGGCTGGTCTCAATCTCCTGACCTTGTGATCCACCCGCCTTAGCCTCCCAAAGTGCTGGGATTACAGGCGTGAGCCACCGCGCCTGGCCCTGTTATGGGTTTTAATATGAATTCCTTTGGAGAGATTTTATTCATAAACAAACATGTAAAGAGATAAATATGGGACCGGGTGCGGTGGCTCACGCCTGTAATCCCAGCACTTTGGGAGGCCAAGGTGGGAGGATCGCTGGAGTCCAGGAGTTTGAGACCAGCCTAGACAACATGGCGAAATCCTGTCTCTACAAAAAAAAATACAAAAATTAGGTGGGCATGGTAGTGTGTGCCTGTAGTCCCAGCTACTTGGGAGGCTGAAGTGGGAGGATGGCTTGAGCCTAGGAGGCCAAGGTTGCAGCAAGCTGAGGTCACACCACTGTACTTCAGCTTGGGCAACAGAGTGAGATCCTGTCTCAATAAAAAAATTAAAAAAAAGAAGGAAACTTAAGATATATAAAAACAATAAATTCTCCCCTTTTGAAACAAGTTATAGTCCTTTGGAGATATTCATATATAAGCAAGTAGATATAGATACACACTTTTTTGCTTTTGTAGACAAATGATAACACATTGTTGACCCATCTCTTGTCTTGCCTTTTCTACTTTCCAGTCCGTCATGAAGATCATTCTGTACTGGTGCATAAAGTGCTTCCTTATTCTTTTTTATAGCTGCATAATTTTCCACTGTGGAAATACCTTGACTTATCTAGTCATTCCTCTACTAAGGGGCATTTAGGCTGTTCCCAGTCTAATGGTACAGGCCAGGTGGGGTGGCACACACCTGTAATTCCAGCTACTTGGGAGGCTGAGGCAGGAGAATTGCTTGAACCCAGGAGGTGGAGGTTGCAGTGAGCGGAGATCGCACCACTGCACTCCAGCCTGGCAACAGAACCAGACTTTGTCTCAAAAAAAAAAAAAAAAAAAAGAAGGTGCAATGAATGGCCTGTATGTGCATGATGTCATTGATTTGGAGTTTCTAAGTCAGTATATGTGCGTTGGTAATCTTGAGGTAATTTTGACAGATATTGTCAGAATGGCCCACACAGAGATTGCAACCCACGTGAGGAATTCTCAGGTTCCAACGATCCCCCAGAGTCAGTTCTGGGTTTCCGTGGTGATGCCAGCTCTAAACGGTACCCCCTCCCCCAGGTGGCCCATCCCCTGCACCCCTGCACCCCAAACGCAGCCCGACGAGCACGGGGGAGGCGGAGCTGAAGGAGGAGCGGCTGCCAGGCCGGAAGGCGAGCTGCAGCACCGCGGGGAGTGGGAGTCGAGGGCTGCCCCCCTCCAGCCCCATGGTCAGCAGCGCCCACAACCCCAACAAGGCAGAGATCCCAGAGCGGCGGAAGGACAGCACGAGCACCCCCGTGAGTGACCAGGGCTGGGGGGCAGGGCTGGGGGCGCCACCTGGGCCACATTCCTCAGGCCCTGCCTTCATCTCATTCCCCAGACGGAACTCCTTCTTACCAACTCCTTCTTCTACCCATTCATTCATTCAACAAACATTTATCGAGTGCCTCTGTTTGCCTGAGCTCAGTTTATACACTAACATTTGATGTTAGCGTATAAATTAGTGTTCTGTGTCAAAGAAGTGCAGAACGTACTCTTGGCAGAAAGGATTTAATACAGGAAATTAAGTGCTTTTAAAAATGTGGGAAAGGCCAGGCACAGTGGCTCATGCTTGTAATCCTGGCATTTTGGGAGGCCGAGGCGGGAGGATCACTTGAGGCCAGGAGTTCAAGAAGCATAGCAGACGCCATCTCAACTAAAAATCAAAAAAATTAGCCAGGCATCATGTTATGTACCTGTGGTCCCAGCTACTCGAAAGACCGAGGTGGGAGAATCACTTGAGCCCAGGAGGTTGAGGCTACAGGGAGCTGTGTTCCCGCCACTGCACTCCATTCTGGGTGACAGAGCAAAACCCTGTCTCAATAAATCAATAAATAAAATATTAATAGTAATTTAAAAAATCAGGCCAGGCACAGTGGCTTACGCTTGTAATCCCAGCACTTTGGGAGGCAGAGGTGGGCGGATCACTTGAGGTCAGGAATTTGAGACCTGCCTGGCCAATATGGTGAAACCCCGTCTCTACTAAAAATATAAAAATCAGCTGGGCGTGGTGGCGGGCACCTATAATCCCAACTACTTGGGAGGCTGAGGCAGGAGAATCGCTTGAACCCAGGAGGCGGAAGCTACAGTGAGCTAAGATTGCGCTACTGCACTCCAGGATAGGTGACAGAGTGAGACTCCATTTCAAAAAAAAAAAAAAAAAGCCAGGTGCAATGGCTCATGCCTGTAATCCCAGCACTTTGGGAGGCCAAGGCGGGCAGATCATGAGGTCAGGAGATCGAGACCGTCGTGGCTAACACAGTGAAACCTCAATTCTACTAAAAATACAAAAAATTAGCTGGGCATGGTGGCATGCACCTGTAGTCCCAGCTACTCTGGAGGGTGAGGCAGGAGAATCGCTTGAACCCGGGAGGCAGAAGTTGCAGTGAGCCAAGATCATACCACTGCACTCCAGTCTGGGTGACAGAGCAAGACTCTGTCTCAAAAAAAAAAAAAAAAAAGTCGTGGGAAGCAGCAGCAGCTTCCCCAGCTCCTCAGCTCTTCCGGCATCTACATTCGGTCCCACTCCCTGCTCTTCTGCTCTGCACATGTTCAGTAGCCGCCCCACGTGGCTGTGCCCTTGGCCTTTCGAGGCTGGTCACGGCAGGTTACTACCAGTCAAGTCCCAGCCTTGACCAGGGTGCACACAGGTGTGAGTCTGAGCCAATTGTGGGCCTAAACTTTTAAAAGTATGGGTCACCTGCCAGGCGCGGTGGCTCACGCCTATAATCCCAGCACTTTGGGAGTCCGAGGAGGGTGGATCATGAGGTCAAGAGATCGAGACCACCTGGCCAACATGGTGAAACCCCATCTATACTAAAAATACAAAAATTAGCTGGCTGTGGTGGCGCATGCCTGTAGTCCCAGCTACTCAGGAGGCTGAGGCAGGAGAATTGCTTGAACCCAGGAGGCAGAGGTTGCAGTGAGCCGAGATCGTGCCACTGCACTCCAGCCTGGTGACAGAGCAAGACTCTGTTTCAAAAAAAAAAAAAAAAAAAAAAAGCATGGGTCACCACCCACACAGACACAAAATACTTATAGTTATCCTTTACCATAAGATTTTGCTCTTTAACAAATAAGTTGGCTGGGCACGGTGGCTCATGCCTATAATCTCAGCACTTTGGGAGGCCCAAGGTGGGCGGATCATGAGGTCGGGAGTTCGAGACCAGCCTGGCCACCATGGTGAAACCCCATTTCTACTAAAAATACAAAACTTAGCCAGGCGTGGTGGTGCACGCCTGTAATCCCAGCTACTCAGGAGGCTGAGGCAGGAGAATTGCTTGAACCCAGGAGGCAGAAGTTGCAGTGAGCCGAGATCACGCCACTGCACTCCAGCCTGGGCGACAGAGCAAGACTCTGTCTCAAAACAAAACAAAACAAAACAAAAAGTCATAAAAATTAAGTTTTTAGTCAGACATGGTGGCTCACGCCTGTAATTCCAGCACTTTGCAAGGCTGAGGTGGGTGGATTGCTTGAGCTCAGGAGTTCGAGACCAACCTGTGCAAAATGGTGAGACCCCTTCCCTACAAAAAATAGAAAAATTAGTCCGGTGTGGTGGTGGCACGTGCTGGTAGTCCCAGCTACTTGGGAGGCTGAGGGAGGAGGATCACTTGAGTCCAGGAGGCGGAGGTTGCAGTGAGCCAAGATCGTGCCACTGCACTCCAGCCTGGGAGTCTCCAGAGGGAGACCTTGTCTCAAAGAAACAAACAAAAAAGTTTTTAAATACTAATTTTTCTCGTACGTTCTTGAGAACATTCATCTTTTTAACTTCTTCTTAGTGCTCTTGGTGCCCCTGGGTACTTCCAGTTTATTTTGGTTCTAAACACCCAAGGCAAACCAAGGTCTCACTGCATGGCTGTTTGCGAGGTAGGGGTGTTTCTCCAGAGGTCCTGACCATCAGGAGGCACCCAGCCGTGGTGGCTGGTGGTGTCTGGCTGTTACCAGCATTCACCAGCCTTGACCGGCTTTGACTGATTGTGACTGGCCTTCACTGGCAGTGCCTGACAGGGCCCCACTGAAGCTTTGACCACAAGTGTCCACCTGTTACCAGTGGCAGCCAGCTGTGGCCAGCATTAACCAGCCTTTACTGGCAGTGTCCAGCCATGACCAGTATTAACCAGCAGCAACTGACTGTGACCGGCTTTGACCAGCCTTGACTGGCCGTGACAACCCTTGGCCAACGGTATCTGGCTGTGACCAGTGGTGTCTGGCTATTACCACTTATGACCAGCTTTAACTGTCCCTGACTGTTGGTGACTGGCCATGACCAGCCTTAACTGGCTGTGACAGGCTTTGACCAGCAGTGTCTGGCCATGACCAGCAGTAGCCAGCAGCAACTGGCAATGACCGGCTGTGTTTGGTTTGGCTAGCTGTGACCCTGCCACCACCTGTGAGGACTGCTAGTCCAGGTTCAGGGCCCTGGACTCCAGGGCTGTGCAGAGCCCGGGGTCAGTACAGGGAGGGGAGTGGAATGTTGTGAGGGAACCCCGTGGGGATGGGCCAGGAGAGGGTGCACCTGAGGACAGCTCACTGGCTACCTAACAGCAGAAGGGCCTTGGGGAAACAGATCTTGAAGGCATCAGCTCAACTTCAGGCAGGTGGCACAGGAGGGAGGCCGGGATGCCTGTGTGTCCTGAGTATTCCGGATAAGTACAAATTCATGCCCCTTGGCTCTTCCCCAGCCCCGAGACCTGGAGCTTCACAATGCAGCCTCTGAGGCCCGTGTGTCAGAGAATGATCCACAACCCAGAGAATGGATGGGAGCGGCAGGGCCAAAGAAGGAGAGGATGAGGTGGTTAAAGAAAAAAGAAAACAAAATTGTAGGAAGGACTGGAGGAGCGGACAATGGGTGGGATTTGTAGGAACAACAGTCACAACCACACCACAGAACTGACCCACCAAGGGAGCTGCTCCTTCTGAGGCTGCCCCAGCACTGGTGAATTCAAGAGTGCATTGTTAGGCCAGGCATGGTGGCTCATGCCTGTAAGCCCAACAGTTTGGGAGGCCGAGGCGGTGAATCACTTGAGGTCAGGAGTTCAAGACCAACCTGGCCAACATGGCAAAATCCCATCTGTACAAAAAATACAAAAATTAGGGCCAGGCGCGGTGGCTTACGCCTGTAATCCCAGCACTTTGGGAGGCTGAGGCGGGCGGATCACGAGGTCAGGAGATCGAGACCATCCTGGCTAACACGGTGAAACCCCATCTCTACTAAAAATACAAAAAATTAGCCGGGCTTGGTGGCGGGCACCTGTAGTCCCAGCTACTCGGGAGGCTGAGGCAGGAGAATGGCATGAACCTAGGAGGCGGAGGTTGCAGTGAGCTGAGATTGCCCTACTGCACTCCAGCCTGGGTGACAGGGTGGGACTCTGTCTCAAAACAAAACAAAACAAAAAACCACATTGTCATGGCTGTAACCCAAGACTCAAAAACTTCATCCTCCATCAGAAGAGCTTCTTGATGCCCAGAGGGCTGGACAATAGGCACTGGGGCCCTGCTGAAGCAAAGACCTTCATCTCATAGCCTTGCCTGTGTGAGCTGAAGTCAAAGCAGGCAGGAGAGCAGCTGCTGCCCCATTTCCACCTTCCAAATCTTCATGAATGCAAAGATTGGCAGAACCCAACTTATATGCAGAACCTGAGCTGCAAAGGATTCTGGGAAATGTAGGACTTGGCTTTTTTGCATCTGAGTTCCCAAGAACAGCAAAGTACGAAAATATCCTCAACATAGGAACAGGAGAGTGGAGGCAGAGCTGGACATGGTGGCACACACATGTAGTCCCAGCTACTTGGGAGGCTGAGGTGGGAGGATTGCTTGAGGCCAGGAGTTCGAGACCAGCCTGGGCAACATGGTGAGATCCTATCTCTTAAAAAAGAGAAAAAGGGTGGAGGCAGTTTGAGAAAGTGGCCGGGACTCTGAAGCCACGTAGAGTTTGAATTACATTAATGAGCCGTGTGACCTTGGGCAAGTAACTTCACCTCTCTGATCTTTGATATCTCACTATGTGAAATGGGCTCATTAAAGAACCTGGGTCATTGTGAGGATCTTGTAAGATCTCATACGTGAAGTACTTCACATACTGGCACAGTAAGCACTCAGTGAATGAGAGCTATTGTTATTGCTAAACGAAACCCACACCTTAAGAAGGTAAAAAAGGAAAAGCAAATAAACCTCAAAGAAAGTAGAAGGGACCGGAATTGGTGGCTCATGCCTGTAATCCCAGCAGTTCGGGAGGCTGAGGCAGGAGGATTGCTTGAGCCCAGGAGTTCAAGACCAGCCTGGACAACATAGACCCTGTCTCTGCCAAAAATAAAAATTAGCTAAGTGTTGTGGCACATGCCTGAGGTTCTAGCTACTTGGGAGGCTGAGGTGAAAGGATCCACTTGAGGCCAGGAGGTCGAGGCTGCAGTGAGCCATGATCACCCCACTGCACTCCAGCCTAGGCATCAGAACAAGACCCCATCTCAAAAAAAGTAGAAGGGAGGAGGCATTAAAGAGAATAAATCAGTGAAGGAGAAAGAAGAGGTACAATAAAGCAACAAAACCTAAAGTTGGTTTTTTGAAAAGATTAATAAAATCAGTCTGGGCGTGGTGGCTCATGCCTGTAATCCCAGCACTTTGGGAGGCTGAGGCGGGTGGATCACTTGAGGTCAGGAGTTTGAGACCAGCCTGGCCAGCATGGTGAAACCCCATCTCTACCAAAAATACAAAAAATTAGCTGGATGTGGTGGTCCACACCTGTAATCCCAGCTACTCGGGAGACTAAGGCAGGTTCACTTGAATCTGGGAGGTGGAGGTTGCAGTGAGCTGAGATCATGCCATTGCACTCCAGCCTGGGCAAAATGAGTGAAACTCTGTCCAAAAAAATAAATAAATAAATAAAATCCAATGGACCCCTGGTAAAAATCAATTAAGGAAAAAAGACAGCAAACATGAATCACCAGTATCCACAATGAAAAGGGGAACTTTGTTCTAACATTAAAAGATAGTAAGATGATATTAGGAACTACTTTGTGCCAATAAATTTAACAGCTTAGATGAAATGGACACATTACTTTAAAAACACACTGTATCAAAACTGACACAAGAAGAAATAGAAAACCTGAACAGTCTTATATTCTTGTTAAAGAAATTGAATTCGTAACTGAAAACCTTCCCTATAAAGAAAATTTTTGGCTTGGATGACTCCCACCAGTGGAATTCTTCCAAACACTTAAAGAAGAAATAACACTAACCTTAGACAAACTTCCAGAGAATAGAAAAAGAGGGCTCTCTTCCTAACATGTTTATGAGGCAGCATAATCCTGATATTCCCTGTGTTCCCAGAGCTCACAGCCCAGTATGGGATGGGGACATATATGAGAACAGACATTGACAGCACAGTGATTGAAGCTGCAGTGGGGAGCCCAGGGGCCTGTGGGAACCCAAAGGAGGAGGCACGTGACTCAGCCTGGGGCCGGGGGTGGTGGTAGATTATGAACTGACACCTGAAAGATATGTAGGAGTGAGTCAGGGGAAAAGGTAGGAGTAATGTTCTAACAGGTGAGACAGCCAGTGCACAGGCTAGTCACAGTGACAGAATGTGGCATGAATAAGTACATTAGCAAACGTTTGGTGTGGCTGGGCTGGACCTCAAGAAGGTGGGCATTGCTGGGAGAAGAGCGGTGGACAAGGATGCCCCCTGGAAACCTTCCCTGCCTCGTTTTCCCTCAGTGCCCCCCTCTTCTCCGGTCTCCAGGGGTCTCCCCTGACTCAGCCTCGGTGGCTGGGATTACTCATGAACCTTTCACATCTTTGGGACCTTTCACCATCTCCTACTCACCCTGGGTTCCCACATGAGCCCCTGACTTATTCATCGATGGGGAGGGCAGAGAAGGGAAGAGGGAGAAGCTCAGGGGCATGTCTTCACCCCCTCACTCCCTTCCTGGCTGTGTCTCCTGCAGAACAACCTCCCTCCTAGCATGATGACCCGCAGAAACACCTACGTTTGCACAGAACGCCCGGGGGCTGAGCGCCCGTCACTGTTGCCAAATGGGAAAGAAAACAGGTACGGAGGGGGCAGCAACAGGGTGAGGGGTGGGAAGTAGGGGGTAGGTGAACAGGACCTCCCTTGATCTGAGATGATAGGCATTGGAGGCTGGTGCCATGGGGACCAGAGAGTGAGTGTATCTGCCCTGCCCTTGGCAGAATCGACCCATGTACCCCCCTGAAAATCCTCCCCACTTAATTAATTAGTCTTAAGCACCAGGAAAGCAGTTGGCCCTGTTCTCCGCCTACAAGCCTTGGGAACCTGAATTGATTTTTTGAATGATCCATTTTTAGAACTCGAGAGAAGCCCCAGAATGTCACAGCTTCAGCGTCATCTGGTTGGCTGGTTTTCCGGCTTGTTGGCCTGAGTCTGTGAGGTCTCTTCCAGCTGGCAAGGGAGGGAAACCAGTTCAGACTGGCTGGAGCAGAGAGAGGGAAGGGATTGGTTCACATCACAGGTCAAGGCCAGCTAGAATGGGGCCAGCTCCAGGATGAGGACACTGCCCCCCACCAGGGCTGTAGGGCAGGTTGATGGCCAACACCAGGGCACACTCTGGGATGCACCTGATTAGTGGGTGCAGGTGTTCCCACTGGGTGTGGGCAGAGGAATGGGGTAGTTAACAGTCACAAATCTGTCCAGGCACAGTGGCTCATGCCTGTAATACCAGCACTTTGGGAGGCTGAGGCAGGTGGATCAAGAAGTCAGGAGATCGAGACCATCCTGGCTAACATGGTGACACCCCGTCTCTACTAAAAATACCAAAAAAAAAAAAAAATTAGCTGGGTGCAGTGGTGGGCACCTGTAGTCCCAGCTACTCTGGAGGCAGAGGCAGGACAATGGCGTGAACCTGGAAGGCGGAGTTTGCAGTGAGCCGAGATCACGCCACTGCACTCCAGCCTGGGCAACAGAGCGAGACTCCATCTCAAAAAAAAAAAGTCACGATTCTGTGAATACTCAGTTCTGAGTTCGAATCTTACCTCTGTGCTCACACTGCTAGCAGAATGACCGGGTAAATCCCTGTGCCTCTGTTTCCTCCTCGGTAAAATGGGCTTGATGCTGGCCGGGCATGGTGGCTCACACCTGTAATCCCAGCACTTTGTGAGGCCGAGGTGGGCAGATCACCTGAGGTCAGGAGTTCGAGACCAGCCTGGCCAACATGATGAAACCCTGTCTCTACTAAAAATACAAAAATTAGCCAGGAACGATGTCATGTGCATGTAATCCCAGCTACTCAGAAGGCTGAATGAGGCAGGAGAATCGCTTGAACCTGGGAGGCAGAGGTTGCAGTGAGCTGGGATTGCGCCACTGTACTCCAGCCTGAGCCACACAGCAAGAATCCGTCTCATAAAAAAAAGGGCTGATGCTGTCCACTTCCAGGCCCCATTATAGAGATGCAGTAGAGATCAGGTGTGTCCTGTACCTGGCACTGGGTCTGATGCTTAGGAGGCCTTCATTCAGTGACTTGAGAGTGCTTTTTTTTGGTGGTTATCAAATAACAATAGTGAACATTCATGAAGCAGCAGCTACATGCCAGGCTTCTATGTCTATTGCCTGGCTCAGTGCCCCTAACAACTCTGTGAGGTAGATCCTAATATCTCCATTTTACAGCTGAGGACATAAGGCACAGAGAGGTTAAGTAACTTATCCAAGGCCACACAGCTGGTAAGTCAAGAAGCAGATTCCAGACTTGACTCCAGAATCTTATTTGTAATCACTGTAGTACATGGCCTTCCAGTTCTGCTCAAGAGATAGTGGAACAGTTAAATTACAGACTCAGACAAAAAAAATCAAAAATTAAAAAAAAATTTAAAAACAACAAAAAATAAAAAGTATAGACTCAGCTAGCTGCTGTAATAAAAACAAAGAGATCCCAGGGTAGAGTAATTTAAATAAAAAGGACGTTTAGTCCGGAGGGTCCTCCAAGGACCCAGGTAAGTTCTTCCAGCCCCAAAATGAGTTTCCAGCTCTGGGACTGAGGCCGCTGCACCAGCAGCCATCATTTCCCAATCAGGAAGAAGTGGGGAAAGAGTAGGGGACAAGCAACAACTCTTTGTAAAGGCGTCACCCAGAGATGGTACAGAGCACTTCTGCTTATATCCCATTGGCCGGAGCATGGTCACATAACCATCTCTAGCTGCAAGAGAGTCTGGGAAATGTAGTCTCTGGCTGGGTGGCCATGTGCAGTGCTCATACTCTTAGGGGTTTGGTTACCAAGAACGAAACAGGGAGGATGGATTCTAAGGGAGAAGTAACAGCCTCTGCCACAATCAGGATTCTTCTCTGAGATCCAGGCTGGGCCTGGAGTCCCTGGGAGGATAGAAATTGGAGGTCTGGGCTGGGCGCAGTGGCTCACACCTGGAATCCCAGCACTTTGGGAGGCCAAGGCCAGTGGATCACCTGAGGTGAGGAGTTTGAGACCAGCCTGGCCAACATGGTGAAACCCCATCTCTCCTGAAAATACATAAACTACCCAGGCGTGGTGCTGCATGCCTATAGTCCCAGCTACTCAGGAGGCTGAGGCAGGAGAATCACTTGAACCCAGGAGGCAGAGGTTGCAGTAGCCAAGATTGCCCCATGGCCCTTCAGCCTAGGTGACAGAGTGAGACTCTGTCTCAAAAAAAAAAAAAAAAAAAATTAGCCAGGCATGGTGGCACACGCTTGTAATCCCAGCTACTCAGGAGGGTGAGGCAGGAGAATTGAACTCAGGAGATGGAGGTCTGGCCCCTGCTGTCGACTAGGAGGGTCCGAGGGGCTGGAGGAGGGTCCTGGGACAGTGGAACCCCCACTGCCCAGATTACCATAGTGAATACAGGTATCCTTGACCTTTACATCTATCCCTTTCCTGATTTTAGATGGTGAGAGTTCAGATAGCAAAGTGTTTGCCAAGTTGATTTGGTTCCTGAGGTTTCGGCAAATAGCAAGGAAGTCACCCAAAAATGTCTGTGCATCTATTCAGTTGCTGCGTTTAGAGAGAGGAGAGTTGTGATAGGAGATGATTTGGAGCGGGTAGAGTTTGAAGAAGGGACAGTTTGAAGGAGGGGTAATAGGAGAGGAGAGAGTCAGTAAAATAATGCTAGGATTGTATAGTGCACAGCCTGCACAACTGTACGTTGCAGCCCTGTCTCTGAGTTCCAGGCTGGTTGCAGTCCCTGGTCTCAGGACAGGAATGTGAAGAATCAAAGGGACTGGGGCCCTGGCCTGCCTCAGTCCCCCACCCTGACTTGTCTGTCTCTGCCCACAGCTCAGGCACCCCACGGGTGCCCCCTGCCTCCCCCTCCAGTCACAGCCTGGCACCCCCATCAGGGGAGCGGAGCCGCCTGGCACGTGGTTCCACCATCCGCAGCACCTTCCATGGTGGCCAGGTCCGGGACCGGCGGGCAGGGGGTGGGGGTGGTGGGGGTGTGCAGAATGGGCCCCCTGCCTCTCCCACACTGGCCCATGAGGCTGCACCCCTGCCCGCCGGGCGGCCCCGCCCCACCACCAACCTCTTCACCAAGCTGACCTCCAAACTGACCCGAAGGTGAGCTCCGCGGGGATGGCAGGGGCAGGGCGGGGCGGGGGGCCGATGGGACCTAACCTGTCTTCCACTCTGCTCTGTCTCCTGTACCCCAACATTTCCTCTTCCTCCTCCTCCTCCTCCTCGTTTCCTCCTCCTCCTCCTCCTTTCCTCCTCCCCTGTCACCCCTCACCTCCCTCCTCACACTGCAGGGTTACCCTCGATCCCTCTAAACGGCAGAACTCTAACCGCTGTGTTTCGGGCGCCTCTCTGCCCCAGGGATCCAAGATCAGTAAGTCCCGTCCATGCCCTGTTCTCGCTGGCTCTGCCTCCCTGCCTGCATGTCTGACCTGTGTGTGCGGGCATTGGGAGGGGGCTCTGTGGATGTGAGGGTCTGTGCGTGGGGTCTGGTTGTTCATTTACTCACAGAAGCACAGCCTATGGAGCCAGACTCGGGGGTTCAAATGGCAGCTCTGCCAAGTGACCTTGAGCAAGTCACTCAAGGTCTCTGGGCCTGGTTTTCCTCTTCTGTAAAATGGGTATAGTAATAACAATACCTGTCTCCTAGGGTTATTGTGAGGACTAAATGAAGTGACGTATGGACTGAGCGTAGAACATTGCCTTGGAAAGTGCTTTACATGTGTATTAGTTATTAATTGCTATTATTCATTGAGCCCCTACTGTGTGCCTGGCACTGTCCTAGGCCCTGTAGTAGAGGGTGAGCAAAATGTACAAAACTCCTGCCCTGGCAGACCCAACATTCTACTAAGGGATCTAGACAAAAAACAAAGAAATAAGTAAAATATACTTACTATATAGACTGCTAGGTAGTGCGAAGTAACTAAGAAGAAAAATAGAGTAGGAGCCAAATTTGGTGGCTTATGCTTGTAATCACAGCACTTTGGGAGGCTGAGGCGAGGGGATCACTTGAGCCCAGAAGTTCAAGACCAGCCTGGACAACGTAGCAAGATCCTATCTCTACAAAAAAGTAAATAAATTGGCCGGGCGTGGTGACTGCACCTGTATTCCCATGGAATTGGGAGGCCGAGGCAGGAGGATCACTTGAACGCAGGAGGTCAAGGCTGCTGTGAGCTATGATCATCAGTCTTGGCAACAGAGGGAGAACCTGTCTCTAAAAAAAAAAAAAAAAAAAAAAAAAATTGAACAGGGAGGGGAATAAGGGGTGTGGGGAAGGGATGGGGTGCAGCATTAAATGGGCAGGCCTCTGGATGAGGTGGCTCAGGCCAGCAATCCCAGCACTTTGGACAGATGACTTGAGTCCAGGAGTTTGAGACCAGCCTGGGCAATGTGGCAAAGCCCCATCTCTACAAAACAAAACAAAAAACAAAAAGCAGATGTGGCACGCGCCTGTAGTCCCAGCTACTTCAGGGGCCAAGGCAGGAAGATTGCTTGAGCCTGGGAGGTTGAGGCTGCAGCGAGCTGAGATCACGCCACTCCTGCATGACAGAGTGAGACTCTGTCTCAAAAAAAGAAAAAAGGGCAGGCCTCACGAAGGAGGTGTTGTTTGAGCAAAGCATGAATGTATATGTGAGCGAGGGAGTGTGTGTGTGTGCACACGTGCGTGTGTCTCTCTCTTTCTCTCTGTGGCCACTTATCTATGTAAGGGTGTGTCTCTGCCCACTCCCCTCCCTTTCATCTTCCACATTCTTCAGTATCTTTCCTGTGACCTGCACTAACCATTTCAGAATGAGCCCCGTTATGGGGATGGACAAGGAGATCAAATCCTGACTCCAGGCCCTCACCAGCCCGGAGGGACTGGGGTTGAGGCAGGGGCTGCTTGGAGTCCCAGAGGCAGTGGGTTGCGGGAGGTGGGTTCCCTATGTCCAGATTAGACACTCTGTCCCCCTCCCCTCCCCTAGGGTCGCAGACGAACCTGAGAGAATCGGGGGACCTGAGGTCACAAGGTGAGTGCTTGGGCCTACCCCTGACTGCCACTTCCCCTCTCCTGCCTCAGCACCTCCCGACACTTACCCCAGGGCATTAGATGGGGCCCCAGTCTCATCCTGCAAGGCCAACTTCCTGAAATGCCCTGTGGCCCCAGCCTTCTCTGCCAGCTCCTCTCATTCCCACCCAACCCCAAGCACCTTCCCTTGATCATCTTAAACTTCAGCCTCCGGCTGGGTGCCATGGCCCAAGCCTGTAATCCCAGCACTTTGGGAGTCCAAGGGAGGCAGATCACCTGAGGTCGGGAGTTTGAGACCAGCCTAAGATGGAGAAACCCCGTCGTTACTAAAAATACAAAAATTAGCCGGGCGTAGTGGCGCATGCCTGTAATCCCAACTACTCGGGAGGCTGAGGCAGGAGAATCGCTTGAACCCGGGAGGCAGAGGTTGCGGTGAGCTGGATTGTGCCATCGCACTCCAGCCTGGGTAGCAAGAGTGAAACTCCGTCTGAAAAAAAAAAAAAAAAAAAAAAAAAAGCCTCATCCCATCCACAACTCAACTCCTCTTCTGGTCAATGCCCCCACCTCCTTTTGCCTCTCATCCAGTCATGGCACAATGTTTGCTGGCAGCTCAGGGCCAGCAGGAGGCAAACATCTGTACGGACCCAGATCATGAAGATTTTAGGCTTTGAGGGCCAGGCACCCTGTGTCACGCCTGTTCAGTTGTGCCATTGTAGTGCAAAAGCAGTCATATTCAACACAAAACAAATGGGTATGGCAGTGTTCCAATGAAACTTTATTTACAAAAGCAGACAGCACTGGAGTTTGCCAAGCCCTGGTTTTGTCTGAGTTCCCGGTTTAGAGACCCAAGTGGAAACCGGAGCCTTCCCAGCAGCTGCAACAAACTGCCAGGGCTGACTCTCATTGGTTGGGACTTGGTCACATGCTCATTCCTAAACCAATGCCTGCAGCCAGAGAGGAGAAGTACTCTGGTTGGTCAGACCTGGTCATGTGGTCACCCTTGACCCAAGCACAGTGGCCGGGAAGTAGAATGCTATCATTGGCAGAGCTGAGTCGTGCTCACCCAAGCTGAGGGGCGGCCCCACCGGAACAAGGGAGGCTAGTCCTGGGATGCTCATGTAGAGCAGCACTCTCGTACTTCAGGCGGGACGTTTCTTTGTTGTGCAGGGCCCTCTTGCACATTGGAGAATGTTTTTCATTCCTGACCTACCCCATCCCCAACCTAGTCAGTGCCAGCAGTGCTCCCATCCTAAGACATGTGACAATCAAAAAGCCCCCAGAGGCCGAGCACAGTGGCTTATGCCTGTAATTCCAACAACTCAGGAGGCCAAGGCAGGAGGATCACTTGAGCCCAGGAGGTCGAGGCTGCAGTGAGCTGTGATTGCACTACTGCATTGCAAGACCCTGTCTCAAAAAAACTAAGAAGTGGCCGGGCACTGTGGCTCTCGCCTGTAATCCCAGCACTTTGGGAGGCCAAGGCAGGTGGATCACCTGAGGCCGGGAGTTTAAGACCTGCCTGCCCAACATGGTGAGACTCCGTCTCTACTAAAAATACAAAAATTAGCTGGCCGTGGTGCCTGTTCTCCCAGCTACTTGGGAAGCTGAGGCAGGAGAATTGCTTGAACCCGGGAAGCAGAGGTTGCAGTGGGCCAAGATTGTGTCATTGCCTTCCAGCCTGGGCGACAAGAGCGAAACTCTGTCTCAAAAAAAAAAAAAAAAAAAAAAGCCGGGCGCAGTGGCTCACACCTGTAATCCCAGCACTTTGGGAGGTCGAGGCGGGCAGATCACAAGGTCAGGAGATCGAGACCATCCTGGCTGACACGGTGAAACCGTGTCTCTACTAAAAATACAAAAATTAGCTGGGGCCAGGCGTGGTGGCGCGTGCCTGTAATCCCAACTACTCAGGAGGCTATGGCAGGAGAATCGCTTCAACCCAGGAGGCGGAGGTTGTGGTGAGCCGAGATCGTTCCATTGCACTCCAGCCTGGGTAACAAGAGCAAAACTCCGTCTCAAAAAAAAAAAAAAAAAGAAAAGGAAAAAGAAATTTCTCATTCAAACATTCAAACCATGTGGCCAAGCCAGGCTGGTAAGGCCACTGTGATCTATGCGGTCATTCAGGTCCCCAGGTTATTGCATCCCGATTCCCTGGAGCCCTTGTCATCTTCACAGTTGAGGCTGGCCTGTGCCACTGCTAAGTCCAGCTCCTGGGAGATGTGGGACAGGAGAGCCTGGCACATGCAGGTTCTTTGAAGGAACTGATGTGGATGGCACATCTCACTTCTGCTCATGTCCCAGAATTTACAGACAAGGTCACACCTGGTTGCAAGGGAGGCTGGAAAGTGTGGTCTCTAGCTGGGCAGCTCTGTATCCAGTTGAAACTGTCGCTGGGGTAACAGGGGAAGATGTTTTTTGAGGGGATGGCTAGGAATGTGTCCCGAATTGGGAAGAGTTGTCCCTTCAGCCCTCCACCACATTCCTCTTCGCTCCCATCTCTGACCCCTGACATCTTCTCGCCTCAGTTGCCATCTACCTTGGGATCAAACGGAAACCGCCCCCCGGCTGCTCCGATTCCCCTGGAGTGTGAAGCTGACCAGCTCGCGCCCTCCTGAGGCCCTGATGGCAGCTCTGCGCCAGGCCACAGCAGCCGCCCGCTGCCGCTGCCGCCAGCCACAGCCGTTCCTGCTGGCCTGCCTGCACGGGGGTGCGGGCGGGCCCGAGCCCCTGTCCCACTTCGAAGTGGAGGTCTGCCAGCTGCCCCGGCCAGGCTTGCGGGGAGTTCTCTTCCGCCGTGTGGCGGGCACCGCCCTGGCCTTCCGCACCCTCGTCACCCGCATCTCCAACGACCTCGAGCTCTGAGCCACCACGGTCCCAGGGCCCTTACTCTTCCTCTCCCTTGTCGCCTTCACTTCTACAGGAGGGGAAGGGGCCAGGGAGGGGATTCTCCCTTTATCATCACCTCAGTTTCCCTGAATTATATTTGGGGGCAAAGATTGTCCCCTCTGCTGTTCTCTGGGGCCGCTCAGCACAGAAGAAGGATGAGGGGGCTCAGCGGGGGGAGCTGGCACCTTCCTGGAGCCTCCAGCCAGTCCTGTCCTCCCTCGCCCTACCAAGAGGGCACCTGAGGAGACTTTGGGGACAGGGCAGGGGCAGGGAGGGAAACTGAGGAAATCTTCCATTCCTCCCAACAGCTCAAAATTAGGCCTTGGGCAGGGGCAGGGAGAGCTGCTGAGCCTAAAGACTGGAGAATCTGGGGGACTGGGAGTGGGGGTCAGAGAGGCAGATTCCTTCCCCTCCCGTCCCCTCACGCTCAAACCCCCACTTCCTGCCCCAGGCTGGCGCGGGGCACTTTGTACAAATCCTTGTAAATACCCCACACCCTCCCCTCTGCAAAGGTCTCTTGAGGAGCTGCCGCTGTCACCTACGGTTTTTAAGTTATTACACCCCGACCCTCCTCCTGTCAGCCCCCTCACCTGCAGCCTGTTGCCCAATAAATTTAAGAGAGTCCCCCCCTCCCCAATGCTGACCCTAGGATTTTCCTTCCCTGCCCTCACCTGCAAATGAGTTAAAGAAGAGGCGTGGGAATCCAGGCAGTGGTTTTTCCTTTCGGAGCCTCGGTTTTCTCATCTGCAGAATGGGAGCGGTGGGGGTGGGAAGGTAAGGATGGTCGTGGAAGAAGGCAGGATGGAACTCGGCCTCATCCCCGAGGCCCCAGTTCCTATATCGGGCCCCCCATTCATCCACTCACACTCCCAGCCACCATGTTACACTGGACTCTAAGCCACTTCTTACTCCAGTAGTAAATTTATTCAATAAACAATCATTGACCCATGCCTACTCCATGCCAGGCCCAGTGCTGGACACAGAGACATGAAGCTCTGTCTGTGGGAGACAGGGATTCTGACACAGACACCGGACAAACCATTGTCTTGGGGAGCCCAGAAGAGAAAGTGGGCAGGGTGGGGTCATTGGGGAAGATGCTCTAGAGGAATTAATGCTGGAATGGGGTGTTGAAGGATGAGTAGGAGTTAGTTAGGCATTGAGTTTGCCCTGGGCAAAAGCCCAGAAGTGGGAGTATGTGGTATATCTTCAGAGAACTGGGTAATTTCAGTGTGGCTGCTGTGTTGGGCATGGATGGAGAATCAGCAAGAGAAATGCTGTATTAGGACTAATAATCCATCTACGCTGCTTAAGCAAAAAGGTATTTGTTGGTTTATGTTACTTAATAGTCCAGGGGCACCTGGCTTCAGGTAGGTTTGATCCAGGCATCAGGCCATTGCATCTATTTTTTCAGTGTAAGTTGAATTCTAGTAATTTTTATCAAGTAAGGGCTCCTTTCCTGGTGGCACAGATGACTTCAGCAGTTAGAAGTTTCTATCCCTCCAGCTTTCTGCAGCAGAAAGACCCTCATTGTCAGTTTCCCAGCAAAAGTCCCAGGGCAGACTCTCATTGGCCCAAATGGGCCATGTGATTTTCTCTAAACCAATCACTGTGACTCTAGAGTGGCCAGACTCAGAGCTGCACTTAGTAGGGGTTCCTCAAAGGAAGGTCAAGTGTCATGAGCAGGAGAAAAGGCATGGGAGCTGGACAGATTATAGTGGTTGAAGTCTGTGCAGTACAGAAGGGCGGAGCTTATTCACACAGCACCTTTGGGGCCAAAATGAATAAGCTGGACTTTCTCCCCATGGCACTGGGGAACCATGGAAGTTCAGGGAACTTCAGGGAAGAGGCTTGGTCAATTCCTGAGAGCATCCTCTGTGCTGGGGACACAGTGGTAATCAAGACAGCCCCAACACTGCCCTCATAGAGCTCACAGTCCAATGGAGGAGGCAGATGTGTCCTCAGGCAGCGACTGGGCAGGGCTGGTATAGGGGAGTCCAGAGGTGATGCCTGCCTCAGCCAGGGAGGGCTTCCTGGAGGAGAAGGAGCCAGCTAGACATGGATAGGAGTGCGTTTTAGGCACAGCAAATGGCACATACAAGGGCCAGGGAGCAAGAGAGAGGACAGGTCCTCAACAAATGGCATGTGACTTTGTAAGTGTAGAATTGCTGTGAGGTATGGGGCTAGGGGCGTCAGTAGGGCCTTGAAGGTTATGGACAGGGGCCTGGGCTTTCTTCCAAGGGCACTGGGGGAGCCATGGCAAGGTTGTAGGTAGGGTAGAGATGGGCGGGTTTGTGCTATGTGCAGGGTGGAAGGGAGGGAAGTTGACAGGTCAGAAGATCAGGAAAGAGGTCGGGGCTGGACAGATGGGGAGAGCGCAGATAGATTTAAGAGAGTCCTGTGAGGCAAAGTGGGCAGGACCTGGTAACAGGTGTCTGGACTGTGGCTTTGGCTGGCTCAGAAGGTCCCCACTGGCGTGTGTGGTCTATGTAGCCTCTGGGTGTGGAGCTGGGATCTTCAACTGGGGACAGTACAGTAAAGAACATCACAGCATCTCACAGGTTCTGCATACCTTAATGTTTAGAATCTCTCCTAACCTTCCTTGTAGTAATCTCCCTGGGAACTTTTGGGGACATCCCTAGGCCTCAATTTCCCCTCTGTAAAACAGAGGGCAGATTGAACTACAAGGGCCCTTAATCTCTGTGACTCTTGAGGTTTGAAAAAGCACCTTAGGTTCCTGAGGGCTTTGTCGGTTCTTCCATTTACTCCCACCTCACTTTTTTTTTTCCCTAAAACGTTTGTCTTTTGGGGCCCACCGACTGTGTCCTTGTTAACGTAGACATTGGCCTGTTTGACTGGGTGGAGGTGATTGACGTGCCCAACACCCAATGCATGTTCAGCTACTGCTTGACTTCTATTAACTCTTCTCCCTCCACCAATTGCTCTACCACACCTCTTTCCTGTTCCTTCCTGGGACTGAGTTCTCCAAAAGGCCTATCCCTAAAGACTTCATGGGGATGCTCAGACTCACAGATTGGAGAGGGAAACAGCTTGGTCAAAGACATTGAGGTGGGAATTGGAGGGTGTCAGGTGTGAAAGAATCAGAGGAGTAATGGGGAAAGAACTGGAAAGGTGAGCCTCCAGCAAATGGTATGCATTTCAGTGTGGCCTTGAGTTGCAAAATAACAGAAAAGCTTTCTAGGAGAAATGGGGAGCCATGGCAGGTTCTTGAGAAAGTAAGGGACTGGCAGCAGCTACAGAGGGATGAAGTCAGACGGGACAGAAGGAGGCCACTGAGAAGCAGAATATAGGTAGATGTGACGAGCTGCATGGGAGGTCTCAAAACTGGAGACCGTTGGGCTAAATTCAAGTTTCAGACATTTCGTTTGGCTGCATTCCTCCCCAGCGTGGACCTCGTGTTTGAGATCTGAGCATGACTAATTCAAAGCCATAGTTGGAAAGGGCCCATGCTTTGGGTGAGTGACACTGGGCTCAGTGTCTCTCTGGGTCTCAGATTCCCCATAGAGCCTTCTAATTTTTGGACTAGATTCTGTGACCTAACTTTGCCTCATTTTAGACCCGGGATAAGACATGTTTAGTACATGCCTAGACAGGACAAACCACTCTGAGACCACACAGTGGCCAATTGCACGTCCTCCCTCAATAACTATCGCACAAAGCTAAGGCCACCAATGCTTTTATTTATCGCTTTGCGTGGAGACAAAGCACAAGCTCCGAGTGTGCTGGGAGCTCTCCATTAACTAGAGCTCCTGGTTGGGGTGGAGCTCTGGGAAAAGAAGAGGACCCTGCCAGGGAGATATTTCATTGGCCAGAATCCAGAGGATGGAGCCCATTGGTTGGAACTCTGGTTGAAACTGGAACTCTGAGAAGGGTGGAGAGAGCCCCCAGGTGGGACTCTGGGACAGGGGGCGGGGCGAGGAGTGAGGGAGCAGGACTCTGGTGGGCCAGGCCCTCCCACTGGCTGGGTTCCAGCAGTCGGTGGCAGGTGGGCAGGCGCCTACTTCTGGGCGGGGATCATGTCGTCAATGGACTGGCCTTTCTCCAACTTCTTCTCCATTTCCACCATGAGCTTCACACCATCCACCACCAGCTGCACCTGTTCTACTTCGGACGAGCCCAGCCGATCAGCGTTGGACACGTCAAATACTGAGCCCACGGCAGCTGTGTCCACGCCACCTGTGGGAGCAAGGGACAGGGGCGTGAAGAGGCAGCGAAGGTGCAGAGGGGCTGGGACGTGGCCCCCGTGCCAAATGCAACAGCCGCATGTAGTGAGTGCCTACTGTGTAACAGGTTACCTGCACACAGGTAATGCCTGTTCATTCGTGAGCTCACGAGTCTCTGACTTCAGATGGGGTACCACGCCACTCAGTTATCAAACATAGTATAGTGGGTAAGAGAGTGGGTTCTGGAGCCAGGCGGCCTAGGGTCGAATCCTGACCACTCCTCGCTTTATAAATGGGGAAACTGAGGCCCCGAGGGAGGTCCAAGGGCATGTGCAATGCATATTATATAATCATGAAAATCCCACATTGACTCCTATCACATAGGCATATTGACACCCATTTTACAGAGGAAGAAATGCAAGCTCACAGAGGGTCAGCCCTTGCCGGATCCCCAGAACTCGCAGGGATGTCGCACCTCTCCTTGCATCCCTGCAAAGGGCCCTCGCTCCCCCTCCGTCGTGGTGCAAAGGATGTGGGAGCCGTACCTGTACCCCTCTTCTGCAGACGCAGGCGGGTGAGGATCTCCTCGAACTTGGGGTGCTTGCTCAGGTGCGCCAGCTTCACATGCACGCCTCCACGCAGCCCAGTGCCCAGGTTGGATGGGCAGGTGAGCACGTAGCCCAGGTGCTGGTTCCACATGAAGGGGTGGCCAGCTTTCTTAAAGATCTCCTCAATCTGAGGTTCAGAGAGAGGACCAGGGGTCAGCGCCGGCAGGCACCCCCAAATGCACCCGCAACATGGACAGGGTCCGGAGGGACAGGGCGTGGGAACGTGGTGGAGGTGGGATTCTGAGGGGAACAGGGAGGTAGGAGATTCCGAGGGTGCTGGCTAGACAATGGGGACCAAGGCAGGATTTTGAGGGGCGGGGACTAAGAACGCTTTGAAGGCGGGTTTTTTTTTTTTTTTTTTCCAGAGTCTCTCTGTGTCACCCAGGCTGGAGTGCAATGGCGTGATCTCGTCTCACTGCAACCTCTGCCTCCCAGGTTCAAGCGATTCTCCTGCCTCAGCCTCCCGAGTAGCTGGGACTACAGGCGCGCGCCACTACGCCTGGATAATTTATTTATTTATTAATTTTTTAGTATAGAGACGGGGTTTCACCATGTTGGCCAGGCTGGTCTTGAACTCCTGACCCTCCTCAGCCTCCCAAAGTGCTGGGATTACAGGCGTGAGCCACCGCTCCCGGCCTGAAGGCGGATCCTTACGGGCGGGGCTTGGGCATAGGGTGGAGCTGGGTCCAGGGGCGGGGCCCTGAAAAGCGGGTGGGGCTAGTTTTGGGGGGCGGGGTTTGGCATGGGGTGGAGCCAGGTCCGGGGGGCAGGGCCCTGGAAAATGGGTGGGGCAGGGCTTAGTATAGGGGAAGGGGCGGGGCCTCGGAAAGCAGGTGGGGCGTTCAAGGTGGAGTCAGAAGTCAGCAGCTAAGGGCAGACACCCACCTTCTGCAGCCCTACGCAGAAGCGGCGGAAAACCTCCTTCATGTTGCCCCCCTTCTCCATGGAGATGACCCGGAGGTGATCCTCCTCGTTCACCCACACCAGGAAGCTCTTGTTGTCATTGTGCCTAGAGTAAGGTGCCGCAGCAAGAGGCCAAGGTGTCAGCCCCGTGGGAACCCCATTCCCAGCCCTCCCCCAAAACATCTGCCCACCGATGGGGGAAGAGGGCCTGAGGGGTGGGAGGTGGGTGGCATCTGCCTCCTCAAAACGCAGAAGCTTAAACCTGTAGACTCTAATGTCACAGGATCTGCAAAACGCTGAATCCTGGGATCAAGGACTTTTAGGGACTTAAGTCTTTGAACAGTATTATTATAGATCCTTGGGATCTCAGGATGTTTGACAAACAGAAGCTTGGGATCAGAACTGATAACACTTGGTAATCCTACATCTGGTTTCAGGACCAGAAAATCTTCCCATCGTAGTGTGTTAGCTCCCAATCCTAGCATCTCAGAAGCAGGATCTTAGAACATAAAATATTAAGGCTGGGTGCGGTGGCTCACGCCTGTAATCCCAGCACTTTGGGAGGCCGAGGCGGGCGGATCACAAGGTCAGGAGATCGACACCATCCTGGCTAACACGTCGAAACCCTGTCTCTACTAAAAAATACAAAAAAAAATCTGGGCATGGTGGCGGGCATCTGTAGTCCCAGCTACTCAGGAGGCTGAGGCAAGAGAATGGCGAGAACCCGGGAGGTGGAGCTTGCAGTGAGTCGAGATCGCGCCACTGCACTCCAGCCTGGGCAACAGAGCGAGACTCCATCTCAAAAAAAAAAAAAAAAAAGAACATAAAATATTAAGATCCGGAAATGGCCGGGTGTGGTGGCTCATGCCTGTAATCCCAGCACTTTGGGAGGCCAAGGCCGGAGGATTGCTTGAGCCCAGGAGTTCAAGACTACCCTGGGCAACATGGCAAGACCCACATATCTACAAAATTTAAAAAATTAGCAGGCATGGTGGGACACATGCCTGTAGTCCAAGCCACTGGGGAGGCTGAGGCGGGAGGATCACTTGACCTTGGAAGGTCCAGGCTGCAGCGAGCTATGATCCCACCACTGCACTCCAGCCTGGGCAACAGAGCAAGACCCTGTCTCAAAAAAAAAAAAAAAAAAACCTGAGGGCAGGCATGGTGGCTCACGCTTGTAATCCCAGCACTTTGGGAGGCTGAGGTGGGCGGATCACTTAAGGTGAAGAGTTCGAGACCAGCCTGAGCAACATGGCAGAACGCTGTCTCTACCAAAAATACGAAAACTAGCTGGGCACAGTGGCACATGCCTGTCGTCCTAGCTACTAAGGAGGCGGAGGGTGAGAGGATCGTTTGAACCCGGGAGATGGAGGTTTCAGTGAGTCGAGATCAACCCACTGCACTCCAGCCTGGGCCTCAGAGTGAGAGTCCATCTCAAAATAAATAAATAAATAAATGAGTGGAATCTTAAAACCTAAAAATATTTAAAATCTTGAAATCTTAGAATCATCCCATCTGTATATCTTAGCACCCAGGCTCCCTTCATCGATTGAAACCTAGGTTCTCTAAATCTTTGACTATCTGAATCAGGGATTCAAAGAGTCAAAACAAGTCTAGCAATAATACTTTATAATAAAGATAAGACGAATAACCAAGATGTACTGAACACTTAGTGTATACCAGGCACTGCTTTTTTTTTTTTTTTTTTTTTTGAGACAGAGTCTTGGTCTGTCGCCCAGGCTGGAGTGCAGTGATGCGATCTTGGCTCACTTCAAGCTCCGCCTCCCGGGTTCACGCCATTCTCCTGCCTCAGCCTCACGAGTAAGTAGGACTACAGGCGCCTGCCACCAAGCCCAGCTAATTTTTTGTATTTTTAGTAGAGACGGGGTTTCACCATGTTAGCCAGGATGGTCTCGATCTCCTGACCTCGTGATCCGCCCGCCTTGGCCTCCCAAAGTGCTGGGATTACAGGCGTGAGCCACCGCGCCTGGCCCAGGCACTGCTTTTAATACTTTACATAAATTAACTCATTTAATCCTCACAAGAACACCAGAAACTACAAATTATTGTGATCCCTATCCTATAGCTAGGAAACTGGGGTAGAGAAAAATAAAATAAGTTGCCCAAGGTCACAAAGCTAGTAAAGTTAGTAAATGGTAGAGCTGGGATTTGAACCTAGGGAGTACGGTTCAAGTCTGAGTTCTTATTTTTGAGACAGGTAGCTGGAGTGCAGTACCTCGGTCATGATTCACAGTAACCTCAATCCTCTGGGCCCAGCTGATCCTCAGCCTCTCGAGTAGCTGGGACCACAGGTATACGCCATCACGCCTGGCTTTTTTTTTTTTTTTTTTTTTTTTTTTTTTTTGAGACGGAGTCTCCTGTCGCCCAGGCTGGAGTGCAGTGGCACGATCTCAGCTCACTGCAAGCTCCGCCTCTTGGGTTCAGGCCATTCTCCTGCCTCAGCCTCCCAAGTAGCTGGGACTACAGGCGCCTGCCACGACGCCGGGCTAATTTTTTTTTTTTTTTTGTAGTTTTAGTAGAGACGGGGTTTCACCGTGTTAGCCAGGATGGTGTCAATCTCCTGACCTCGTGATCCGCCCACCTTGGCCTCCCAAAGTGCTGGGATTACAGGCGTGAGCCACCGCGCCTGGCTTTTTTTTTTTTTAATTTTTGTAGCGACGTGGTCTCCCTATGTTGCCCAGGCTGGTCTAGAACTCCTGGGCACAAGCGACCCTCCTGCTGCAGCCTCCCAAAGTGCTGGGATTACAGGTGTGAGCCACTGTGCCCGGCCAAGTCTAAGTTCTTTCTTTTTTGTTTGTTTTTTTTTGAGACAGTCTGGCTCTGTCGCCCAGGCTGGAGTGCAGTGGCACGATCTCGGCTCACTGCAACCTCCGCCACCTGGGTTCAAGCGATTCTCCTGCATCATCTTCCCAAGTAGCTGGGACTACAGGCGCCTGCCACTACGCCCAGCTAAATTTTTGTCATTTTTAGTAGACACCGTGTTGGCCAGGCTGGTCTCAAACTCCTGACCTCAAGTGATCCCCCCGCCTTGGCCTCGCAAAGTGCAGGGATTACAGGCATGAGCCACCGTGCCCCGCCAAGTCTTAAGTTTTTAACTACCACTTCTCCGGTCCAGATATCCCAAAATCTGACACACAGACCACAGGATGGGCAGGGGCGGAGGGCAAGATCATTTTCCGTGGCATTTAGAAGATCATAATTACGTATATGGCCTTGGTTTTGGTGGAGGAGTGAGGAGGGCCGTTGCAGGACTGGAGGAGGCTGGGGGAAGAGGAAGCCAGGGGGCGGGGAGGGGCCTCACCAGATGCCACGGGCGTCGGGCCAGTCGCGGGCCATGCCTGAGGCCAGCAGCAGCGGGGACACGGGCTTGTCGAACAGGAAGTGGTCATCGATGAGCTGCTGCTGCTCCTTCTCCGTCATGCTCTTCAGAGGGTAGTACTTCCCTTTGAACTCGCCCGTCAGGCTGTTGAGAGCTATGGGGACACACGAGGGAGTGGTCAGCAGCCTGTCCCACCTCAACCAGGGTGTGGAGGCCCAGGGTTTCCCCTGCTGCTGCTCCTAACGGGCCTGGGCCTTGGCCCCCTGGATGTCCTAAAGGCACCTGAACCCTGTGTCTAAACCCACACTTGTGACGGCTCCCCAAAATCTGTTCCTGCCATCTGTCCAGGCCCCCAGGAATGGCCACCCCATGTGCTCAATCTGGAAAACAGACCCACCTCTTCCCCTGAGGGACCCTCACATCCAATCCACCTGCAGGCCACAGTGTGCTGGTGCCTGCTCCTAATGGCTGGCAACACAGATGGCTGAAGTCTCAGGACTTTGAGAGGCCATTAGTAAAAATTATTATAAAGTAGAATGGTAGCCAGGTGCACTGGCACGAGCCTGTAGTCCAGATACTGGGGAGGCTGAGGCAGGAGGATCACTTAAGCCCAGGAGTTCGAGTCCAGTCTGGGTAACATAGCAAGACCCCCATCTTTTTTTTTTTTTTTTATGAGACGGAGTTTTGCTCTTGTTGCCCAGGCTGGAGCGCAATGGCGCGATCTTGGCTCACTGCCACCTCCGTCTCCCGGGTTCAAGCGAATCTCTTGCCTCAGCCTCTCAAGTACCTGGGATTACAGGCATGCGCCACCATGCCCGGCTAATTTTGTATTTTTAGTAGAGACGGGGTTTCTCCACTTGGGCGCCTGGCCCAAGACCCCAATCTTTAAAAAAAAAAAAATTGTAGGCTGGGCGCAGTGGCTCATGCCTATAATCCCAGCACTTTGGGAGGCCAAGGCAGGCAGATCACTTGAGGTCAGGATTTTGAGACCAGCCTGGCCAACATGGTGAAACCCCGTCTCCACTAAAAATACAAAAATTAGTCGGCCATGGTGGCACACGCCTGTAATCCCAGCTACTCAAGAGGCTGAGGCACGAGAAACACTTGAACCCAAGAGGTGGAGGTTGCAGTGAGCTGAGATTTTGCCACTGCACTCCAGCCTGGGTGACAGAGTGAGATTCTGTCTAAAAAAAAAAAAAAGAAAAAAAATTGTGTGTTTATTTGTATATTCATGTATAAAATATGTGTATAATGAATTTGTGTTTGTGCATATGTACAATAAATCTATAATATTTATATATCTTATACATATTCATATAATATACAGACATACCTCGTTTTATTGCATTTTGCAGATACTGTGTTTTTTACAAATTGGAGGTTTGTGGCAACTCTTTGTCCAGCAGGTCTATTGGAGCCATTTTTCCTACAGCATGTGCCACTTCGTGTCTCTGTGTCACATGTGGGTAATTCTCACAGTACTGCAGACTTTCTCATTATTACTATATCTGTCATGGCGATCCGTGATCAGTGATCTCTGATGTTACTGTTTTAATTTTGGGGGGTGCCACCGACCTTGCCCATATAAAAGGGTGAACTTAATGGATAAATGTGTGTGCTCGGACTGCCCCACTGACCAGCCATTCCCTCATCTCTCCCCATCTCCTTGAGCCTCCGTATTCCCTGAGACACATGATTTTGAAATCAGGCCAATTCAGTTCATAACCTTACAATGGCCTCGAGGTGTTCAAGTGAAAGGAAGAGTCAACATTTTTCACTTTAAATAAAAAGCTTCATAGGCCAGGTGCGGTGGCTCACGCCTGTAATCCTAGTGGTTTGGGAGGCTGAGGCAGGCAGATCACCTGAGATCAGGAGTTTGAGACCAGCCTGGCCAAGATGGCGAAACCCCGATTCTACTAAAAATACAAAAATTAGCCAGGCGTGGTGGCGCATGCCGGTGATCTCAGCTACTTGGGTGGCTGAGACACGAGAATTGCTTGAACCACGAGGTGGAGGTAACAGTAAGCCAAGATTGCACCACTGCACTCCAGCCTGGGCGACAAGAGTGTGGCTCCATCTCAAAAAAGAGATTCTTTTCAAACTATTACTGCTGGCCAGGCACTGTGGCTCACACCTGTAATGCCAGCACTTTGGGAGACCAACATGGGAGGATCACTTAAGCCCAGGAGTTGGAGGTTATGGTAAGTCATGATTGCACCACTGCATTCCAGCTGGGCAACAGAACAAGACCCTGTCTTGAAAAGAGAGAGAGAAAGAGAAGGAAGGAAGGAAGGGAGGAAGGGAGGGAGGAAAGAAGGAAGGAAGGAAGGACGGAGAAGAAAAGGGAAGGGAAGGGAAGGAAGGGAGGGAGGGAAGGAAGGGAAGGAAGGGAGGAAGAAAAGAAAGGAAAGGAAGGAAGGAAGGAAGGAAGGAATTGCCGCAGCCATCTCAACCTTGAACGACAACCGCCCTGATCAGTCAGCAGCCCATCAACATCAAGGCAAGGCCCTACACAACAGAAAGGTTCCAACTTGCTGAGTCCTCAAATGATCACAACATTTTTAGCAGGATTTTAAAATTAAGGTATGTACTTTTTTTTTTCTAGACATAATGCTATTGTGCACTTAACAGACTACAGTATAGGATAAACATAACTTTTTTTTTTGAGATGGAGTCACACTCTGTCCCCCAGGCTGGAGTGCAGTGGCGTGATCTCAGCTCACTGCAACCTCTGCCTCCCAGGTTCAAGCGATTCTCCTGCCTCAGTCTCCCAAGTCGCTGGGATTACAGGTGTGTGCCACCAGACCCAGCTGATTTTTGTATTTTTAGTAGAGATGGGGTTTTACCATGTTGGCCAGGCTGGTCTCAAACTCCTGACCTCAAATGATCCACCTGCCTCAGCTTCCCAAAATGCTGGGATTACGGTGTGAGCCACTGTGCCTGGCCTCTTTTTATTTGTTTTTGAGGCAGGTTCTCACTCTGTCACCCTGGCTGGAGTGCAGTGGCACAATCACGATTCACTGCAGCCTCAACCTCCCGGGCTCAAGTGATCCTCCCACCTCAGTCTCCTGAGTAGCTGGGATGACAGGTGTGTGCCACCACTCCTGGCTCATTTTTGTCTTTTTTGTAGAGACAGGGTCTTGCTGTATTGCCCAGTCTGGTCTTGAACTCCTGGGCTCAAGCGACCCTCCCTCCTAGGCCTCCCGCACTGCTGTGGGAGCCACTGTGCCCGGCCTCAACTCCTCCTATCTGAGGTGGCTCCCCTCGGTCATTCTCCACCACACCCATGTCTTGGCTTCATGGCACTTTTGAATTATCTTGTTCATCTGTGGGTTTCTGTATTTCCTCTTGTCTCCCCACCAGCTGAACACTCTGTGAGAACAGTGAGGGACCCCTATCTCCCCACACAGGGCAAGAACCCCTGGAAATGTGTGCTGGATGAACGGATGGCAGGACGCTGGGGGCAGCCAGGTGTCTGCGTAGGTCTTCTCAGGGGCCGTCGGGTCTGGACAGCATCCCTGAATCTCCAACACAGCAGGTAATGCTGACAGCCCGCGCCATTCCCCAAGCCCCCACGATTTACCAAGCTCTTCCCCTACTTTGAAAAGCGGGGGCCCAAAGAGACCCGAGGACCTGCCCATGGAGGAACAGAGCCAGGGCTGGGTGACCCCAGCAGTGGACGGGGTAGGGGCGCTCACCTTCCACAGAGAGCTTCTCCACCGCCCGGCGCTCGCCACGGGAGCAGTGTGGGGGCAACGTGTAGCCCTTGATGCTGCGGCCAGTGCGGACGCGGCTGCTGAGCACGTAGTTAGGGTCCAGGTCGTCTCCACCCTGGAGAGCGGGTGGGAGATCAGGACCAGGCAGATCCTCCGCCCTCTCCAGCAAGCCCAGGTCTCCCCCAGATGCTCCCCTCAGTCTCCCTGTTGCTTCCTTTGCCTTCTGCATCCTCACTGATTGGGTGTGTGGAGCCTCTCCCCGCCACCCATACCTGGGCTCTGTCTCTCCCTTCTCTGTCTCTCTCCCCTCTCCTATCTCTGTTTTTCTTTATACCTCTCTCTCCCCATCTTCGTATATTTCTTTTCCTTTTTTTTCTTCGAGACAGGGTCTCTCTCTGTCGCCCAGGCTGGAGTGCAGTGGTGCCATCATAGCTCACTGCAACCTCAAACTCCTGGGCTCAAGCAATTCCCCTGCCTCAGCCTCCCAAGTAGCTGGGACTAACAGGTAGGTATATGCCACCATGTTCGGCTAACTTAAAATAAATTTTTTATAAATAGAGACAGGGGCTGGGCGCGGTGGCTCACACCTGTAATCCCAACACTTTGGGAAGCCGAGGTGAGCCAATCACCTGAGGTCAGGAGTTCGAAACCAGCTTGGCCAACATGGTGAAACCCCATTTCTACTAAAAATACAAAAATTAGCTGGGCGTGGTGGTGCGCGCCTGTAATCCCAGCTACTCAGGAGGCTGAGGCACGAGAATCACTTGAACCTGGGGATCAGGGGTTTCCGTGAGCTGAGATCGAGCCACTGCACTCCAACCTGGGTGACAGAGTGAGATTCTGTCTCAAAAAAAAAAAAAAAATAGAGACAGGGTGTCACTATGTTGCCCAGGCTGGTCTCAAACTCCTGGGCTCAAACAGTCCTCCTGCCTCAGCCTCCCAACGTGATGGGATTACAGGCATGAGCCACCATGCCTAGCTAAATTTTTAGGCTTTTTTTTTTCTTTTTTTTGGGCAGAGACGGGTTCTTGCTATGTTGCCCAAGCTGGTCGTGAACTCTCCTGGCTTCACGTGATCCTCACACCTCAGCCTCCATAAGTGCTGGGATTACAGGTATAGCCACTGCACCCAGCCTTTCTGCCCATTTCTGTTTCTCTTCCTGTCTCCCTTTCTCCCACTCTCCTTGTCTGTGTCTGACTGCAACTGCGTGTGTCTCTCTCTCCCTGTCTCTCCTGCCTTCTCTGATGCTCCCTTCTGTCTCCCTCTGTGTCTCTGCCTCTCCCCCCACCCTTTTTTTTTTAGGCAGAGTCTCGCTCTGTCACCCAGGCTGAATAGCTAGGATTATAGGTGAACACCAGCATGCCTAGCTAATTTTTGTATTTTTAATAGAGACTGGGTTTCACCGTGTTGGTCAGGCTGGTCTCGAACTCCTGACCTTATGATCCGCCCACCTCAGCCTCCCAAAGTGTTGGGATTACAAGCGTGAGCCACTGTGCCCGGCTATGCCTCTTCCTTTTCTACATGCTTTTGTGCCTTTCTTCTCCCTCTCCCTCTCCTTTGTCTGTCTGTCTCCTTGGTTGTCTGTGTCTCCTTGGCTGTCTCTGTGTCTCTCTGTCCCTCTCTCTTTCCTTTTTTTATTTTCTGAGATAGAATCTTGCTCTGTCACCCAGGCTGGAGTGCAGTGGCATGATCTCAGCTCACTGCAGCCTCCATCTCCTGGGTTCAAGAGATTTTCCTGCCTCCACCTCCTGAGTAGCTGGGATTACAGGCACGCGCCACCATGCCCAGCTAATTTATTTTATTTATTTATTTATTTATTTTTTGAGACGAGTTTCGCCCTTGTTGCCCAGGCTGGAGTGCAATGGCACGATCTCTGCTCACCACAACCTCTGCCTTCCAGGTTCAAGCGATTCTCCTGCCTCAGCCTCCCACGTAGCTGGGATTACAGGCATGTGCCACCACACCCAGCTAATTCTGTATTTTTAGTAGAGACGGGGTTTCACCATGTTGGTCAGGCTGGTCTCAAACTCTCAATCTAAGGTGATCTGCCCGCCTTGGCCTCCCAAAGTGCTGGGATTACAGGCGTGAGCCACCGCCGTGCCCAGCCCTTTTTTTTTTTTTTAAAGACAGAGTTTTGCCATGTTGGCCAGGCTGGTCTTGAACTCCTGACCTCAAGTGATACGCTCGCCTCAGCCTCCCAATGTCCCTCTCTCTTTCCATCTCTCTGCTTCTCCACACCTCTGTGTCTCTCTCTGTCTCTGTATTTCTCTGTCTCCCCCCATTTCTCCTGTGATCTCTCTCCTCCTCACCCCTCGGCCCTCCCCTCCTGCGCAGACACCGACCTTGAGGTTTTCATGGTTGAGGTCAGTCTTGTGCTTGTCAGTGGGTTTGTAGCCCCCGTGGCGATCCGAGATGATGGGGTCAAAGAGTTCCTTGAAAACTTCGTAGGACTCCTCATCACCAGCCACGCAGCCCACGGTCATGATGAAGGGGTGACCTGGAGGGGTGGGGGTGAGGTCAGAGCTGCTTGTCCCCAGCAAACAGGGCGTGGGCTTGTGGGCTCAGTGGAGCCTGTGTGGACATGTGTGTCGGGATGGGGGCGGGTACATTCAATACCTCTGGGTGGGAATTGAGAATCATAAGGGTTGGGCACAGTGGCTCATGCCTGCAATCCCAGCACTTTGGGAGGGTGAGGCGGGTGAATCTCTTGAGGTCAGGAGTGTGAGACCAGCCTGGCCAACAGGGTGAAACCCCATCTCTGCTAAAAATACAAAAATTAGCTGGGTGTGGGGCACACACCTGTAATCCCAGCTACTCAGGAGGCTGAGGCATGAGAATTGCTTGAACCAAGGGAGTGGAGGTTGCAGTGAGCCAAGATCACACCACTGCACTCCAGCCTGGGTGACAGAGCAAGACTCTGTCTCCAAAGGAAAAAAAAAAAAAGAGAGAACACTGAGGACTGGTGGGAACTGGGAGGGAAGGCTGGGAGAGGTCAAGGTGGCTGGGAGGGGTCAAGGTGGGAGAGAAGAAAGAGTGCTGGGGGCGGGGTCAAAGGAGAAAGGGGAGCTTCAGAGGGTACATGGTGCTAAAAGCATCAGCACCTCGGAAACATTAGCACCCAAAGTCATGACATCTTAGCCTGAAATGTTAGGATCTCAGGCTACCACCGTACCACAGAGGGTCAGGAGGGTAAGAGACTTGAAAGACCCTCTTGTTTCCCAGTGGAAAAACAGGGGCCAGGAGAGAGGGGCTTCTCCCCGGCATCACACAGTGAGCTGGATGTGAGGGGCACTAGAGCCTCCCCTCCACTCCCAGCTCTCTTCGCCTTGCAATGTCCTTTGAGAAACAACCATAACATTAATAACATCCCCTGTCAGATTCTTTTTTTTTTTTTTTGAGACAGGGTCTCACTCTGTGGCTGGAGTACAGTGGCGCGATCTCGGCTTACTGCAACCTGCACCTCCCAGGCTCAAGCGATCCTCCCACCGCAGCCTCCTGAGTAGCTTGGACCACAAGCCCTCATCACCACACTTGGCTAATTTTTTTGTATTTTTTGTAGAGACAGGGTCTTGCTATGTTGCTCAGGCTGGTCTCAAACTCCTGGCCTCAAGTGATCCTCCCACCTGGGCCTCCCAAAGTGCTGGGATTACAGGCATGAGCCACTGCACCTGGCCCCCCTGTCAGAGCTTGAGCACTCACTTGGTGCCAGGTGCCACTCTAAGCACTGCACAGCCATTGACTTGTGTTTTCACAACGTGGGCGCCCATTTTTCAGATGAGGAGACTGAGGTTCAGGAGGTGAACCGACCTCCTTGGGGATCTCACATTATTCTCGTGCATGTTTATTGCGTGGTTTGCTGAGTACCTCGCACTGTCCCAAGCCTTTATGTATATTAATGCATTGATTCCCACAACAGCCCCATTTTACAGATGAGAAAACTGAGGCCCCCCCCCCTTCAAGGGTGGTGGGATTGGGGCATGGCCGGCAGCCTCCAGAGCCCCCATGTAGCCCCTTCAGTGCTCCACTGGGGAGGCTCACCTGGGTTGTCCACTCCTGTCTGGATGACATCGTCTACAGTGAAGCCAGATGGAGTCTCCTTGTCCCGCAGCTTCTTGTAGAGTTCAAGGGTCAGTACCTTGGCCATGTGGTTGTTATGTTTGCTGAGGTCGGGGTACTCCTCCTCAGGCTTGTAATTCAGCTTGAACTTGTTGTGGGTGTTACCGAATGGCATGGTGGCGGTGTAGGAGACCTGATGGGCAGGGCAGGAGGGGAAGATTGAAGATTAGCTGGCATCTTTTTTCTTCTTCTTCTTCTTTTTTTTTTTTTGAGACGGAGTCTCGCTCTGTCACCCAGGCTGGAGTGCAGTGGCACGATCTCGGCTCACTGCAAGCTCCACCTCCTGGGTTCACACCATTCTCCCGCCTCAGCCTCCCGAGTAGCTGGGAATACAGGCGCCCGCCACCACGCCGGCTCATTTTTTGTATTTTTAGTAGAGACGGGGTTTCACCATGTTAGCCAGGATAGTCTTGATCTCCTGACCTTGTGATCCGCCCGCCTCGGCCTCCCAAAGTGCTGGGATTACAGGCGTGAGCCACTGCACCCGGCCTTTTCTTCTTTTTTTTGAGATGGAGTCTCACTCTGTTACCCAGGTTGGAGTGCAGTGGCGAGACCTCGGCTCACTGCAGCCTCCACCTCCCAGGTTCAAGAGATTCTCCTGTCTCAGCCTCCTGAGTAGCTGGGATTACAGGCGCACACCACCATGCCTGGCTAATTTTTTTGTATTTTTATTAGAGATGGGGTTTCACCATCTCTACTGGTTGGCCAGGCTGGTCTCGAACTCCTGGCCTCAAGTGATCCACCCGCCTCGGCCTCCCAAAGTGCTGGGATTACAGGCGTGAGCCACTGTGCCCCGCCTAGCTCGCATCTTGCAGACAGCAGCAAGAGAACTGGGCAAGGCGTTGGGGTCAGGCAGGCTGTGTAACTTGGAGCAAGAGAAATCCTCTCTCTGAGCCCCTGTGTCTCAGCAGGAAGGCATCCGGAGTCTTAGATCAAGGGCCTGGCTCTGCCGTATCCCAGTTGGGTGAGCCTGGACTAGTCATTCTTGCTGGAAACTCAATTTCCCCAGGTGGAAAACGGGCCCCTCCCGGAGGCTGGAAAAATATTTTGTGTGGGTAAGAGTGTAGGTTCTGGAATCAGCCCAGGGTTTGATTCCCAGCTCTGCTACCTACAACCAGCTGTGTGGCCAGGGGCAAGTTGCTTAACCTCTGTGCCTCAATTTACTCATCTAGAAAATGAGGATCCTAACAGCACTTGCCGCATGGGAGTGTTGAAAAGATTAAATGTGTGAATACAGGTGTAGCTCTCGGAACAGTGCCTGGTACACAATAAGCATTATTTCACTTAGCTGCTATTATTATTATTATTATTATTATGTTTGAGACAGAGTCTCGCTCTGTCGCCCAGGCTAGAGTGCAGTGGCATAATCTCAGTTCACTGCAACCTCCACCTCCCAGGTTCAAGCAACTATCCTGCTTCAGCCTCCTGAGTAGCTGCAACTACAGGCGTGTGCCACACCTGGCTATTTTTTTTTTTGGTATTTTTAGTAGAGTTGGGGTTTCGCCATGTTGGCCAGGCTGGTCTTGAACTCCTGAACTCAAGTGATCCGCCCACCTCTGCCTCCCAAAGTGCTGAGATTACAGGCATGAGTCACGGCACCTGGCCTGTTGTTGTTATTTTAAAGGTTCGTGCGAGGAGCTGGTGAGAAGGTGGAGGTGAGGGTGCTGCTGGGAGTATGTGAGCAGGTTCTTGGATTATCAATCCAAAGACAAAGGGCTGGGTCGGGGGAGGGCTGGGTAGCTGCCCCCACCTCTGCCTGCTGACAGTTCTCCCACAGGGCTCAGAAGGGAAGAAAAGCTCAGCCTCTGGGTCGTCAGAGGCAGGTTCAAATCCCACCTATGCCATTTCCCTGCTGTGTGACCCCAGGCCAGTCACTAGGCCTCTCTGGACCTCTGTCTCCTGTGAACTGAGCCTGCCCCGTAGGATTGCCAGGATCCTCTGAGCTTGGCCATGAGGTTGGCTGAGCACAGGCCCTGGCATGGAGTTGGAGCCTGGAACCCTGGTGGCTGCTATTATTGTTATTTGTTATTACTACTTTTTTGCAGAGATGGGGTCTCACTATGTTGCCCAGGCTGGTCTGGGACTCCTGGCCTCAAGTGATCCTCCAGCATCGGCCTCCCAAGATGCTGGGATTATGCGTGTGAGCCACTGCGCCAGGTCCTACTGTTATTATTATTTTATTCACTGGACCCAGAAAGGAGAAGGGACCCAGAAAGGAGAAGGGGCCTCCAGCAGCGGTGGGAGACGGGGATGGGAAGCAGGTGGGATTGTGGGAGGGAGATTGGGACCACGGTGAGCTGAAGCCAGGGAAGAGGAACAGGGACCCGCCAAAGACCTTGGGTGCTGCTGTCCAGGGTGGTTATTTTTAGAATCTGGCAACTGCCTGCCATCCCACCCCCAGCTGCTGCCCCGCCCCACCCCCACATTCCGGGGCTCGGCTTGCACCAAGTCAGCAGGCCCAAGACAGGTGGGCCAGGGTGGCTGGGAGGACACGGGTCCAGGCCTCGGGGCTCAAGGACATCCTGGGATGGCAGCCCAGACCCCCTCCCTTCAGAGGATGCCCCCCTAATCCCTGCCAGGGACACCCCAGGAGAGGGCACTGAGGCAGGGTGGTGACCCCCCCCACAAGAGACATAAGCAGAAAGCCCCAGAGCCACACACCCCCACCACCGCAGACTCCCCAGATCACACTGTAAACTAAGTCACACAGTCACACTTCCAAACTCAAGGACATGCCCAGGACACTCATGTGTCCGCTACTAAGTCAGAAACAAGGTCACAGGGACCCACACAGTAGCAAACGCAAAGAAAGCCTGCGACACCTGCTCTTGCAGACTCTGCTAGGCGACAGACACACCTCCCACGGCTTGTGGCGCCAGTGTTGGCGACAAACTGTAATGAACACAGGCCTGGCTCAACAGCCCCTTGCAGGGGGTGACAGTTGGCAGCTGTCAGGACCCCTTTCATCTCGGATCCCTCCCCATAACCCAAGACTTGTGCCGCAGAAATCACAGGTCCCAGTGGGGGGTTCAGGCAGCCTCACAGATGGAGGGGCCTCCCAGACACACAAGGGTCAACCTTCCCACGCACCGACCTGCCTTTGTATAGGAGGATGTTGGTGGAGCAAGGGGTGACACACAGACCCTTTCCCAAGCCAAGCCTCTAGCACCCACAGAAATCCCCTACTCTGGCCCCCACCCAGATTCCCGCCCCGTGCAGTACCTGGCTGGGCTGGGCTGAAGGGGGGCTGTCTGTATCCTGGAGGTGACACTGACCCAAAGGAAGGGCCAGCAGCCGTGGCCTTATATAGGGGGACCTAGGCTGTGCTATTGGCTGGGAGGGGTTGTCCCCAGGGAGGAGTTCTGGAGGGCAGCTGAGCCTCTCACCTCCCTGCTCCCGCACCATACCCACCCTGAACCCAGGCATGCTTTGCGCCCAGCCCCATGGCCTTGTATGGGCTGAGCCGCCCCAGGGGCTGGGCTCACGCCCCCCCACCAAGCTGATACCCTGACCAAGTGCTGAGTTGGGCTGGCGGTGGGGACAGCTGGCCCCCCGCCGGGAACATGGGACGGTGGCTGGGAACGTCCCAAGCACGTAGAAGCCACCGTCCCCTGGCCCCTGAGTCTCCTTCAGCCACCAGCCCTTCCTGTGGCCCTCGGCTCCCCCTGTGCCCCCTGGGCCCTCACCCCTACCCGAGTCCCAGCGGCACCTCGGGGAACCAAGGTGTGGCTCCAGGAGGAGCAGATACCCTGTGAGCTGGAGGAAGCAGAGGCCGGGAGAAGGACCAATTGCAATGGAGGGCAGTCTAACCCCAGAAACCCGCGCTTGGGCGCCCCTTCCTCCTAGGGACTGAGTGGAGGGGAAACTGAGGCTGGCTGAGTTGGAGAGATTCAAACTCAGGGCAAGGGTGGGAGGCGGTGGTCACCCTCCCCCCCACTTAACCCTCGCCCCCTCGGTGCCACTGGGAGATTTCCGCTGTGCGGGGGACAGGGAGGGTCTCGGTCGCCGGGAAAGGAGTTATTTTTAGAGGGCGCTTTGCTGTCTCCTCTGCCGCAAAGGCCGAGACCCGAGGCGCTGGGTATGGGGGGGTTCGGGGGCAGGTGTTGGAGGGGGGTTCGCCACGTGTCCTGGTTAATTATAACCGGGCGTCTCGGGTGTCCTCGGGCCTCGCCTCCTTACAAGGGCAGCCACGGGGCCCTGGGTGGCCGCTCCCACCTCCCGGGGAAGGGGGCTGGGCAGCGACGCCGTTCAGAGCGCGGGCGCCAGACTCGCGCAGATCTGGGCAGAGCAAGCGCTCTCGGCGCCTCGGCTGTGAGCAAGGACTTCCAGGGCTGAGAGGGGGGTTCTGTGGAGGAGAGTACAGTATAGAGGAAGCCGCTTTCTCCTCCTGGGACGCGCCAGGATTGCAGGCTGATCGGGTCTCCTCCTCCAGGGAGCTCCCAGGATTGCGACGAAGAAAAGAATGTCCCTTCCCTCTGAGTTCCTCCCTATCCCAGGGTCTCCTGGGTCTCCTTCACATCTTCTTAGGCAGGTGAGGACTGGCTTAGAGAAAGGGAGCCTCTGTGCCTCTCCCTCAGACTCCTGATCTGAGGGGGGAGGGGAGAGGGGTGCTTTAGAAATATTTACATGGGGCCCAGCCCTTTCCCAGCAAGCTCAGATTGCCGAGGGTCTCCTTCACGGTTACGGAAACTGAGGCCCAGAAAACCAAATGGAACTGGTCTCGAAACAGGGATCTATCAGGCACTTCCTGAGGCTACAACAAAACACAAAACCCCCGCCGTCCTGGAGGTGATAGTGCAAGAGGGTCACAGATGAGGGGACGGCACAGCAGCAGGGGAGGTCGAGGCAGGCCTCTTTGGGAAGATGACATCTGAGCAGAGACCTGAAGGAGAACAGGGAGCCAGCCATGTGCGGCTCTGGGGGGAACAGCAGGTGCAAAGGCGCTGAGGTGAGAATGGCTGGGCACATCTGAGGACAGACAGGAAGGAGGCCAGGGGACTGGAGCAGATGGGGCCAAGGAGAGAGTGGGAGGAAGAAGATGAGGTTGGAGGGGAGACAGGAGCAGACCCATGGTGCCCTAGGGGCTGTGGGAGGAGTTTTAATCCCATTGTGATTGACAGTGAAAATGTTAGATGGGCCGGGCACAGTGGCTCAGGCCCGTAATCCCAGCACTTTGGGAGGCAGAGGCGGAGGCGGGTGGATCACTTGAGGCCAGGAGTTCAAGACCAGCCTGGCCAACATGGTGAAACCCCATCTCTACTAAAAGTACAAAAATTAGCCTGGCATGGTGACACACGCCTGTAATCCCAGCTAGCCAGGAGGCTGAGGCATAAGAATTGCTTGAACCTAGGAGGTGGAGGTTGCAGTGAGCTGAGATGGCACCATTGCCCTCCAGCCTGAGTGACAGAGCAAGACTCAGTCTCACAAAAAAAAAAAAAAAGAAAAGAAAAGAAAAAGAAAATGTTAAATGAACCAGGTATAGAAAGACAAACATCACAAGTTATTTGTGGGATCTAAAAATCAAAACAAGGAGGCTGAGGCAGGAGGATTGCTTGAACCCAGGCAGTCGAGGCTGCAGTGAGCTGTGATCGAGCCACTGCTGCACTCCATCCTGGGCAAGAGAGTGAGACCCTGTCTCACACACACAAAAATTAATTAAAATAACTAAAGGAGTATAATTGGATTGTTTGTAATATAAAGGATAAATGCTTGAGAAGATGGATACCCCATTCTCCACGATGTGATTATTACAAGTTGCATGCCTGTATCAAAACATTTCATGGCCGGGTGCAGTGGCTCACGCCTGTAATCCCAGCACTTTGGGAGGCCGAGGTGGGCAGATCACCTGAGGTCGGGAGTTCAAGACCAGCCTGATCAACGTGGAGAAACCCTGTCTCTACTAAAAATACAAAATTAGCCGGGGTGGTGGCACATGCCTGTAATCCCAGCTACTCGGTAGGCTGAGGCAGGAGAATCGCTTGAACTCGGGAGGCAGAGGTTTCTGCGGGCCGAAATCGCGCCATTGCACTCTAGCCTGGGCAAAAAGAGTGAAACTCCATCTCAAAAAAAAAAAAAAAAAAAAGAACAAAACGTTTCATATACCCCATAAATATACACACCTACTAAATACCTACAAAAAATTTTTTAGAATAATTTTTTAAAATATTAAATGGAAAAAATCATCATCATCATCCCACTGTGAGACTGACAGGAGGCACTGAGGGTCATAAGCAGGGAAGAGGCTGGATCCATGCCACACGCATTTTGGGTGGCACGGTCCAGCCACACCTTGTGGGAGGGTTTGTTTTTTTTTTTTTTTTTTTGAGATGGAGTCTTGCTCTATCACCAGGCAGGAGTGCAATGGTGCGATGTCAGCTCACTGCAACCTCCGCCTCCCAGGTTCAAGCGATTCTCCTGCCTCAGCCTCCCGAGTAGCTGGGACTACAGGCATGGGCCACCACGCTCTGCTAACTTTTATATTTTTAGTAGAGAAGGGGTTTTGCCATGTTGGCCAGGCTAGTCTCAGACTCCTACCTCAGGTGATCCACCCACCTCGGCCTCCCAGAGTGCTGGGATTACAGGCGTGAGGCACCCTGCCGGGCCCATTGCACATTCTTTTTAGCCACACAGTGCCAGAAGCCTTTTCTATGTTCGGGGATTCCCCACTGTAAGCCCTCCTCCTTTGGAGAAGCCAAAGATGCCAGAAACTCAATTTCCCAGAATCCCTTGCAGCAATGGTCCAGGCCAGTGACCTGGGCTGAGCCAATCAAACGCTCCAGCAGGACCTTGTGCCGTGAGCTCCCTCTGCTTTGAGTCTTAAAGAAACAGTTGGCCTTGGGGAGCTTTACAACCCTCATCACGTATCTTCATCCCACCCCCCAGAGCCCGACTGTCAATCCGACCTCTGCCCCTCCACTGCCCACTCTAGCTCAAGACCGCCTCCACTGTCCCTCCTGACCCAACTTCCTCCCTGGACTCCTGTCCCAGTCTTTGCCATTCCCACCTAAACCCTACCTGCTGACCTCCCCTCCTCAGAGCTTGCCATGGCTCCCCAGTGCCCTCAAGGTAAATGAGTATTTGTTGACTAAATAAATAATAGTAACTGTATCTGGCAGATGTAGGCGAGAGTAACCACTACCCAGCTTAAATAGAAAGGACTCTGCTATTGGCTGGGCGCAGTGGCTCACGCCTGTAATCCCAGCACTTTGAGAGGCCGAGGCGGGCGGATCACGAGGTTAGGAGATCGAGACTATCCTGGCTAACACGGTGAAACCCTGTCTCTACTACAAAAATATACAAAAAAAAAAAAATTAGCCGTGCGTGGTGGCAGGCGCATGTCGTCCCAGCTACTCCGGGGCCTGAGGCAGGAGAATGGTGTGAACCCGGGAGGCGGAGTTGCAGTGAGCCGAGATCGCACCACTGCACTTCAGCCTGGGCGACAGAGCGAGACTCCATCTCAAAAAAAAAAAAAAAAAAAAGGACTGTACTATCATGTATTAGGCACTGACAAAATCGTTGGAAGGGCTGAAGGAACACTGCTCGGGCCCCAGAACTACTTTCCTACTTTCCCTCTGGAAAATCTAGTCTTTAGCTTTCCAGCCTCTTCATTGACAGGAGAATGTGCTCGAAGGAGGTTAACATGGACATTAAACAGCCACTCCACAAAGAAGCTTTTGTTTGTTTGTTTGTTTGTTTAGACATGGGTTCTTGATGGGGTCTCGCTATGTTGCTCAGGCTGGAGCACAGTAGTTATTCACAGGCACAATCAGAGTGCACTGCAGCCTCCAATTCCAAGCCTCAAGCAATCCTCCCGCTTCAGCCTCCCGAGTAGCTGGGACTACAGGCGCGCACCACCACTCCAGGCCCTGACAGTTAACTTTTATTGAATACACCTGTATGTCAAGTACTGTGCTAAGTGCTTTACATATGTTGACTTATTTAACGTCCCCAACAATAAGGCTCAGAGAGGTTAAGTGACTTGCCCAAAGTCACACAGCTGGAAGGGGGCAGAACTGGGAATCAAACAGGTACAAGGCTGCCAAGAATGGATTCAGGCTTTGGTGGAAATAACTTCCAGGCTTCTCCCCGACGTCAGACTGTATTGTCAGCCTCTTTCTAGGTCATCAGGCTCTAGTGTACCCACTTCCCCAACCCATCTCCCATCACCCCAGCCATCTGACTTCAGGGTCCAAGGACTTTAATGGGTATTCACTAGTTTAATTTTCCAACAGTCCTATGAAGTGAGTACTGCCAATTTTTTTTTAATTTACTTTTCTTCTGGGAGTCTAGAAGGTACTGCCGTTTTTACAAATCAGGAAAGTAAGGCTGGCCCAGAGAGGTTGCAACACTTATCGAAAGTCACACAGCAGGGAAGTAGCAGAACAAGACTGGACTAGGCTGTCAGTCCTGGAGCTTGTCTTCCTAATCTCTTCCTGATCCCCACTTCTTCATGTCGAACCCCCTTTTCACAGAGGACGAACGCTGGGGCCGAAAAGGGCAAGGGAGTTACCTAAGGTCACAGCCAGTATAACTGGAATTACAGTCTACACTCTTCTCCCTCCATTCCCAAGGCAGCCCTGCCCTCAAACCCTGTCTTACTCTTAAGCATCTCATCTGTCTCTGTCCCTACCCTCAGGAAGAGGCTGCCACCTCCAGGAGAGACTCTGGGAGGGCAGCACTCCACCCCCATGGCCCACCACCCTGTAATGCCCTCCCCCATGCACTCCTCAAATCCCTTTCCCAAACCGGGCCATTTACGATGCCATTTGATTCATAGAAGACAAGTTGTAAATCAAGGCCAGACCCAGGGCTGGGGAGTTGAGACCCTGCCCATTCCTCCTTTCTCTTCCTGGAGAGCCAGGCCAGCCTGCAGCCCCATAATCAGCTGACCAGGGTCTGGTCCATAGGGTAGTGGGTGGTGAATAAAATAACGTCTTTCATGGCTCCCAACTTGTCCTGCCCCAGTCTCTCCAAATCAATCAATCTTTTTTTTTTTCTTTGAGAGGGAGTCTCGCTCTGTCACCCAGGCTGGAGTGCACTGATTCGATCTCGGCTCACTGCAACCTCTGCTTTCCGGGTTCAAGCCGTTATCCTGCCTCAGCCTCCTGAGTGGCTGGGATTCCAGCTGCCATCCACCAGCCTTGGCTAATTTTTGTATTTTTAGTAGAGACAGGGTTTCACCATGTTGGCCAGGCTGGTTTCCAACTCCTGACCTCAAATGATCTGCCCTCCTTGGCATCCCAAAGTGCTAGGATTACAGGCAGGAGCCACTGCGCCTGGCCTAATTTTTGTATTTTTAATAGAGATGGGGTTTCACCATGTTGGCCAGGCTAGTCTTCAACTCCTGACCTCAAGTGATCCGCCCGTCTCAGCCTCCCAAAGTGCTGGGATTACAGGCATGAGCCACTGCACCCAGCCCCAGATCAATCAATTTTATCAAATTAGCTATACATTTCCCTCTAGGTGCTGCTTTAGGTTTATCCCAGGTTGTTTTTTGTTTTGTTTTGTTTTTTTCTTGATGTTGTTTGTTTGTTTAGAGACAGGATCTCACTGTCTCCCAGGCTGGAATGCAGTGGTATGATCTTGGCTCATTGCAGCCTCCATCTCCTGAGCTCAGCGATCCTCCCACCTCAGCCTCCTCAGTAGCTGGGATCACAGATGTGTGCCACCATGCCCAGCTAATTTTTGTATCTTTTGTAAAGACACAGTCTTGCTATGTTGCCCAGCCTGGTCTTGAACTCCTGACCTCAAGCAATCCTCCTGCCTCAGCCTCACAAAGTGCTGGGATTGCAGGTGTAAGCCACCATACCTGGCGTGTTTTTTTTTTTTTTTTTTGAGACGGAGTCTCGCTCTGTTGCCCAGGCTGGAGTGCAGTGGTGTGATCTCGGCTCACTGCAAGCTCTGCCTCCCGGGTTCACACCATTCTCCTGCCTCAGCCTCCTGAGTAGCTGGGACTGCAGGTGCCTGCCACCACATCCAGCTAAATTTTTTGTGTGTTTTTCGTAGAGACAGCGTTTCACTGTGTTAGCCTGGATGGTCTTGATCTCCTGACCTCGTGATCCACCTGCCTCAGCCTCGCAAAGTGCTTGGATTACAGGCGTGAGCCACCGGCCCGGCCCATACCTGGCCTGTTTTTATATTCTATTATCATTTCAAATGTATTTTTATTGGAACTGTTATATTTGGAGTGTATGGATGTTCACACTTATTCATATTTTATTTTCTCAAATTTACTCTTTTTTTTTTTTTTTTTTTTTTGAGATCGAGTTTCGCTCTTGTTGCCCAGGCTGGAGTGCAATGGCGGATCTCGGCTCACCGCAACCTCTGCCTCCCAGGTTCAAGCGATTCTCCTGCCTCAGCCTCCCGAGTAGCTGGGATTATAGGCATGTGCCACCATGCCTGGCTAATTTTTGTATTATTAGTAGAGACAGGATTTCACCACGTTGGCCAGGCTGGTCTCAAACTCCTGACTTCTTGATCCTCCTGCCTCGGCCTCCCAAAGTACTGGGATTACAGGCGTGAGCCACTGCGCCCGGCCAAATTTACTGTTTTTATTGAGGCATAATTTATTTTCTTTCCTTCCTTCCTTCCTTCCTTCCTTCCTTCCTTCCTTCCTTCCTCCCTCTCTTCCTCTCTTCCTCCCTCCCTCCTTTTTTTTTTTTGAGACGGAGTCTCACCCTGTCACCCAGGCTGGAGTGCAATGGCGTGATCTCGGCTCACTGCAACCTCTGCCTCCCGGGTTCAAGCGATTCTCCTGCTTCAGCCTTCAGAGTAGCTGGGACTACAGGTGCGCGCCACCACACCTGGCTCATTTTTTGTATCTTTAGTAGAAACGGGGTTTCACCATGTTGGCCAGGCTGGTCGAACTCCTGACCTCGTGATCTGCCCACCCAGGCCTCCCAAAGTGCTGGGATTACAGGTGTGAGCCACCATGCCCGGCCTATTGAGGCATAATTTCTATTTGGTGAAGTGCCCTAATCTTAAAATCAATGAACTTTTATATTCGTGTACATGTGAATAAGCATCACCAGGATCTAAACAGAGACTACTACCAGCTCCCAAAGAAACTCTCTCATGTCCCCTCCCAGTGAATGTCTCTCTCTCCTCCAAGAAAATGTTCTCGCTGAGCGCAGTGGGAGGCCTAGGTGGGTGGATCACTTGAGGTCAGGAGTTCGAGACCAGCTTGACCAACATGGTGAAACCCCGTCTCTACTAAAAATACAAAAAATTAGCCAGGCGTGGTGATGCATACCAGTAATCCCAGCTACTTGGGAGGCTGAGGCAGGAGAATCTCTTGAACCCGGGAGATAGAGGTTGCAGTGAGCCGATATAGTGCCACTGTACTCCAGTCTGGGCAACAACAGTGAAATTCCATCTCAAAGAAAAGAAGAAGGCCGGGCCACCCTCTGCCTCCTGGGTTCAAGCGATTCTCCTGCCTCAGCCGCCTGAGTAGCTGGGATTACAGACACGTGCCACCACGCCTGGCTAATTTTTGTATTTTTAGTAGAGACGGGGTTTCACCATGTTGGTCAGGCTGGTCTTGAACTGCTGACCTTGTGATCTGCCCACCTCAGCCTGAAAAGTGCTGGGATTATAGGCAGGAGTGACCGCGCCCGGCCCATTTGTCTAATTTCTTTTGCTCAACTTTTTTTCTCTTCGGATTCCTTTTTTTCTTTCTTTTTTTCTTTTTGTACAGATGGGGTGGGTCTTGCTATGTTGCCCAGGCTGGTCTTGAACTCTCAGCCTCAAGTGAGCCTGCAGCCTCCAATTCCAGGGCTCCAGGCTTAGCCTCCCAAAGCGCTGGTGTGGCAGAGAATAGGGAATTAGGGTAACTGGGGGTTCATCAGGTACAGCCAGTTTGCATAAGCAACAGAATAGCAGGTGCAGTCAGTTCATGGAGGCAGGAGAGCCACAGGTGCATACAGGCTCTATTCTCCCTCCCATGATAATAAGCCACTCCAGCCTCTGATTGACTGCGAGCCAGGTCTCCACTTGGGCTCTGATTGGTCATGAGCCAACCCTTCATAGAGTGTAACCAATTGGAGGCCTCTGAAGGGCACCTAGGGGTGTTGCCGGGTCCTTTTTAGCTTAATAAAAACCCTAACTGGCAGGCCTGGCGCGGTGGTTCGCCTGTAATCCCAGCACTTTGGGAGGTCAAGGCGGCCAAATCACTCAAGATCAGGAATTTCGGACCAGCCTGGCCAACATGGTGAAATCCCGTCTCTACTAAAAGTACAATAATTAGCCGGGTGTGGTGGCGCATCCGTGGTGGCTCGTGCTAGGAGTCCCAGCTACTCAGGAGGCTGAGGTAGGAGAATCGCTTGAACGCGGGAGGTAGAGGTTGCAGTGAGCTGAGATCATGTCACTGCACTCCAGCCTGGTCAACAGAGCGAGACTACGTCTCAAAAAAAAAACAAAGACAACCCTAATTGGGGAGGTGCTCCAGCCCGCTCCCACTCTGTGAATTGTCTTGGATAAATCTCTGCTTTGTCTTCTGTTGCTTCGTTCTTTTTTTCCTTTTTCTTTTTATTGAAACAGACTACCCCAAAATGCAATAACTTTTTGTTTGTTTGTTTGCTTTTGAGACGGAGTCTCGCTCTGTCACCCAGGCTGGAGTGCAGTGGCGCAATCTCGGCTCACTGCAAGCTCCGCCTCGTGGGTTCACGCCATTCTCCTGCCTCAGCCTCCCGAGTAGCTGGGACTACGGGCGCCCGCCACCACGCCCGGCTAATTTTTTGTATTTTTAGTAGAGACGGGGTTTCACTGCATTAGCCAGGATGGTCTCCATCCCCTGACCTCGTGATCCGCCCGCCTCAGCTTCCCAAAGTGCTGGGATTACAGGCGTGAGCCACCGCGCCCGGCCTAATAACTTTTTTTTGTTTTCTTTTTTTGACTCACTCTGAGGCCCAGGCTGGAGTGCAGTGGTGCGATCTTGGCGCACTGCAATTTCCACCTCCCAGGTTCAAGCGTTTCTCTTTCCTCAGCCTCCGGAGTAGCTGGGTTACAGGTGTGTACCACCACACCCAGCTAATTTTTTTTTCTTGAAATTTTAAAATCTCTCAAAAACTTATACAGGTGAATTTTGATCGTCATGATGGGCTTATTGGTAGGATTTTTGGTAACAAGCACGGGCACCAGGACCTCCAAACTTTTTGGACTCAGAGCGACGGGGATCAGCTACCAGCAGGGTCTGGTCATACTGGATGAGGATGTCTTTGATCTCCTTGGAAGACTCATCCGCATATTTCTGGTACTAGGCCACCAGGGCTCTGGAGATGGACTGACAGCATAAATCTAGGCCCCTTCACATGGACATGGATGTCCACACCAGCAAATCGCTCCTTGCCGGGACCGAGAAAGAGAACTGGCTCCAGCAGCTTGTATCGTAGTGTGCGCAGCTTGATCATCTCCAGGAGCCGCCCATTCACCTTGATGAGGCCATCGCCGTGTTTGCAGTGCACCACAGCTGTGGCTGTTTTCTTGCCACCGAAGACCTGCACAGATTGCAGCTGGCCCTCGGACCGCATGGCTGCGAGCGTGAACTAGAGACCCTCACCACGTGGTGCTGCAATCAGAAAAAAAAAAAAGCTAATTTTTTTTTTTTTTTTTTTTTGAGAGGGAGTTTCGCCCTTGTTGCCCAGGCCGGAGTGCAATGGCGTGATCTCGGCTTACTGCAACCTCCGCCTCCCCGGTTCAAGTGATTCTCCAGCCTCAGCCTCCTGAGTAGCTGGGATTACAGGTTTCTGCCACCACACCCGGCTAATTTTTGTATTTTTAGTAGAGACGGGGTTTCACCATGTTGGCCAGGCTGGTCTCAAACTCCTGACCTCAGGTGATCCACCCACCTCGGTCTCCCAAAGTGCCAGGATTACAGGCGTGAGCCACTGCGCCTGGCCATTTTATTTTTATTTTTATTTTTTTACATTTTATTTTTGGTTCATGGTTTTTTACATTTTATTTTGGTACAATTTTATTTTGGAGACAGGTTCTTACCTCTTGCCCCACTCTTTTTCACCCAAGCTGGAATACAGTGGTGCCATCATAGCTCACTGCAACCTTGACCTCTGGGGATCCCACCTCAATCTCCCAAGCAGCTGCAACTACAGGTGTGCGCCACCACACTTGGCTCATTTTAACTTTTTTTTTTTTTTGTGGAGATGGGGATCTTGCTATATTGCCCAGGCTGGTCTCAAACTCCTGGTCTCAAGCAATCCTCCTGCCTTGGCCTCTCAAAGTGCTGGGATTACAGGTGTGAGCCACCATGCCTGGTCAATAGCTCTAAAATGGATGTGGGGTTGGCTGACAGTTGGCCAATCCAGGCCGGGCTCAGATGGGAAGTTCTGCTTCATATGGGAACCTTGTGGAGTGCAGGCTGAGGGGAGAGGAAGCTCTCAGGGGAAGCCCGTCTCATGGTGATGCTGAGATGCAAAAAGAAATGTTCAAGGTCTCTTGAGGCCTAAGCTCAGAACTGACACGACTGTCACTTGTGCCCCTCTGCTATTGGCCAAAGCAAGTCACATGGCCACACCAAAAGTTCAAGGCCCATCATTTTGTCGTCCTCCACAGGTAAGGATTATATCAGGTGTGCTTTTCTTAAATGGGTCCACACACTCGTACATCCACACACGATCATATTCATGGAATATCTCTGGAAGTATATTGGAAACGGTCATCAGGTTTGCTTGCGGGAAGGGTGTCCGGGGATCAGGGAGAGAGAACGCTTACTTTCACTCTGTAGTCTTTTATTCTCTGTGTCTATGAACGTTTTTTCTGACTGCATTCCCTTTTTTTTTTTTTTTTTTTTTTTTTGAGATGGAGTCTCACTCTTTCGCCCAGGCTGGAGGGCAGTGGTGCTATCTTGGCTCACTGGAACCTCTGCCTCCCGGGTTCAAGCAATTCTCCTGCCTCAGCCTCCCGAGTAGCTGGGACTACTAGCACGTGCCACCATGCCCGGCTAATTTTTTGTGTGCCTTTTTTTTTTTTTTTTTTTTTTGAGACGGGGTCTTGCTCTGTCCCCCAGGCTGGAGTGCAGTGGCGCGATCTCGGCTCACTGCAATCTCTGCCTTCTGGGTTCATGCCATTCTCCTGCCTCAGCCTCCCGAGTAGCTGGGGCTACAGGCGCCAGCCACTGCACCCAGCTAATTTTTTGTATTTTTAGTAGAGACGAGGTTTCACCGTGGTCTCGATCTCCTGACCTCGTGATCCGCCCGCCTCGGCCTCCCAAAGTGCTGGGATTACAGGCGTGAGCCACTGCGCCCGGCCTTTGTGTGCATTTTTAGTAGAGACGGGGTTTCACCATGTTGGCCGGGCTGGTCTCAAACTCCTGACCTCAAGTGATCCACCTGCCTTGGCCTCCCAAAGTGCTGGGATGACAGGCGTGAGCCACCACTCCTGGCCATTATTTTTTAAATTAAAAAATTATGGCCAGAAGGTGAAAATAGAAAAGCTCCCATCCTATGTACCCATTTTCCTGACGTGGCAAACTAAGGCCTTAAGGGATAGGGTGGAGTATTTGTTGGATATGCAAGCAATTTCTCCTCTCTGAGCCTCAGTTTCCTTTTTTATTTATTTTTTGAGACAGGCTGTCACTCTGTCACCCAGGCTGGAGTGCAGTGGTATGATAATAGCTCACTGCAGGCTCAGACTCCTGGGCTCAAGCAATCCCCCTGCTTCAGCCTCCTGAGTTGCTGAGACCACGTGTGACACATCACACATGGCTAATTTTTTTTTTAATTTTTTTTGGCAGGTGGGTGACGCCTGTAATTCCAGCACTTTGGGAGGCCAAGGCAGGCAGATCATTTAAGGTCAGGAGTTGGAGACCAGCCTAACCAACATGGTGAAACCCTGTCTATACTAAAAATACACAAAAATTAGCCGGGGGTGGTGGCGCATGTCTGTAGTCCCAGCTACTCAGGAGGCTGCGGCAGGAGAATTGCTTAAACCCAGGAGGCGGAGGTTGCAGTGAGCTGATATCGTGCCACTGCATTCCAGCCTGGGCGACAGAGCAAGACTCCATCTCAAAAAAATAAACAGGCTGGGCCCGGTGGCTCACGCCCATAATCCCAGCAGTTTGGGGGGCTGAGGTGGGCAGATCACTTGAGGTCAGGAGTTTGAGACCAGCCTGGCCAACATGGTGAAACCCCATGTCTACTAAAAATACAAAAAAATTAGCCAGGTGTGGTTCCTGTAATCCTAGCTACTCAGGTGGCTGAGGCAGGAGAATTGCTTTAGCCCAGGGCACGGAGGTTACAGTGAGCCAAGATCACGCCACTGCACTCCAGCCTGGGCGACAGAGTAAGACTCTATCTCAAAAAAAATAAATAAATAAATTTTTTTTTGTAGAGATAGGTTCATCCTATGTTCCCCAAGTTGGTCTCAAACTCCTAGGCTCCAGCAATCCTCCTGAAGCCCTGGGATTACAGGTATGAGTCACCACATCCGGCCAGTTTCCTCATTTTTAGGTGGGGCTGGTAATAGTGCCTACCTTGGGGGGTCAGCTACAAAGATTCTGGGGCTCTGCTACTCCTTGGCTGTGTGACCTAAGACAAGTTACTCAGCCTCTCTGTGCCTCATCTTTTTCACCTGTGGAATGGAGCGAATCATCGCAGCTGGTGTGAAGATTAACAATTTGTATATAGGAGTTGGCACAGGGCCAGTCTGGGGTAAGAACTCAAACATCAGCCATTGTTGGCGTTGTGCAAAAGTACTTGGAACACCGCTGGCCTAAAGGAAGGTTTTCCTGGCCAGGTGTGGTGGCTCACGCCTGTAATCCCAGCACTTTGGGAGGCCGAGGCAGGCAGATCACGAGGTCAGGAGATCAAGACCATTCTGGCTAACACGGTGAAACCCCGTCTCTACTAAAAATACAAAAATTAGCTGGGCATGGCGGTACGTGCCTATAGTCCCAGCTACTCCGGAGGCTGAGGCAGGAGAATTGTATGAACCTGGGAGGCGGAAGTTGTAGTGAGCCGAGATTGTGCCACTGCACTCCAGCCGGGGAGAAAGAGCATGACTCCGTCTCAAAAAAACAAAAACAACAACAGCAGCAACAAAAGCAAGAAAGGTTTTCCTTAGTTAACACTTTCTTCTTCTTTCAATCTTTATCTCATTTAAGTCTCACCTCAATGCTGTGTGATGAGTGTGATCATCCCCATTTTACTAGACGAGGAGACAGAGGCTCAGCCAGAGATCATTGTTCCCCCGGTTTACATGGAACAGAAATGGCAGGGCCAGGATTTAAACCTAGATCTGCCTGGCTCCCCGCCCGGCTCCATCCCCTGCCCTCCCCCAACACACATAGTATTTACCGGGTGCTACCCTGTTCTAAGCCTTTTCTGGGGGATTATACAGTAATCCTCACCACAGCCTTAAAGTAGGGTACCCTGTGAGTCTCGTTTGACAGACTAGAAATCTGAGGTCCAGAGAGGTTACTTCTTGGCTCAGAGGGTCACACAGCTAGCAAATGACCCAGCTGAGATTTGTCCCTGCTGGCCTGGCTCCAGTCCCTGCACTGCCTGTGGTAAGCGTGTAGCAGATCCAGATCCAATGTCCAGCGTCGTGAGGCCAAAAAAATGGGGGGCAGGGGGAAGGCTCTGCTGCCCCTCGATCCTGTGCTGTTGAAATAGCTGGAGCTAGCACTTTGGAAGGCCGAGGCGGGTAGATCACCTGAGGTCAGGAGTTCGAGACCAGCCTGGCCAACATGGCGAAACCCTGTCTATACTAAAAATATAAAAATTACCTGGGCGTGATGGTGCACACCTGTAATCCCAGCTACTCTGGAGGCTGAGGCAGGAGAATCATTTGAACCCGGGAGATGGAGGTTTCAGTGAGCCGAGATCATGCCATTGCACTCCAGCCTGGGCAACAGAGACACTGTCTTTTTTTTTTTTTTTTTAGGGGATGGAGTTTTGCTCTTGTTGCCCAGGCTGGAGTGCAATGACGCCATCTTGGCTCACTGCAACCTCCGCCTCCCTGGTTCAAGTGATTCTCCTGTCTTAGCCTCCTGACAAGCTGGAATTACAGGCCCATGCCACCAAGCCCGGCTAATTTTTGTAATTTTAGTAGAGACACGGTTTCATCATATTGGTCAGGCTGGTCTCGCCCTCCTGATCTCAGGTGATCCGCCCTCCTGATCTCAGGTGATCCGCCCTCCTAGGCCTCCCAAAGTGCTGGGATTATAGGCATGAGCCACCACTCCCAGTGAGATGCTGTCTTAATTAAAAAAAGGAAGAAAGAAAGAAATAGCTGGAGCTTGGCACAGTGGCTCATGCCTGTAATCCCAGGACTTTGGGAGGCCAAGGCAGGAGGATCGCTTGAGGTCAGGAGTTCAAAACCAGCCTGGGCAATATAGGGAGACCCCCATCTTTACAAAAAACAACAAAAAGTAGCTGGGTATGGTGGTGCATTTGTAGTCCCAGCTACCTGGGACTTGGGAGGCTGAGGAGGGAGCATTGCTTAAACCCGGGAAATCAAGGCTGCAGTGAGTTACGACTGCCACTGCACTCCAGCCTGGGTGACAGAGTGACACCTGTCTTTTAAAAAAGCTAGAGTAGGCCGGGCATGGTGGCTGACGCCTATAATCCCAGCACTCTGGGAGGCCGAAGTGGGTGGATCACCTGAGGTCAAGAGTTCAAGACCAGCCTGGCCAACATGGGAAACTCCATTTCTACAAAAATATAAAAATTAGCAAGGCATGATGGTGGGTGCCTGTAATCCCAGCTGCTTGGGAGGCTGGGGCGGGAGAATCGCTTGAACCTGGGAAGCGGAGGTTACACAATGAGCCAAGATCGTGCCACTGCACTCCAGCCTGGGCAACAGAGCAAGACTGTCTTAAAAAAAAAAAAATGCTGGAGTAGTTAGGATATGAGTTTGAATTTTTATTTCCATGATTCAATCAGCACCTATTCTCCCAAATGCCTTCTCTGCGTTGGGCCTGTGCTAGGTGGCACTGGGGACACAGTGGAGACTGACATGGCCCCTGGCCGCCTCCTCCCTTCTTGGGGCTCATAGTCTAATATGGGACTGACCTGTCTCCCCACACTGATGACCCAGAGTTGGCAGGGCTGGATGTGGGAGCCCAAGAGCCTGGAAACCTGGGAAATAAGAAAGGGCTTCCTGGAGGAGGAAGCATCAGCACTGGGGCTCAGACAACAGGGAAGTAGAGGGCACGTTGGCTGCAATTCGGAGGGAGCGCGGAGCTGTGCCGAGTCTGGAGTTTGGTCCACGGACCAGCAGCGCCCTCTGCTGGAAGCATTTCATAGTGTAGTGACCGGGGTACCGCGCGCATTGAGCCATGTATGTATGTATGCATTTATTTATTTTTGAGATGGAGTTTCGCTCTTGTTGCCCAGGCAGGAGTGTAATGGTGTGATCTCGGCTCACTGCAACCTCTGCCTCTGGGGTTCAAGCGATTCGCCTGCCTCAGCCTCCCAAGTAGCTGGGATTACAGGCGTGCGCTACCACACCCGGCTAATTTTGTATTTTTAGTAGAGATAGGGTTTCACCATGTTGGCCAGGCTGGTCTCGAACTCCTGACCTCAAGTGATCCAGCCCCCTCGGCCTCCCAAAGTGCTGGGATTACAGGTGTGAGCCACTGCGCCGTCCTCAAGTTATATTAGAATCGTGTCCTCCCAGCTTTGGCCAGCTTACTATTCTAGGACTTGATTCCTTCATTCAGTCACAATTTATTGAGCACCGACTTTGCATCAAGCTCTTGCTGAAGATAACAGTGCTGACAATATACAGCCCTGCCCTCAGAGCTTATATAGTAGAGGAGAAAAAGTGAACCCATAATATACAGTCAGTAGCGAGTATTTACTAAGTACTTTCTATTTGCGAGGCCCTGATAAAAGTACTGTCCTGGCCAGGCGCGGTGGCTCACGCCTGTAATTCCAGCACTTTGGGAGGTCGAGGTGGGCAGATCACCTAAGGTCAGGAGTTCGAGATCAGCCTGGCTAACATGGGGAAACCCCGTCTCTACTAAAAATGGAAAAATTAGCTGGGCATGGTGGCGGGCGCCTGTAATCCCAGCTACTCGGGAGGCTGAGACAGGAGAATGACTTGAACCCAGGAGTTGCAGTGAGCCAAGATAAGATAGCGCCATTGTACTCCAGCCTGGGTAACACAGCGAGACTGTGTCTCAAAAAAAAAAAAAAAAAAAAAAAAGTACTGTCCCTGTATTAGTTAACATTCAATTCTCAAAGCCTTAGACTATTTATATTTTATTGACTAGGGAAACTGAGGCACAGAGAGGTTAAGTTACTTGCCCAAGGCCTGCACAGCAAGTAAGTGCCGGAATCAAATTTGAACCCTGAGCCCAATTCTTAGATATCACATTCCCTTGCCAATAACATAATATATAACATAACATAATGATGTGATATATGTTATATAAAATAACTTTAGGGGCCGGGGGCGGTGGCTCACTCCTGTAATCCCAGAACTTTGGGAGGCCGAGGCGGGAGGATCACTTGAGGTCAGGAGTTTGAGACCAGCCTGGCCGACATGGCGAAACCCCGTCTCTACTAGAAATATAAAAAGTAGCCGGGCGTGGTGGCAGACACTTGTAGTCGCAGCTACTCGGGAGACTGAGATGGGAGAATCGCTTGAACTTGGGAGGTGGAGGTTGCAGTGAGCCGAGATCGCGCTACTGCACTCCAGCCTGGGTGACGGAGCGAGACTCCCTCTCAATAAATAAATAAGGTAATTTTAGGCCCTGAAAAGTTTTGTGAACAAAATCAAGAGGAGTATGTAATGTTTTGGTGGAAGGGTGCCATTTAGAAGGGGGCAATCAGGGAAGGCCTGCCGGAGGAGGTGGCCTTTGAGAAGAGACCTAAAGACGATGAGATCTGTGGGAAGAGAGATCGAAGCAGGCCACACAACCAAGGAAAAGGCTCTGGGGCAGGCACTGCAAGAAAGCCACCTGTCTGGGATCTAAAGTTTCCAAAGTTTTAGCTTGGCCAAGGCCCCTGCGCTACAATCACCCTGATTCGAGGTGTCCTGGAGGTTACCAGTTCCGCGTGCGAAGTTCTGCCATTCCCGCGGGGCTGGAGCCCCGAGGCTGAACTTCCCACGGGCGGTGGGCGTGGCCGGCTCACCTGCGGGGGCGTGGCTCCCGGCTGCCCCGCCCCTCGGAGGAGCCGCCCGAGGTCCCAGACGCCCGGCGCAGCGGGAGCGGCGGGGCGTGCCTGGCCTGCGGGACGCGACTGATCGCAGTGGGGCGAAGCGGGGCCGGAGCCGCCCGCGGTCAGGTGGGTGCCGGGAGTGGGGCGCGGGACTCTCGGAGAGCCGCGATGATGGGGGGCGGGGGCAACCCTGGGCCCGCTCGCCCTGAGACGGGGAAGGGCCTTGGGGCTCCCGGATGCCCCCTGCCCCGTCCTGGGGCTCTCCGGGATCTGGAGGCCTGGCTGGGGTCCCATGCCCCCCACCCCAGCGCAGGTAAACAGCGAGGACGGGGCGGGGCCTGGGAGGGAGAGGGAGGGGGCCCTTGTGACTGCGGGTGAGCCTGGTGCGCGGGGCTGGGCAGGCCAGGGTAAGTTGGTGCGGCTTGCGGGGCTGGGCCACGATGGGAGTCTCCTGCCTGCCTGTGTTTGTGTGTGTGTGTGTGTGTGTGTGTGTGGCTTTGCGTGTGTGTAAGAGAGTGTGTCAGGCTGTGGGTATGAGGGTGAAAGCGACTGTCCGTGTAACCCTGTGATGGGACTGTGTGTATGATGTGACACTTTTAGCAATGTGAAAACGTGGGCGACCTCTGACTGGAATGGTGTGTGTGTAGAATTGGATTGCTGGTAGCACTTTACGACCAAGAGCTAGTGCGACTGTAGTCGACTTTCTGCTTGGCCTGATGTGCATGTGTGTGGCTGTGTGTGTGGCTGTCTTCATGGCAGAGAGTGGAACTGGTTGTAGGATTAGGTGTGATTGACCAAGAGGCTGTGCGGCTGTGGTTGTCTTTCTGCCTGTTGGTGTGTGTGTGTGTGTGTGTGTGTGCGCGCGCGCGTGTGGTGGACAGTGTGGCACTGGATCAGTGATAGGTGACTATGATTGACTTTTGATTGTGTGTCACTGTGATGGTGCATGGGGCTGGGCGGAACTGTGTCCAGAAGTGGAGCTGTTTCATGGGACGGTGCGCGTGGAACCTTGGGGTTGGATGAGTGAGGTGTGGAGGTGTGTGAAGCCGTGTGTGCGTGTGTGTGTGTGTGTGTGTGTGTGTAGAGAGGAACTAGAGGGTGTGTGATCTGCATTGATACCGTGGCTGGCAGTGGTGTGCAACGGAGAGTTTGTGGGAGATGGGAGTGGAGACGTGGACATTTAAGTGGGATGCTCCTCCAAGCGGGTGACAGGATGGAAAAGGGGGTCCGCGTCAGGGATCAGTGTGTGGGACTGTGCCTATGATTATCAGCTGTGCGGTTGTGCACCCGGGGCTCTGTGTGAGTGTGGGAGCTGCTGTGTGTCTGGGACACAGCCCGAGTGCTGGATGGCTGTGGTTGAGCCGTGTTTGTTGCTGTGGTTGTCAATCTGGCTGTGGAGTGGTGTGTGTAAGGCTGTGTCTGAGGTTATAGAGGGAGGTTTTACATCGGCAAAATTGTGTGAAGAATGGTTGTGGTTGTCAGGATGACTCTTGAACCTGTGTGGTTGTGAGTTCAACCATTTATGATGTTTGTGTGTGAGGTGTGAGAATAGGTATGGTGTGATATACACAAGCACACAGATTGGCCGGGTGCAGTGGCTCATACCTGTAATCTCAACACTTTGGGAGGCTGAGGCGGCGGGGATTGCTTGAACCCAGGAATCCTAGACTAGCCTGGGCAATATGGTGATACCCCGTCTCTACAAAAACAAAAATTAGCTGGGCATAGTTTAGTTTTTTAAAAATTAAAAAAAGGTTGGCTGGGCGCGGTAGCTCACGCCTGTAATCCCAGCACTTTGGGAGGCCAAGGGGGGAGCGGGTGGATCATTTGAGGTCAGGAGTTTGAGACCAGCCCGGCCAACATGGTGAAACCCCGTCTGTACTAAAAATACAAAAATTAGCCAGGTGTGGTGGCGGGCACCTGTAATTCCAGCTACTTGGGAGGGTGAGGGAGGAGAATCGCTTGAACCTGGGGAGGTGGAGATCGCAGTGAGCCAACATCATGCCATTGCACTCCAGTCTGGGCAACAGAGCGAGACTCAGTCTCAAAAAAATAAAATTAAATTTTTTAAAGGTTGATATATACATCACATATATACACATACATATATCTAGAGAGAGGGAGAGATCAATGACGATCAAGTCTGTGGTGCACAAAACGTACAGGACCCTTACTGTATGTGATCGTGCATGTACAACATGTGCAAAAACCGCTGGGCTGCTTATGGTGGATGCAGTGGCTTGAGTGAAGTGTGCGAGAACGTGGCATCCCTCCACGCGTATTCACAGCTCTCTGTTCCGACAGTGGAGCTGAATCTGAGTACTTGTGTGTGCATGGCGTGTAGGTGTGGGAGTCCCTGCTGGCCAGGCCTGGAGTGGGAGGGAGAGGAAGTAGGGAAACTGGCGAGGGATCCATAGTGAATCTTGGGAGTGTGTGCATCTGGAGGTGCGTTGGGCACATTGTGGGGAGTTGGCTGCTTGGGAGCCATGTGAGTTCGGGGGACAGCGAGTGTCACGGTCAAGTGCAAGGAGATGGTCTGAATGTGAGTGATTTGGGGAGTGGGAGAGACAGAGTTAGTTTCTGCGTGGGTTGGCTTTTCTTTCTTTTTTTTAAATAATATTATCACTTTTTGACACGGAGTTTTGCTCTTGTCACCCAGGCTGGAGTGTGGTGGCGTGATCTTGGCTCACTGCAACCTCCGCCTCTCAGGTTCAAGCAATTCTCATGCCTCAGCCTCATGAGTAGCTGGGGACTACAGGCGCATACCACCATGCCTGGCTAATTTTGTATTTTTAGTAGAGCCGGGGTTTCACCATGTTGGCCAGGCCAGTCTCAAACTCCTGACCTCAACTGATCCACCCACCTCGGCCTCCCAAAGTGCTGGGATTACAGGCGTGAGCCACCGCGCCCAGGCTTGGTTTTTATTTCTAAGAGAATATACCTGTGTGTTGGGAGTGTATACAGATTGTTTTTGAAAGAATAGTATATGTGTGTGCCTGAGTCAGTGTGTTGTCTTAGGTTGTATTTCTAAAAGGAAAATGTAAATGTTTTTACTGAGTTGTATATTTAATAGGAGAAAGTGAGTGCGTGTTCTAAGAGGAGAATGTATATTATGCTGTCCTTTCTTTCTTTCTTTTTTGACTGGGTCTTACTCTTTCACCCAGGCTGAGTGCAGTGGCACTATCATGGCTCACTGCAGCTTCAACCTCCTGGGTTCAAGCAATCCTTCTACCTCAGCCTCCAGGTACACCATCACCACACCCAGCTAATTTTTTTATTTTTATTTTTGTAGGGATGGGGTCTCACTATGTTTCCCAGGCTGGTCTTGAACTCCTGGGCTCAAGTGATCCTCCTGCCTCAGCCAAAATCCCAAAGTGCTCGGAGTACAGGTGTGAGCCACCGCACCCGGCCTACATTGTGTTTCTAATGAGGGAGTGTGTGTGTGTGTGTGTGTGTGTAACTGTATTTCTGGGAGGGTGTGTGTGTGTACCGTCTTTTTTTTTTTTTTTTTTAAATGAAGTCTCACTCTGTTGCCCAGGCTGGATTGCAGTGGTGCGACCTTGGCTCACTGCAACCTCCGCCTCCCGGGTTCAAGCAATTCTCCTGCCTCAGCCTCCCAAGTAGCTGGGACTACAGGCATGCGCCACCATGCTCTGCTATTTTTTTTTTTTTTTTTCCAGTAGAGACAGGGTTTCACCCTGTTGGCCAGGCTGGTCTTGAACTCTTGGCCTCAAGTGATTTACCCACCTTGGCCTCCCAAAGTGCTGGCATTACAGGCGTGAGCCACTACACCTGGCCCCATGTTGTATTGGAGAGAAGGGAGAGTGCGTGTGTGTGTCAAATTGTATTTCGGAGAGGAAAATGTGTATGTTGCATTGTGTCTTTAAGAAGGGAGGGTGCGGGTGTGTGAGGTGTTTCTGAGGAGTGTGTTTGTGTGTATATGAGGACCCCAGAGGCACCACCAGCTAAGTTTCTGTGACCTTGTCACCCACATACAACCACATGAAGTCCCATAGAGGGGGGCCCCCACCCACTATGAGCTGGGCTTCAGACTCTCAGCTGTCACATGGCCAGTGTGACATACCTGGACCACACCTATCACACGTGTGTCCCGACAGGCCCTGGGCTGGCTAAGCTTGTCCGATGGAGGAGGGCGGAGCCCCTGTTCCCCCAGGGTCCATCTGTTGCCTGGGAGCCAACACATGGCCCCATCCTCATTCCCCCCAACCTAGAGGCCTCCTGGGCTTCTGGGGGCCCTGGCCCCTCGGCCCTCTCCTCCCACCCCACCCACCCCCAGTGGTCTGACTGGTTCCCGACAAAAACACCCTAAGAATGAGCTCACGCAGAGGCTGCCGCCTCCACACGCCCCGCCTCACTCTGCCGGCAGAGGAGGGTGCCTCTGGTCCCAGGTCACACGGCCAACCGGGAGCTCTGGGCCAGGGGATCCAAGGGCCTTGGGGTGGGGAAGGCTGGCCAGGTGAGCTGAGGGCAGATGGGGGACCCCAGGCTAGCTGTTTGCTTTCTCTTGGTTAATTACACATAGGATTTGGGAACTGTCCTCAGGGCAGAACCCTGGGTTGGGAGGACAGACGAAGGTAGACAAGACTGTTCCAGATGAGAGCTGGCTGGGATGGGTGTGGAGACTGGGATGGAGAGGGTGTGGAGGCAGAGGGCTGGCCAGGATGGGTGGAGCAGGGAAGAGCCAGGATGGGGAGAAGTTAGGGGTCCTGATGGCCATTATGGGAATAGAGGCTGGGGGCCAACTGACTGGCCCGGGCAATGATTCCCCAAACCCCTCACCATTGCTCCCCAGGAGCAGCAATGTCTGTGCAGGTAGCGGCTCCTGGAAGTGCAGGGCTGGGCCCAGAGCGCCTGAGCCCTGAGGAGCTGGTGCGGCAGACGCGGCAAGTGGTCCAGGGGCTGGAGGCGCTGCGGGCAGAGCACCATGGCCTGGCTGGGCACCTGGCGGAGGCCCTGGCGGGACAGGGCCCGGCAGCCGGCTTGGAGATGCTGGAGGAAAAGCAGCAGGTGGTGAGCCACTCGCTGGAGGCCATCGAGCTGGGGCTGGGCGAGGCCCAGGTATGAGGGGGCCAGGTGGGGAGCTGGGGGAAGGTCAGCTGAGGGCGGAGGGAGGGCCAGGCATGAGGGGGACAGGTATGTAGGGGACTGGGAGAGGGTTCACTATTGCAGAGGGGCACACTTTGGGAGGCTGAGGTGGGCAGATCACTTGAGGTCAGGAGTTCAAGACCAGCCTGGCCAACATGGGAAAACCCCATCTCTACTAAAAATACAAAAAGTAGCTGGGCATGAGGGCTCCTGTAATCCCGGCTACTCAGGAGGCTGAGGCATGAGAATCGCTTGAACCTGGGAGGCGGAGGTTGCAGTGAGTGGAGATCGTGCCATTCCACTCCAGTCTGGGTGACAGAGAGAGACTGTCCCAAAAAACAACAGAAAAAAGTATGGCAGAGAGGCACATCCGGGGCAGGGGGAGGCCTAGGGGAACCAGGCCTGGGAAGGGGAGGCTCCAGGTCAGAGATGGAGTCCCTTGGCAGCTTTAGGGGGTCCTTGTGTGTGACAGGGACCCCTGAACCAGATGGCATTCTTCAGTAAACTGTGGGTCCTAGGGCAAGTTTGGGGGTAAAATCAGAGGGGCCCCTGGGAGCCTCTGAGGGCACTGGGGCCATGTTGGCAGAGTCTCTGCAGAATCTGGGGGTGTCGTGCATAGTAGTGGGGTGCTACGGCCTGACTCGAGGCCTGGGCTGGGTCAGGGGCCGTCTGGCAGGGCAGGAACCAACCTCGACTTGGGACCCCCACCCCGGGCAGGTGCTGCTGGCCCTGTCGGCACATGTGGGTGCACTGGAGGCAGAGAAGCAGCGGCTGCGCTCGCAGGCCCGGCGGCTGGCCCAGGAGAACGTGTGGCTGCGGGAGGAACTGGAGGAGACGCAGCGGCGGCTTCGGGCCAGCGAGGAGTCCGTGGCCCAGCTGGAGGAGGAGAAGCGCCACCTGGAGTTCCTGGGGCAGCTGCGACAGTACGACCCACCGGCGGAGAGCCAGGTGCCACGGGCAGGGCGAGGCGGGGGGTGCTGGGCCCTTCATAGAGCCCCACAGTCCCCCAGACCCTCCTTAGAATCCCACAGTCCCCAAGATCCTCCTTAGAATCCCACAGTCCCCCAGACCCTCCTTAGAATGCCACAGTCCCCCAACCCTCCACAGAGCCCCCAGACCCACCAGAACTTCCACAGACGCCCCCACTAGCTACTCCACGAAGCCCCCGAGCCTCGCCAGACCCCCAGGGGGCCTCTGACGCTCGTGACCACCACCTCCCTCAAACCTTGAGATAGGCTGGGTGCGGTGGCTCACGCCTGTAATCCCAACACTTTGGGAGGCCGAGGCGAGCAGATCACCTGAGGTCCGGATTTCAAGACCAGCATGACCAACATGGAGAAACCCCGTCTCTACTAAAAATACAAAATTAGCCGGGTGTGGTGGCACATGCCTGTAATCCCAGCTACTCCGGAAGCTGAGGCAGGAGAATGGCTTGAACCCAGGAGGTGGAGGTTGCTGTGAGCCAAGATCGCACCATTGCACTCCAGCCTGTGCAACAAGCGAAACTCCGTCTCAAAAAAAAAAAAAAAACAAAAAAACAAAAACCTGAGATAGAGCCAGGGCCCCGGTCTCTGAAACAAGCCCCCACCACCCCGGCCCCCCACTTTCCTGTCTCTGCAGCAGTCTGAGTCCCCGCCTCGCCGAGACAGCCTGGCCTCCCTGTTCCCCAGCGAGGAGGAGGAGAGGAAAGGTGGGTGTTGGGAGTACATGCCACAGAGGATGGCAGGCCAGGGTGGGGAGGGGGCTCTGAGCTGCAGGACCCCAAAATCTCTGAGCCAGGGGATGGGGAGGTGAGGGCAGGGTGAGGAGGACCCTGAATGTGACAGTGCAGGTGAGGCTGGGAGCCACAAAGACAGGGTAGCCGCTATGAGCCTGGCAGGCCCCGTATTCACATCCCACAGGGCAGGTGGGCTGCCGTGTTCCTGTCCCGAGGCCAGGATGCATCCCACCAGCTGGTTAGATGCTAGTGACTCCTATCTCAGAAGTTAGCGTGGGGGCCCATAGTCCCAGGGGCCAGTTAGGCAGTCCGGCAGTTCTGAGGCACGTGTCCCCTCATGCGAGGCTGGAGGGGCAGGAGGCTTGCAGTGACCCAGAGCCCACCCCACCCCACCTAGGTCCTGAGGCCGCAGGAGCAGCAGCTGCTCAGCAGGGTGGCTATGAGATCCCTGCCCGCCTTCGGACCCTGCATAACCTCGTGATCCAGTACGCGGGGCAGGGCCGCTATGAGGTGGCGGTGCCTCTGTGCCGCCAGGCCTTGGAGGACCTGGAGCGCAGCTCGGGCCACTGCCACCCTGACGTGGCCACCATGCTCAACATCCTGGCGCTGGTGTACCGGTGAGCACTGCGGCCAGCCATGGCTGGGGGCAGGAACGGCAGGGACCCATTGGGTGCAAGTGGAAGGATCCTGGTGCCCCCTCTGTCACCATGGAGCACCTAGGGAGGTCAGGGGAGGGGACAGCAAGAATGGGAAAGGAAGGGAAGGCTCCTGCTGTGAGAACGGCAAAGAGGGAGTGGGACAGGGATCTGGGGGGGCCACTGAGCCAGGCAGAGAGGAGTCAGAGAGCACGGACACCAGGGACCCCAACAGAGCAGGCAGGAGACCTGGGGTGGCTAGAAGCTTGGCAGAGGTCTGGGGGTACAGGGCCCAGTGTTAGAGAATTGCGAAATATGGAGGGGCCCACAAAAGGCCCTCAAAGGGTGTGCCACCCATGCTTGGTTCAGCCAGGTTCCCTGGGCCTGTCAGGATTGGCCCAGCCCCTGTGGCTGCAGCTGCCCCAACCCTTGGCTAACCCCCTCCATTCCTGGGGCGCCCCCCACAGGGACCAGAACAAGTACAAAGAAGCCACAGACCTTCTCCATGATGCCCTGCAGATCCGGGAGCAGACGCTGGGCCCTGAGCACCCCGCGGTGAGTGGGGCCCCAGGGAGACGAAGTGGGGTCAAAGTGGGGCCACACCTGCCCATCCCTGACCTGTGCCTCCCCCAACCCCGCAGGTGGCCGCCACGCTCAACAACTTGGCTGTCCTCTATGGGAAGCGTGGGCGTTACCGGGAGGCAGAGCCCCTGTGCCAGCGCGCTTTGGAGATCCGAGAGAAGGTCCCATCCCCCTCACCCCACCCCGAGGAACCCCTTGTCCCATGTAGCCCTCCCCAGGGATGCTGAGCACGTACATCGTGACCCTGACCCTCGGGCCCCTTGCGTTTGGTATTGGGAGACCCCAGTTGGAGCCTAGATCACCCAACCCATCACCCTTGACCTTCTGAGATCCCAGTTTGGTCTTGACCCTGACTGACCTCTCGCCTTACCTCACACATCACCCTCCAACTGGGTCCCCCCATAGCCTTTCCAACCCCTCATGGCCACCAGCACAAGCCCAACCCTGACCTACCCATCTCACCCTGTGCCCCACGTTTCTGGACCACCATGACCTCTGACCTTGGTAATCCCGTTAGATGGTATAACTTGTGTCCCCAGCCCCCAACCTCTCAGGTCACTCTCTGCTTTGACCCTGTAATCCCCAACTCATGACCACCATACAGCAGTGATGTCACGTGTCCCACCAATCCTGTATGATCCCTCTGACTTGTGACCCCTGGCCCCCAGGTCCTGGGTGCTGACCACCCAGATGTGGCCAAGCAGCTCAACAACCTGGCCCTGCTGTGCCAGAACCAGGGCAAGTTTGAGGACGTGGAGCGGCACTATGCCCGGGCCCTGAGCATCTATGAGGCACTGGGCGGGCCCCATGACCCCAACGTGGCCAAGACCAAGAACAACCTGGTGAGGCCCCTGGGGCTCAGAGTGGGCCAAGAGTGGAGGGTCCTGCCCTGGGGAGGCACCCATTGGTTGGATACAGGGTGAGCAACGTGAGGGTGGGGGGGGGCCCCCCAGGCCGGGCCCTTGGAGCAAGTGTCAGACACAGGAGCTGGCTCAGCACAGAACACGGAATCAGGAAACGCGTAAGTCCACGGCAGCCAGAGGACAGCCAGTGAAGCGGAAGCTGGCAGGCACAGGTGGCAGCAGCAGACATTTATTGAGCTCACTGTGGCCGGCTCCCCTCTTAGCCCGGTCCCCACATCGCTAGTTCTTATAGCGTCCCTATGAGGTGGGAGCTGTCGCTCCACTTTGCGTGTGGGAAGACTGAGGCACCGAGGCCATGCCACCAGCCCAAAGTACAGCAGACAGGCTCAGAAACAGGAGGCTGCCTGTCCTCCATCCCCAGGGCAGGAAGTAAGGCCGAGCTCCAAACCCACTCTGCCCCAGGGCAAGGCTTTAGGCAGGGGAAGGATACGGCCAGGTCAGCACATTAGAAAGTGGGGCCAGACGTGGTGGTTCACGCTTGTAACCCCAACACTTTGGGAGGCCAAGGCAGGAGGATCACTTGAGGCTAGGAGTTCAAGACCAGCCTGGGCAACATACCAAGACCCCTGTCTCTACAAAAAAAAAAAAAAAGGCGGGACTGGATGCAGTGTTGGGAACTGGGGTCCGAAAAGTTCCCAGACACTCCCTTCTCCGCAGGCCTCAGCCTACCTGAAACAGAACAAGTATCAACAAGCGGAAGAGCTGTACAAAGAAATCCTCCACAAGGAGGACCTACCCGCCCCTCTCGGTGAGCCCCTAGCCCCTGTCTGTCTTCCCTCCTGGTGGCTTCTCTATGTCCCCATCTCAGTGTCCCCCATCTTTCCCCCTAGGTGCCCCCAACACAGGCACAGCTGGTGACGCAGAACAGGTGAGGATGGGCTGTGCTTCGGCTCCTGGGGTGGGCGTGGGGACTGCATGGGCCTGGGGGACTGAGCAGCATCCCCGGCCCCTCCCCAGGCCCTTCGCCGCAGCAGCTCACTCTCCAAGATCCGTGAGTCTATCAGGCGAGGAAGTGAGAAGCTGGTCTCCCGGCTCCGAGGCGAGGCGGCGGCAGGAGCAGCCGGGTGAGTGTTGATCAGGTCGGCAAAGAGCCCTGACATCAGCAGAATCCACAGCCCACCCCACCCCCACCCCCATCTTGCTCAAGAACCTTCCATGGCTCCCATCTCCCCTGTGATACACACAGATCAAACCCTGTGCTGGAAAGGTCCCTCGTGGAGGGGGGCCACTCCTGGATTCACTCATTTCCTCCCTGCTGCCCTCTTTGCAGAATGAAGAGAGCCATGTCACTCAACACACTGAACGTGGATGCTCCAAGGGCTCCTGGGACTCAGGTGAGGGGGACATCTGGGTCAAAAATAGAGGAGGCCATGTGGGTAGGTGCAGAGATGAGGCAAAGGCAGGGCGGTCGGGCCAGTGGTGGAGTCAGCAGGTGGTGGGTTGGTGTCAGAAGAGACCCAGGACAGGAGCAAAGATGGGTTTTACTTGGGGTAGAGGCGAGGGGGTTGGATAGTTGGCTGCCAGGCTGGACCTGGAGCTGGAGGGTGGATGTAACACTTGCCCCTCACCTCCCCTCCAACCATCCCCTGTGCCTGTCTCCAGTTTCCCAGCTGGCACCTGGACAAGGCCCCTCGGACCCTCAGCGCCAGCACCCAGGACCTGAGCCCCCACTAACGTCCAGTGAACTGCGCTGGCCGCAGCTTCTTGGGAACAGTGCAGGAGGGATGGGCTGGTGGGGTGAGAGGGGGTCTATCATCTCCTGGCCCCCCCTTGCCTCTGGGTACCTGGTGGATAGCTGCCTTCTCCTGCGATTAAAGGCTGTGGACGTGACAGTGAGAAATGTCACCTGACTTCATAAGACCTTCTAGCACCACCGCCGCTGGGAACCAGGGCCAGGCAAGACTCAGGAGTCACCAGGAACCGTTTATGGCCCCACCCGCCCCACTCAGAGCTGCTGAGCAATCTGCTCTATCCTCTTCAGCGTCTCCTCTGATTCTAGCTGCTCCAGGCTGAGCAGGGACAGGCCCAGCTGATCCTCCTGCAGAGAACAGAGGAAAGGGAGAGGGGGGCACTGTTGGGCAGGGGCCCAGGCAGCTGCTGCACTTCCCCAACCACCCCCCCGAATGGCCAGTAGGGACAGGATGTTTGAATGAATTTGGAGATGTCCGTATAATCCAGAGCGGGCCATCCCTGTCAACATAAGATGGGGCTGAGGGAGGAGCCAGCTAGGGAGTCGGAGAAGGACCGGCTTTCTCCAGGCCAGCACCGTCTCTCCTGAAAACGCCCAATGCCTCCTCACCCCAACTTCTCTCACCCTGCCGTGCCTGGGCCACCTGCTGGCATCTGTGGCCCCTCGAATCTCCCCCTTCCCCCCAGAGCCTGGCACGTAGATGCACGATAAACTTCTCTTTGCTGAGGGCAGGAGGACAGGCAGGCTGAGGGTGGGGAGTGGGGAGAATCCAAGGGGACTTTCTGGAGGAGAAGCTCAGCCTGGGAGGGTGCCGGGAGGGGGACGCAGGCCTCACCCGGTGGAAGGGCTGTGCCATCTGCCGCAGGAAGTACTTGGCCACCTGGACACCCTCGTCCACGGTCAGGTTGAGGTTGGCATCTGTGAGGTGCTCCTGGATCCAGCGGGGCAGCTTCCCCCGCTTGTCCCCACGGGCAAACCGCTGTGGGCAGAAGCGCAGGCCAGGGACAGAAGGTCATTCGGGGAGCCTGGGCCACTCTCCACCCTGCAACCCACCCCACCTGGGAAATGAACGGGAAACAGCCTGGTTCTTGGAGCCTGGGATGGGAGCACAGGGGCACCCCTGAAGCTGCACCTTGTCGGCAAAGACCATGAGGCCGTAGTCCGTCTTGCCCCTGATGGCCCGACCCACACACTGGGCCGCGTGGCGCATGGCATCGAAGGTAAGAAAGTCATTCTCACGAATCTGGAACTGGTCCCGCAGGTATTCCAGCCGCGCCTGCAGATACGGAGGATGAGAAGCTGGGGAGGTGGGGGAGCCACTCCTCCCTTGATCCTAACACTGTGGGACTCCCTGGGAGACAGAGCTACTCACCTTGAGAATGCGGCTCTGTGTGTAGACGTAGGGGACGCCAAACATGATGACGGCCCGCCCGTAGTGGTGCACTGGTGGGCAGAGGAGAGGGGGCGAGGGGGGTTACAAGTGTGGCTGGTGGGACAGGGACAGCCTCACGCGACCCAGGATGCTGTGTCTGAGTTGGGGGGAGAGGGTGTGTTCCCGCCGGGTGCCTAGGGACAGAGGGGAGGGGAGGGCCCCTCTGTGCACCTAGGCTGGGGGTGGGTGGTTCCCCGCGGGAGCAGACAGCAGAGCGGGCAGGTGTTCCAGAGAGCTCTGGGAAGACACCTGGGGAGGAAGAGCCCAGTCCACTCACCAAAGTCGATTCCCTCGGACACTTTGCCCCGGGCCACTGACAGCAGGATGGCCCCGCGGCCATTCTCGCAGGCCTGAGGTGGGGAGACCGAGACGCAAGTTAGGTCACTCCTCAGAGCCACCTCCCCGACCCCTCTCCACGCTGGCCTCGCACACCCACCTCCTGGTACTTCTCCAGGGCGACACTGGTTTCGGCACCATCCTGGGTCTCAATAAAGAGCAGCTTGTTCCTCTGGATGTTCTCAAGGATCCCCTGGGGAAGGACCCAGGGAGGTCAGGGTGGGTTCAGGGCACAGCCATCCTGGTTACATCCAACTCTTCTGGGGACTCCCACATCACCATGTCTCTGGGCCTCAGCTGGCTCATCTGAGATGTGGTGAGGGAGGGTGGAATTGTCCAACCTCAGTTCTTTGGGGAAACAGTGATCTGGGTGGGGAACCAATCATTGCTGGATAAGTGGGGCAGGCATGTGGCCCAAGCGGGTGGCCAATCAGGGCACCCCAACCCCTGCCAGCGATTGGTGGAGGGGCTGACTGTGAGGCAGGCAGAGCCAATCAGAGGCTGCCCTGAGACTTCCCATATGACACTACAATAGAGACAGTGTGGAGCCAATGCAAGGACAGACCACTGGGACAGAATGGAGAGTCCAGAAACACACAGCCACCTGTGCAGTTCAGTGGGGAGAGCTTTTACTGGAGCAAGTGGATTTTCAAATGGAACCAAAAAATGAACCTTGACCCCCTACTTCACACCACATAGAAAGATGAATTTGAGGTACCTCATAGACCTGGATGTGAAAGCTAAAACCACAAGCTCCTAGAAGGAAACAAAGGAGCCTCTCTCTATGACCTTGGGGTAGGCAAAGGTGTCTTAAGTAGGACACAAAAGGCACCTGCGCTGTGGGGACTGGGTCACCTTTCCCGCCGCGTGGAAGCCGCCTATTGAAGCACAAGGCCGATGTCCTGGCTGTGAGGATGACGTTCCCGCCTCCCATGCGTGCCTTTCCAATACCTGGATTAGCCAAGTTCACTCACCTCACCCCAAAGTGCTTTCACCCACTCCTGAGAGCCCGGCCATGGTGTGCTCAGAGGCACAAAGTGCAGAGTGGCCTCCCCTCCCACCCATGTCCTGCTGGTCACCCAGGGCCTGGCTGTGGTGAGCCCTGTTTCCAGAATGCCCCACGACCTCCTCTAGCTGCTTCCCTGAAGGGGCTCCTGCAGACCCTTGAGAGGCTCGCCCCGAGTCTTGGTCCAGCCTTAATTCTCTAGAATTCCTCTAACCCAGCTAGAGCCACGCCTGCTATCTGGGCCTCCCCACCAGGCCATCTGTGCTGGAGGATAACAGGGATGGGTAACCCCAAAAGCAGCAGAGAAGCAAGGAACCTAGAACGTGGGGGTGACTCTGCCACAGGGTACTCCTCTGAGGGAGGGGCCCACATTGGGGCTTATATCTGCATTCTCAGCCTGATGTACTGGGGGCGGGGCATGGGGGTGTGTGCTGCTTACACCCCATTCCTACATGCTGCACACACTCTCCTGTCACACAGGAAACCTGTCACCATCAGAGTGTGAGAGGAATGAAGCTGACATAGCGGTGCAGTGCCAGGGACTGAGGAGAGCAGGTGCAGGGAGGGGGTGGCCAGGCGTACCTGCTCATACCAGGAGGCCACGGTGCTCTCCATGTACTGGTAGCTGGTGAAGAAGGCCACGATGCCATCAGGGACCACAGCGGACATCTCCAGCAGGAGGTTCCCATAGTTCCGGATCACAGCTGCAAGGGGTCAGAGGTTGGGCCCTCTCCTGGCCCAGGTCCTCCTCCCTTCTCTGTCTTAGAACTAGGAGTTTCTGGAAACCCCACTGAGGCTGCCTGTCAGGCTTTTCACACATATCCCCCTCCTCCTCCTCCCGGGCGTGTCTGAGGACCCGCCTTGCCACTTCCTGAAGTCACACCTGGCTATGTGATTTGCCATGGCCAATGAAATGAGTGCAGAAGGGGCCGGGCGCTGTGGCTCACGCCTGTAATCCCAGCACTTTGGGAGGCCGAGGCGGGTGGATCATCTGAAGTCAGGAGTTTGAGATCAGCCTGGCCAACATGGCGAAACCCCATCTCTACTAAAAATACAAAAATTAGCCCAGCGTGGCGGCAGAGGCCTGTAATCCCAGCTACTCGGGAGGCTGAGGCATGAGAATCGCTTGAACCCGCAAGGCAGAGACTGCAGTGAGCCGAGATCATGCCACTGCACTCCAGCCTAGGCAACAGAGCAAGACTCTGTCTCAAAAAAAGGCCATGTGTCACTTCCAGGGGAGCACCCTTAGGAACCAGTGCACAATACACTGTGACCACTGTGATCCCACCTGTCACATTATGCTGCCTCTGACACACCCAGCGGTGGAGGTTCCCAGGTGAGGAGACACAGGGCAGGCCCCTACCAGCTCACAGTGGACGTGTACCACGGGCAAGAAGGAAACTCTGGGCTGAGCAACTAAGGCCAGGGATATTTGTTACAGCAGCATGACTCAGCCCACCTGACTGATACACCTCCCCTCTTGGAACCCACAGAAACCAGCCCCACTGGCAGCATACCAATATCCTCCCGGGTCTCAAATTTGGAGCTGATGGCCACCTGGTCATTGCCACGGCCGATGATCTGGAGAGCAACAGAGGTCACGATAAGCGAGGCAGCAGCAACTGCTCCAGCGTGAGTGCTGACCACCTGCTGGTGCTGTTCTAAGCTTTTTTTTTTTTTTTTTTTAAAGAGAGACAGGGTGTCACCATGTTGCCCAGGCTGATCTTGAACACCTGGCCTCAAGTGACCATCCCGCCTTGGCCTCCCAGAGTGCTGGGATTACAAGCATGAGCCACCACACCCAGTCTGCTCTAAACTTTTTATAAACACAGTGTCATTGAATGAACCCTCAGCAACCCTGTTATCTGCATTGCACAAATGACCTGGGCTCAGAGAAGGTGAGTTGCCTGCCCAAGGTCACACAGCAAACAGGTGGCAAAGATGGAACCGGACCCGAGTCTGTCCACACTCTCCAACAGCAGCTACACTCTAGCCAGCCCCAGGCCCTGGGCCAGCCGGATCCCGAAGAACACCCCTCGCCATGCCGGCGGGCATCCCACCAGCCGGCAACCTCACACAACCACCATGCAGTGGGGGTCATTACCGGTCCACAACCTCTGACAGGCAACTCCAAAAGCCAAAAGCTCTGAACACATTTCTTTTTCAAGTTTGGCACAAACTCATGAAGCAGCAAAACCTGCCCTGCCCCGAGTCTCTCCAGAGGCCTGACTTACTCCTTAGTGTGATGCTTCCCAATCTTTTACTGCCGAAATGGGAGTTTGACTCGGGGGAGCTGCCCAGACCCCACTGTGGGCATCACACACCACACAGCATAGGCCTTGTCTCTAAAGGCTGGAAAATTCTGAATTCCAAAACAAATGGCTGCGCGCAGTGGCTTACACCTGTAATCCCAGCACTTCGGGAGGACCAGGCGGGCGGATCACTTGAGGTCAGGAGTTTCAGACCAGCCTGGCCAACGTGGTGAAACCCCGTCTCTACTAAAATTACAAAAATTAGCTGGGCATCGTGGCACATGCCTGTACCAGCTACTCAGGAGGCTGAAGCATCAGAATCACCTGAATCCAGGAGGCGGAGGTTGCAGTGAGCTGAGATCCGTGCCACTGCACTCCAGCCTGGGCAACAGAGCAAGACTCCGTCGCACAACAAAAACAAAAAACCACATCCAGCCTGGGGACTTCAGATAAGGGACTGAGGGCTCATGTTGACATGCACGTGTTACAGAGACGGAGACGGAGAGGAAGGCTCACTTACCTGGGTCACAGCCAGACCACGTACTCGGCAAGATGCTAAGATGCTGACTAAGCGCCTACCTGTGCCAGGCCCTGGGCGACCTAAGTGGTTTACCCCAGTTCTCTCTCTCAATCCTCTCAACCACCCTGGGAGATCAGGGAGGATACATTCCCATTTCACAGATGAGAAAACTGAGGCTTGAGAGTCGAGCCCACAGAGAAGCAGAATCAAGCCTAAGTCTGTCTGAATCCCGAACCCAGCCTCTTCGCTGTAAAGCTCTCCTGCCTGAGCAGTGGGGGAAGCCAAGGAAGGAGGGCGGCCCCTTGCCCCCATCTCCCCTCCCGGCCCCAGCCCTAGCCTCTCCCACTCACCATAGGGCAGAGGCAGACCCGTGCCAGCGTCATGGTGAAGGTTGCCATGGTGACGGGGTGGAAGTCCAGGATCTTGGGGTAGATGTCCAGCGGGGACAGTGTCTGTGGCGGGACAGTGGGAGGGATCTCAGCAGGACTGGGCAGGGACCAGGAGGCCCATGGAGGGAGGTCAGGGACTAGGAGGGGACGGGGAAGGGTCCTTACCCCAGATGTGATGATGACAGACTGGAAACGCTCAAATACGGGTTTGATGGCCAGCGAGGCGTCCATGCAGCTGGAGAGAGATGAGGGCAGTGAGGGCCCGGGGGGCTGGGCCCCCGACCCACAGAGCATTCACACCCTCACCGGGCAGGGTCCCACCTGAAGTGCAGGATGGGGTTGGCAATGGTCGGGGTTCTGTCGTCAAAGGGCTCGATGATGATGGTGAAGCCTGCAGAGGGCAGGCAAGGAGGGGTGAGATTACCCCACTACAGCCACAGCTGCACCCACTCAGTCATTCCCTCTCCTGCTCCCTCGCTTCACCCCAATCTCCACCCCGTACTGCCTGGGAGTAAATGCGACCAAACATGACTGCTTAAGCCCCAAACCAGGCATCTGAGTCCAAAATACACCCCAACCTGTCCGCTTCGGGCCCACACCTGTGCAAACTTTCACGAAGGATCCCAAGTAGAGAGCCCACAGCCCCGCCCACTGCTCACTCTCCCAGCACCGCATGGGCTGCCCAGCACCCACGCCAAAGCCAGGAGCCAGAGCCTCAAGCTTTCTCCCATGACCTTTTCTTGTTTTTGTTTTTTGAGATGGAGCCTCGCGCTGTCGCCCAGGCTAGAGTGCAGTGGCATGATCTCGGCTCACTGCAAGCTCAGCCTCCTGGGTTCAAGTGATTGATTCTCCTGCCTCAGCCTCTTGAGTAGCTGGGATTATAGGGACACCCCCCTACAACACACCCAGCTAATTTCTACATTTTTAGTAGAGATGGGGGACCTGCAGTGGTCCACCCGCCTCAGGCTCCCAAAGTGCCAGGATTACAAGTATGAGCCACTGCACCTGGCCTCCCACGACCTTTCTACCTAAGCCATCAGCAAAGCCGGGCAGCTCTGCCTCCAAAACCTACCTGCAATTCGCCCACTGCCCCCGACCCCACGCGGGGCCAGCCACCATCACCTCCTGCCTGGACCCATCATCCCCTGCTCGCTTCACGGCAGCCAGAGGGACCCTAGGGAAACCTGAGTCCCTGAGTCCAGCCATGTCACCTCCCCGCCCCAAGAAGCCTCCCATGGCCCCCACATGCCTCCAGTGGCCTGGTGCCTGACCTTCAAAAATCAGCAGGCTCAGTCCCCCCAGGGCCTTTATACTTGCTGGTCCCATGTGGCCTGGAAAACCTCCCAAGGCTGCTCCATTTGGTCATCTGAGACTGCTCAAAAGTCAGCCCCTCCGAGAGGCCCTCCCCAGCCACCTTTTCTACGCAGACATATTCCAACACAACAATGTATTTTTTTTCATGATAACTGTCACTTTCTGGAATTATTTCCTTGTTTATTTGGCTGCATCTTTGCTACTGGTTTTCCCATCTGGAATATAAGTTCTGGGGGGTTAGGGATGAGATCTTTTTTGGTTCCTGCTGCTTCCACAGTGCTGAGCCTGGCCTGTTTGTTGAAGAAATAAATGAATGAATGAATTTACATATTCGGTTTCACACAGTGAAAAAAAATCAAGTCCTCTGTGCTGGGGACACAGTGGTGACCAAGCCAGCCTTGCCCCTGCTCGCATGGGTTCGCAGTCCAGTAGGAGACAGACTTGTCCTCAGATAGTGATGACTGAGAGTGGGCAGTGCTGGGACAGAGGTGCCCAGAGGAGGGGCCTGACTCAGCCTGGGGGTCAGGGAGGGCTTCCTGGAGGACAAGACATCTCTACTAAGCTGAGAACCTAAGGATGAGGGGGAGGTGGTTGGGGGATGAGGAAGATGAGGAAGGATGATCCAGGTGAAAGACCATGAGGTGTTGGCAGATGGGAAATAGTGGGTAGAGAATGACAAAGGTAGGGATGGAAGATGGGGCAGGACAGAGAGACAGAGGCAGAAGCAGCAGCCAGCCGGCCTCGCTACCCAGCCCCAGGGCAAGGGCCCAGATCTCCATCCTCCTGTCAGGCCCTGCCGCAGGACATGAGGCCCGATCTGGTTTCCTGGGTACAGGAGAAACCCCCAGGAGGCAGACTGAGCCCCTGGTCAGCTTCACGCTGAGGATGGGGAGGGAACACCGGCCCATAAAGCCTCCAGAATGATGTCCCTCTCTCGTAACCTGAAAATCTGAACATCAGCCTCTACTCCTCTTGTCCCTGGTCCCAAAACCCAGGCACCACGCTCCCCATATCCCAGCCTCTCTACCTCCCACATCTCTCTCCAAACCATACCTTTCTCTCTCCCCATGGCCACATCCTGGCCAAGGCCCCTCCCCTCCTGCTCAGGTCCCTGCCTGCCACCCAGTCTCCTGCCTCTAGTCCCTGCCAGAAGAACTCTTTTTTTTTTTTTGAGACAGACTCTCATTTTCACCCAGGCTGGAGTGCAGCTGGTGTGATCTCGGCTCACTGCAACCTCCGCCTCCCGGGTTCAAGCAATTCTCCTGTCTCAGGCTCCTGAGTAGTTGGAACTATAGGTGCGTGCCACCACGTCCAGCTAATTTTTGTATTTTTAGTAGAGACGGGGTTTCACCATATTGGTCAGGCTGGTCTCGAACTCCTGACCTCAGGTGATCCACCCACCTCAGCCTCCCAAAGTGCTGGGATTACAGACATGAGCCACTATGCCAGGCCTATTTTTTTTCTTTTTTTTTTTTGAGACGGAGTCTTCGCTCTGTCGCCCAGGCTGGAGTGCAGTGGCACGATCTCGGCTCACTGCAAGCTCTGCCTCCTGGGTTCACGCCATTCTCCTGCCTCAGCCTCCTGAGCAGCTGGGACTACAGGCGCCCGCCACCACGCCCAGCTAACTTTTTTTGTATTTTTAGTAGAGACGGAGTTTCACCATGTTAGCCAGGATGGTCTTGATCTCCTGACCTCGAGATCCGCCCGCCTCGGCCTCCCAAAGTACTGGGATTACAGGCGTAAACCACCACGCCCGGCCTTTTTTTTTTTTTTGAGACGAAGTCTTGCTCTGTTGCCCAGGCTGGAGTGCAGTGCCACAATCTTGGCTCACTGTAACCTCTGCCTCCTGGGCTCAAGCAATTCTCCTGCCTCAGCCTCTCAAGTAGCTGGGATTACAGGAGCCCACCATCACACCTGGCAAATTGTTGTATTTTTAGTAGAGACAGGGTTTCACCATGTTGGTCAGGCTGGTCTCAAACTCCTGACCTCAAGTGATCTGCCCACCTCGGCCCCCCAAACTGCTGGGATTATGGGCGTGAGCCACCATGTCTGGCCCCAGCTAATTTTTGTATTTTTAGTAAAGATGGGGTTTCGCCATGTTCACCAGGCCAGTCTCGAACTCCTGACCTCAGGTCATCTGCCTGCCTAACCATTCCAAAGTGCTGGGATTACAGGCATGAGCCACTGCGTTCAGCACCCAGAAGAAATCTTTCCAAAGCACAACTCTGGGCCGGGCATGGTGGCTCACGCCTGTAATCCCAGCACTTTGGGAGGCCGAGGCCGGTGGATCATGAGGTCAGGAGATCGAGACCGTCCTGGCCAACATGGTGAAACCCCACCTCTACTAAAAATACAAAAATTAGCTGGGTATAGTGGCATGCGCCTGTAGTCCCAGATACTCGGGAGGCTGAGGCAGGAGAATTGCTTGAACCCAGGAGGCAGAGGCTGCAGTGAGCCAAGATCACACCACTGCACTCCAGCCTGGCAACAGAGCAAGACTCCGTCTCAAAAAAAAAAAAAAAAGCACAAATCTGACCTGGCACCTTGCTTGCTAGAATCTGCCATGGCTCCCCAGTGCCCTCAGGAGCACAAAGATCAACTCATTACCGTGCCCTCTAGTGTGAGCTGACCCCATAGAATTTCTCTGGCCTCCTCCCTTACCACTGCCCATGCCATCCTTCTCCACTCTGCAGCCCGAGGAAGTCTGTGAAAATGTAAATCTGAGCACAAGGCTTACTCAAGAACTATGTATGGCTCCCCACTGCCTTCAAAATAGGGCCCACACTTCCAAGCCAAACCCCACAAAGCCCTGTGTGTCCTGCCAACAACCCTCTAGACCCTGCTGGGACCCTGATTCCAGCTGCTAGGAGGCCCAGCAGGGACAGAAAAAGGTGAGCTTACCTTTGGCGTAGGTGCTGACAAGGGTGGCAAAGTTAGCAAGGAGGGTGAGCGGGGAGAAGTCAGCAAGGTCGGTGATCTCCAGAGTATGCAGCAGGGACCGGAGGCGTTCAGCACAGAATCTGGCGGGGAGGAGAGACGGGGTCGGGGGGCAGACGGAAGCATGAGCAGGACCAGCAGCCCTGCCTCCGCCATCACGACGGTCACGTGCCTGTCTCCCCAGCCAATGAGCACTCAGTGAGGGTGGGCACTGGGCCTGTTTTGGAAACTTGCACCCCCACGCTGTACACCTGCATGTCACAAATAGCCATTGCCGCATAATGGCACAGACAGAGCAATAATCAGACACTCCAGAGTCATGTGGTCACTTGTCACACCTGCTAGCACGACCTCCTAAGTGGGTTCTTTTTTTCTTTTTCTTTTTTTTCTTTGTTCAGATGGAGTCTTGCCCTGTCATCCAGGCTGGAGAGCACTGGTACCATCTCGACTCCGCCTCCTGGGTTCAAATGATTCTCCTGCCTCAGCCTCCCAAGTAGCTGGGATTACAGGTGCCTGCCACCACACTCAGCTAATTTTTGTACTTTTAGTAGAGACGGACTTTCACTATGTTGGCCAGGCTGGTCTTGAACTTCTGACCTCGTGATCCACCTGCCTCAGCCTCCCAAAGTGCTGGGATGACAGGTGTGAGCCACTGCACCTGGCCCTAAGTGGGTTCTGATCAAAACAAGAGACGCACAATCACACCCAGAACCCCCCAGTCATGGCATTAATCCCGCATGGCCACATGGTCACGCATTCACACCCAGAGCCTCTCCCACTGCCTCTCACGCACCTATGGGGACACACACGGTGTCGGAACCCCATGGGCTCACAGAGGAATGCAGTCAACACCCACATCCCACAGAGTCCCACGGATACCACGTCCACACACTCACGCATGTGCAGGGCCACTCGGCCACAACCACACACAGGCAGGGCCGAGGCAGGGTCATAGAGCAGCTGGCTTTGAAGCCAGGTGGGCAGTCACACTTGCAAACCTGCCTCCCGCACGTCAGCCCTCCCAGCCTGGCTCCTCTAACCCCAGGCGCCTACCCCGGCTGGTCGCTAGCTGAGGATGAGTCTGTCCCCTCCACTGGGCCATGGAGCCTCTACGGCTGTGTCCCCAGCATGAAGCAGGCACTTGGGGAATGTGTGTTGAGTGACTGAGATCCCCTCTTTGCCCTCACAAGTCTCCAATCCTGGGGAAGATGGGCAAACCCACATGGAAGGTGGCCTCACCCACAGAGGCAGGGCAGCCAGGGCCTTTGGAGCCCACAGGCATGGCTTCAAGCCCCAACTACCGGGCACAGTGCTGTGTGGCTCTGGGCAAAGGCTTCCCCTCTGGGAGTCCCAGTGTCCTCATTTGCAGGGTGGGGATGCTGTACTGGGGGTGCAACTGAGGTAAGGAACATAAAGGGCTTAGCTCCTCCTTAGTGCTCAGGGCAGGGTAGGTGATTGGCTTCGCTGCTCTCTCATTAACCCACCAAAGAACCCTGTGAAGTAAAGACCCGACTCCTTGGCCATTTTACAAAGGAGGAAACTGCAGTTCAAAGAAGACCCATGACTTACCCAAAGGAAAAGCCCCCTCGTATCCCTTGGTCATTCTCTGCCTGCCCTGTGCCTCAAGAGACTGACTCCCCCAAAATGCGCCCAGACTACTCCATGGGGACGCCCCTGCCCTCAGGTTTGGAAGATTAGAGGCATCGGTGGGAAGATACATGGGCCGGGGACACCTCCTCCAGCTCCCAGCCTGCGAGGCCCTGGTACTGGTTTCTGCTCCCAGCAGAAGCCCCTGTCCAGGCCCCCACCAGTTGGTTCTCAACACACTCCCTCCCTGCCGCTGTGGCCTGGCTTAGCTCCCAGCTCTCACCTCCCACCCTCCTTGGCTCCTCCCCCAGCCCGCCCCTCTGTAAATGGTGCTCCCACTCTCTCTTGGGTGGGGGAGATTCTCCAATCCAGCCAGGTGTTGCCTGCCAGGCCCCTGCCCGACGCACGGACCCAGGATCAGCTCCAACCTTGCTCCCGGACCTCCCAGGTCAGACCAGACAAGGTCCCACGTGCCTCGCCCAGCTCACTCACTCCTGATGCTGCAGTGGTGACCTGGGGCTACAGGCGTGGAGGACACGGCTCTGCATAACCGGGACCTGCCGGGCCCCCACCCCGCGCGCTGTCTGGGGCCGCACCTGAGGGGCTTGCGCTGGATGCACACGCGCTGGGCCAGGCCGCTCAGGAAGGCGGGCGGGCTCTCCTGCACCACATGCTGCACACGCAGCCGCCACTTCACGTACTCCAGCAGCCGCCTCAGGAAGCCCAGGAAATGCTCGGCCGTGCGGATGGAGCCAGGCACTGCCTCTGCGAGGAGACGCTATCAGCGGCGACGGGGAGGCGGGAAAGGGACTGGGGGGCAGCGGGGGGTCGGGGCTCACCCTGCAGCACTTCGTCGGGCAGCACGGGGTTGGCCAGGTGGGCGTCCGTCTCCCGGGCGGCGCTGGCCTCCCGCAGCCCCTCCACCAGACGCCGGTACTCGTCCCGCAGGCGCTGCTCGTCTGTCTCTTTGATCCTGCGGAGAGATGAGCTGGGGCTGGGAGGGGGCTGGCAACCCTGGGGACAAGTCAGACAGGGGCCAGGGTCCCAGGGGCAGGGCGGGCACCACCGCCAGACGTCCCCGGCCCCACCTGAGCACCGTCTTCTGCAGGGTCTCCAGGTTGCCCTGGCACCGGTCAAGGGTCCGGCGGGTGAGGTTGACGCTCATGGAGTCGATGCAGACGTTGTCTGGAGAAGGGGGAGAGAGCCGGCTCAGGCAGGCCTGCAGGGGCCTCACTCAGAGGGGCTGGCATCCCTTTGGCCCCTGGCGCCCCCCTCACCAATGTTGTGGGCCTCGTCGAAGACCACGACGGCCTTGCGGGCCAGTTCCTTGGACACCAGGTCTGCAATCTTGGGGTCCAGGAGGTAGTGGTAGCTATAAACCACCACATTGGCATGCAGGATCTGGGGGGCCGGGGAGCAGGGTTACCAGGGCCCTGCCACCCCAACCCCTACCCCTACCCCTGGCCACACTGGCCCGTCACTCCCACACAGGCCTGCACAGGCAGACACAGGCCAGGCAGAAGTATGAGCAGATGGATAGAGACAGACCAACAGATACGGGCACCCACCAACAGGGAGATGCAGACAGGCAGACTCACAGCAAGCAACAGACAGACATGGGCAGACAGGAGACGGGCGGGCAGCCCACACCCTCACACTCGCCCCTCTGCCCATCCCACCAGCCTCCTCACTGAGTATCGAGCAAGGAAGTATGGGCACCAGCCCTGGCGCCGCCCCAGGGCCTTCAGGTCATCCAGGTTGTAGATGCCAGCGGGGAGGGGCACCTCACGCCCATGGGCATCAAATTCCTGGGACAAGAGTGCCAGGGGTCAGGGAGGCTGCCTGCCCCAGGCTACCTGTCCTGCCTCCCTCCCTCAGCCCTGCCCTCCAGTAACCTCATAGAATCGGCAGTGGGGCAGGCTGGTGTCATGCTGGTACTGCGCCCGCACATAGGAGGCTGTGAGGCTGTGGCATTTCCCATCGACGTCCTTCCCAAAGCGCAGGGGTGTCACCTGGGGGTGTGGGGCATCTTAGCACCCAGACAGGGTGGAAACCCAACCACTCTTCAAACCCTGGTCTCCACACCTCCCAGCTGGCTGGGGTTTTGGACAACTTGAACCTCAGTCTGTTGCATTATTAGTTAAGACGCGTGGGAACTTAATGCAGGGATACAAGAGTAGTAAAATTGGGCTGGGCGCGGTGGCTCACGCCTGTAATCCCAGCACTTTGTGAGGCTGAGGTGGGCAGATCACGAGGTCAGGAGTTCGAGACCAGCCTGGCCAACATGGTGAAACCCTGTCTCCACTAAAAATACATTAGCCAGGCGTGGTGGCACATGCCTGTAATCCCAGTTACTCGGGAGGCTGAGGCAGGAGAATCGCTTGTATCCGGGAGGTGGAGGTTGCAGTGAGCAGAGATCGTGCCATAGCACTCCAGCCTGGGCGACAGAGTGAGACACCATCTCAAAAAAATAAGTAAAAATAAAAATACAAAAATGAGCCAGGTGTGGTGGTGCACACCTGGAATCCCAGCTACTCGGGAGGCTGAGGCAGGAGAATCCCTTGAACCCAGAAGGCAGAGGTTGCAGTGAGCCGAGATCATGCCACTGTACTCCACCCTGGGCCACGGAGCCAGACTCCCTCTCAAAAAAAAAAAGAGTAGCAAAATTGTTACATTCTTACAACTACAAGTTATACATACATATTTTTGGAGACAAGTCCCTCTGCTACTCAGGCTGGAATGCAGTGGCCCAATCACGGCTCACTACATCCTTGACCTCCCAGGCTCAAGTGATCCTTCCCCCACTCAGCCTCCCGAGTAGCTGCGGCCACAGGTGTGCACCACCATGCCCGGCTAATTTTTGTCTTCTTAGTTGAGATGAGGTCTTGCTATGTTGCCCAGGCTGGTCTCAAACTCCTGGTCTCAAGCAATCCTCCCACCTCAGCCTCCCAAAGTGCTGGGATTACAGGCTGAGCCACTGCGCCCAGCCAGCCAAAACTAATATTTTATTTTTTGAGACGGAGTCTTGCTCTGTTGCCCAGGCTGGAGTGCAATGGCACGATCTTGGCTCACCACAACCTCCGCCTCCCAGGTTCAAGCGATTCTCCTGTCTCAGCCTCCCGAGTAGCTGGGATTACAGACATGTGCCACCACACCCGGCTAATTTTGTCTTTTTAGTAGAGACAGGGTTTCTCCATGTTGATCAAGCTGGTCTCGAACTCCTGATCTCAGGTGATCCACCCGCCTCGGCCTCCCAAAGTGCTGGGATTATAGGTGTGAGCCACCGTGCCCAGCCCAAAACTAATATTTTAAAACAATAAGCCTGAAAAATCTTTAGCATATAGGTTGAAGATAACTACTTCATCCTTGGAAATGCCAAAACGCATGGAACCTTGGCAGGGCCTAAGAATCAAAGGAGGTTCCACACAGTCTGGGACTCCCCTTACCCCTGACCTGCTCTGTACCCTCTAAGGCACCATCACAGCCTAAGGCTTTTTCTGAAGAACAAATCCTTTTCCTACGCCAAAAGGAAAGCTCCAAGGCAGCCAGCCCTTCCTTCTCCATTTCCCCTTTCATCAGTCACCGAGGCCTGTGCTCTTTGTCATCCACTAGATGTATTATTTCTCACATATTCTTACAAATAATGTGATATAATATATAGTCTGTGGGCCCAGTGTGGGAGTTTGAGACCAGCCCGGCCAACATGATGAAACCCCATCTCTACTAAAAATACAAAAAACTAGCAGGGCGTGGTGGTGGGTGCCTGTAATCCCAGCTACTCAGGAAGCTGAGGCAGAAGAATCACTTGAACCTCGGAGGTGGAGGTTGTGGTGAACCGAGATCACGCCACTGCACTCCAGCCTGGGCAACAAGAGTGAAACTCCATTTCAAAAATAATAATAATAAATAAGGCTGGGCACGATGGCTCATGCCTGTAATCCCAGCACTTTGGGAGGCTGAGGCGGGAGGATCACAAGGTCGGGAGTTAGAGACCAGCCTAACCAACATGGTGAAACACCGTCTCTACTAAAAACACACAAATTAGCCGGGTGTAGTGGGGCACCTGTAATCCTAGCTACTCAGGAGGCTGAGGCAGGAGAATTGCTTGAACCCGGGAGGCGGAGCTTGTAGTAAGCCAAGATCACTCCCCTGCACTCCAGGCTGGGTGACAGAGTGAGACTCCGTCTCAAAAACAAAACAAAACAAAAATATATATATATATACACACACACACACACACACACACACACACACATATAAAAACATATATACACACACATATATATGTAAGTATAATATATACACATATATACATTCTGTGGGTTACCACATGTAAAGTATTCAGAACAGTGCCTGGCACACAGTGAGTACAATTTTTTTTTTTTTTTGAGACGGAGTTTCACTCTTGTTGCCCAGGCTGGAGTGCAGTGGCGCGATCTCGGCTCACTGCAACCTCCCCCTCGGGAGTTCGAGCAATTCTCCTGTCTCAGCCTCCCAAGTAGCTGGGATTACAGGCATGTGCCCAGCTAATTTTTCAATTTTTTTTCAGTAGAGACGGGGTTTCTCCATATTGGCCAGGCTGGTCTCAAACTCCCGACCTCAGGTGTCCACCCGCCTCGGCCTCCCAAAGTGCTGGGATTATAGTCGTGAGTCACCATGCCCAGCCAAGTACAATGATTTTATAGCATAATTTAATGATAACTAATATTGTATTTGTCATATATCATTATGCATATAAATATCATGACAATTTCTTTTTTTTTTTTTTTAAGACAGAGTCTCACTCTGTCACCCAGGCTGGAATGCAGTGGCATGACCTCAGCTCACTGCAACCTCTGCCTCCTGGGTACAAGCGATTGGCATTACCGACGTGTACACCACCACCCCCGGCTAATTTTTGTATTTTTAGTAGAAATGGGGTTTCGCCGTGTTGGCCAGGATGGTCTCGAACTCCTGACCTCAAATGATCTGCCCACCTCAGACTCCCAAAGTGCTGGGACTACAAGCGTGAACCACTGCACCTGGCCTATCATGAGAATTTCTAACATTCTTTTAGCTCTTTGTACATGCTAAGGGCATCGGCTGCAACATTTCACCCAATTTTATCATCAGCAACCTTATGAAGCAGGTACATAATTATCCCCATTTTACAGAAAGGAAGACTGAGGCCCAGGTGGCAGAAAATGCCTCTCCATAAATACTGGGCTAGTAAGTTTCAGAGCCAGGAAACCAGGCTTGCCAGAGACTCTAAGAGCTGCCTTTTTAACCTCTCCTAGGCCTGGGTAGAATTTGAAGACTCCCTGGAGGAAGTGTGCTTGCCTGGGCCACGATGAATGAGAATTTGACCACTGAGACGGGAATTCTGTGTGTAGCCACTGCATGCCTTTGCAAGAGATATGGCCTGGGGATCCAGGACTTGTGGTTGGACGAAAGAGTTTTCTCTACCTCTGGGCTAAGGGCAAGGAGAAGGAACAGGTGCTCACCTCAGGGTGAATACACAAGTTTTTGCGGGAGCTCAGAGCCAGTCCCAGAAACGGCAGCTTCTCGCCCTCCTGCTTCTCATAGAAGTTGAGCAACTTTCGAAGCTCTTCAATCACCTACTCCAAAGTTGGGGGGCAGGGGGAGCTTGTGCTCATTGGAGGCACAAACCCCTGCCCTGCCAGGTCCCAGTCTCTTCCCCAGCTTCCCAAACACCCCCGAAAGCTGGTGACGGCCACCGCCAGGGGGACCAATAGGGCCTAGGGAACAGTGGGGCTGGAGCACCAGGATGAGTCCCAGCTTACCTTCTCAATCTCTGGCACAGTTCTTGAGCAGTAGATGAGTTTGGTCACCTCCAGCGGATATGCCTGCCGATAACAAGCGGACTCAGTCCCTGTCCCGCCCCTTCCTTTGTCTGCCTTTACGGGTTCAGCGCATCACTCACTCTCTGGTATGCCATGATCAGGGCCAACAGGGATACTGTCTTCCCGGTGCCTGAGGGCATCTCCAGGACTCCATGACCCTGCATGTTGGGGACCAGAGGGGCAACACACAGGGTCTCAGAACCTTGGGCACACAAACTCTGGGGACTCTCCCCGACCCCCAATGCCACCAACTCAGAACAGCAGGATAACACAGCAGCAGTTAAGATTGGGCAGTGGGTTTGAACCTCACTTCTGCCTCCTCCTTGTTGAGTGGTCTTAGGCAAGTACCTTCACCTCCCCAGACCTCAGTATCCCTATCTCTAAAATGAGCCTAAAGCCAGGCGTGGTGGCTCACACCTGTAATCCCAGCACTTTGGGAGGCTGAGGCAGGTGAACCACCTGAGGTCAGAAGTTCAAGACCAGCTGGGCCAACAAGGTGAAACCCCGTCTCTACTAAAAATACAAAAAATTAGCCAGATGTGGTGGCGCGCACCTGTAATTCAATCTCAAAAATAAATAAATAAAATAAAATGGGCCTAATAATAAAACCTTCCTCATAACATGACTATGAGGATTGTGAGAAATTGCAGGTTAAATATTTGGCACAGTAGCTGATATATAGTGAACTTTTCTCCCTTCTTTTTTAAGAGACAAGTGTCACTATTGCCCAGGCTGGAATGCAGTGGCACAATCATGGCTCACTGCAGCCTCCAACTCCTGGCCTCAAGCGATCCTCCTGCCTCAGCCTCCCGAGTAGGTGGGATTACAGGCGCCCGCCACCACACCTGGCTAATTTTTGTATTTTTAGTACAGACGGGGTTTCACCGTGTTGGCCAGGCTGGTCTCCAACTCCTGACCTCAAGTGATCCGCCCGCCTCGTCCTCCCAAAGCTCTGGGATTACAGGCGCGAGCCACCGCGCCCAGCCTATTCACCATTATTGTTTTAGATAACGGAAGATTATGGGGTCCTGGATTCCCAGGGACCTCGGACTTCTAAAATCCAGACGTCCTGCAATCTGTCTTAGGCCCAGGCGTGGCAGCCCCACCGGTCGAGTGGGCGGGTCGGGCCCACCGGCCACCCACCTTGGCGTCCAGCGTGCGTTTGAGCTCCCGCATGTAGGAGAACTGCTCGGGGTAGATGTAGTCGTACGGGAAGTAGACCAGGAGCCCGTCCACGTTGAGCCTGGCGGCAGGGGCTGCTGGGTCAGTTCCCGTCCCCTCAGCCCCTCTCCCGCCTCCACAGTGCCCGGTCGTCGAGCCCAGAGAAGGGTGACGGGCCCGGCGCCCCCGGTAACCCTCAGGTCCTCAGGAGCCTCGGGGCCCCCTCAGTGTCTCCTCGCTATCACTGCTGCTCCCTGCGGCTGCCCCCGTCCCACCCCTTCACCCTCCCCTCGCCCCCTTGGGGACCCAGGCGCGCCCACCGATGACCCCATCTTCAAGACCCCCCGCGCCCGCTAGCGAGCGCGACCCCCAGCCCCCTTCTCACTTCATGGCGCCGGCCGGACTGTGCAGCGGGGTCGACCCGCCTCCCTCATGAATATTCAGCGAGAGGCCGGGTCGTGGACATCCTCGAGGGCTCGCTCCACCTATATTACGAGACCATTGGCTAACCTGCCCGTCAATCCGCTAGGGCAGAGCCAATCGGGATACTGCGCGTGCGCACGGAAAAGCGAGGGCGGCTGACTCTCGGGTGAGGCGGTGCGGGAGGCGTCACTGAGGATCGTCGAGGGCCAATCAAAAAGAAAACATGGAAGGGAAAGAGCCGAGAGACTCGATCTCATTCACTAGAATTTGGTCCTCCTGCGCCTGCCAAGATTGTCTGAGTATTGATCGAACCCAGGAGTTCGAGATCAGCTTGAGCAAGATAGCGAGAACCCCCGCCCCTCCACCTCGTCTCAAAAAAAAAAAAAAATCGTCTCAGTAGCGAATAGTCTAACGGAGAATGACAGGGAAATTGGTGATCCTTTCTGGGCCCAAGAGTTAGAAATGGCTTTGCAGGCCGGGCGCGGTGGCTCAAGCCTGTAATCCCAGCACTTTGGGAGGCTGAGGCAGGTGGATCACCTGAGGTCGGGAGTTCAAGACCAGCCTGACCAACATGGAGAAAACCTGTCTCTACTAAAGATACAAAATTAGCCGGGCGTGCTGGCAAATGCTTGTAATCCCAGCTACTCGGGAGGCTGAAGCAGGAGAATTGCTTGAACCTGGGAGGCAGAGGTTGCAGTGAGCAGAGATGGCGCCGTCGCACTCTAGCCTGGGCAACAAAAGCGAAACTCCATTTCAAATATTAATAATAATAACTAATAAATAAAACATAAATGCTAGCTTTTGTTTGTTTCTTCAACAAATAGCTATGTGGCATCTACCATGTGTCTGATCCTGTGCTGGCCCCTGGGAACAGAAAGGTGACCATGACAGCCTCAGCACCTGCCCTCAAAGAACAGATTTTTTTCCTTGAGACAGGGTCTTTCTCTGTCGCCAAGGCTGGAGTGCAGTGGCACAGTCACAGCTCACTGCAGCCTCCACCTCTTGGGCTCAAGCGATCCTCCCACCTCAGCTTCCAGAGTAGCTGGGACCACAGGTGTGCACCACCAAGCCCAGCTAAGTTTTATTTTTTAAATTTTTTTAGAGACGAGGTCTCACCACGTTGCCCAGGCTGGTTAAACTCGCAGGTTCAAGTGATCCTCTCCCCTCAGCCTTTCAAATTGTTGGGATTACAGGGGTGAGGCACCAGGCCTGGCCTCAAAGAACAGATATTAAATATACAAATGAATATATGATTACAGCCTGGAGTGGTGGCTCGTGCCTGTGGTTCCAACACTTTGGAAGGCCAAGGCGAGTACATTGCTTGAGCTCAGGAGCTAGAGACCAGCCTGGGCAACATGGTGAAAACCCGTCTCTACAAAAAATGCAAAAATTAGCTGGGCGTGGTGGCGTGCACCTGTAGTCCCAGATACTCAGGAGGCTGAGGTGGGAGAATCACCTGGGCCTGGGAGGCAGAGGTTGCAATGGGCAGTGATTGTGCCACTGCACTCCAGCCTGGGCAACAGGAGTGAAAACCTATCTCAAATGTGTGTGTGTGTGTGTGTGTGTGTGTGTGTGCGCACGTGTATAATCACAAGTACAAAAGTGCTGTGAAGGAAAACTTCAAGTCACCATAAAGATTGATTATGGGCTGGGTGCAGTGGCTCATGCCTGTAATCCCAGCACTTTGGGAGGCCAAGGCAGATGGATCACGAGGTCAGGAGTTCAAGACCAGCCTGGTCAACATGGTGAAACCCTATCTCTACTAAAAAAAAAAAAAAAAAAAAAAAAGCCAGGCATAGTGGCATGCATCTGTAATCCCATCTACTCGGGAGGCTAAAGCAGGAGAATTGCTTGAACCCAGGAGGCAGAAGTGAGCCAAGATCACGCCACTGCACTCCAGCCTGCGTGACAGAGCAAGACTCCGTCCCAGAAAAAGAAAAAAAAAAAAGACTTATTATGACAGGATGTCTACTGTCAACTGTGGGGTGTGAGTGTTGGCCAAGTGATCAGAGAAGGCTTCGTGGAAGAAGCGAGGTTTGAGTAGAGCCAGAAAATAATTAGAAGAGATCAACCAGCAAGAGGGGATGGATGAGAGAAGTGAGAAAGGTGTTCCAGGGAGAGAGACCATCATACACAAAAGCTCTAGGCCAGAAGAAAGCTGAGGCCTGTGAGTGCTGAAAGGAAGCCTGTGGGGGTGGAGCTCTGAGTTGAGCACAGGGAGCAGAGAAAGGGCAGCTGGAGGGGAAGGCAGGGGCAGATCGAAATCTCTTTTTTAAATTAATTAATTCTTAATTTATTTATTTTTGAGACAAGGTCTCACTCTTTCGCCCAGACTGGAGTACAGTGGCACAATCTCAGCGCACCGCAACCTCTGCCACCCAGGCTCAAGCAATTCTCTGGCCTCAGCCTCCCTAGTAGCTGGGATTACAGGTGCGCACCACTACTGCCCAGCTAATTTTTATACTTTTAGTAGAAACGGGGTTTCACTATGTTGGCCAGGCTGGCCTCAAACTCCTGACCTCAAAAGATCCACCCACTTCAGCCTCCCAAAGTGCTGGGATTACAGGTGTGAGCCACCCTTCCCGGCTGTATTTTTGGAGACAGAGTCTTGCTCTGTCCCAGCCTGGAGTATGGTGGTGTGAATTTGGCTCATTGCCACCTTGACCTCCAGGGCTCAAGTGATCCTCCCACCTCAGCCTCCTGAGTAGCTGGGACTGCGGGTACACGACACCACGCCTGGTTAATTTTTTTTAATTTTTTGTAGAGACGAGGGTATCTCACTATGTTGTCCAGGCTGGTTGAACTCCTGAGCTCAAGCAATTCTCCCACCTCAGCCTCCCAAAGTGGTGGGATTACAGACGTGAGCCACTGTGCCCGGCTTAATTTATTTACATAAATTTTTTTATGTTTACTTTTCTATCTCCTACAGGAAGAAAATATATTTTGTTATTGACAGGGTCTCGCTATGTTGCCCAGGCTGGTATTGGGCTCAAGCCATCCTGTTCCCTCAGCCTCCCAAAGTACTGGGATTACAAGCGTGAGCCTCTGCATCCAGCCCAGATCCAAAATCTTTACTGTCACCTACAGAGTCCTCTGTAACTAGCTTACTGCTCATCATCCCCATACCAACCCACCTTACTGCTCTGATCTCCTCCTCTCTCTCCCCCAGCTCATTTTGTTTCAGCTATGCTGGTCTCCTTGCTGTCTCTAAAACATAACAAGCACATCCCATCTCAGGGCCTTTGCACCAGCTATTTTGTCTGCCTGGAATGCTGTTTCCCCTGATAGCCATGTGGCTGACACACTCACCTCCCTCAGCTCTTTGCTCAATTGTCAACTTCTCGGCCCGGCATGGTGGCTCACACCTGTAATCCTACCACTTTGGGAGGCTGAGGTGGGCAGATCACCTGAGATCAGGAGTTCGAGACCAGCCTGGCCAAGATGGTGAAATCCCGTCTCTACTAAAAATACAAAAATTGGCAAAGCATGGTAGCACATACCAGTAATCCTAGCTACCCGGGAGGCTGAGGCAGGAGAATTGCTGGAACCCGGGAGGCAGAGGCTGCAGTGAGCCAAGATCATGCCACTGTACTCCAGCCTGGGTGACAAAGCAAGACTCTGTCTCAAAAAAAAAAAAGTCTCCTTCTCAATGAGGGCTTCCTGACCACCAAATTAAATCTACCTCCTAGACACACACACACACGCACGCACGCACGCACACACACACACGCACGCACGCACACACACACACACACACACACTATATCCCCTTTCCCTGCTTTATTGTTCTTGAGAGCTCATTTAACCATGTGACATGCTGAATATTTTACTTATTTATTTTGTTTAGAAAGCTCCTGGCTGGGCGCGGGGGCTCACGCCTGTAATCCCAGCACTTTGGGAGGCTGGAACAGGTGGATCATGTGAGGTCAGGAGTTCCAGACCAGCCTGACCAACACGGTGAAACCTCATCTCTATTAAAAATGCAAAAATTAGCTGGGTGTGGTGTCGCATGCCTGTAATCCCAACTACTCAGAAGGCTGAAGCAGGAGAATCGCTTGAACCTGGGAGGCAGAGGTTAACGCTGAGCCGAGATCGCGCCATTGCACTCCAGCCTGGGCAACAAGAGTGAAACTCTGTCTCGAAAAAAACAAAAGTCAGCTCCATGGCAGGAGTGATGGCTCACGCCTATAATCCCAGCACTTTGTGAGGCCGAGGCGGGCGGATCACTTGAGGTCAGGAGTTGGAGACCAGCCTGGCCAACATGGTGAAACCTCATCTCTACTAAAAATACAAAAATTAGCCGGGCGTGGTGACACATGTCTGTAGTCCCAGCTACTTGGGAGGCTGAGGCTGGAGAATGGCTTGAACCTGGGAGGTAGAGGTTGCAGTAAGCCAAGATCGCGCCATTGCTCTCCATCCTGGGCAACAGACTCCGTCTCAGAAAGGAAGAAAGAAGGAAAGAGAGAAAGAGAGAAAGAGACAGAGAGAGAGAGAGAAAGGGAGAAAGAGAGAAAGGATGGAAGGACCCTGACAAGCACTGTTGCATAAAAGTTTCTTTTCTCTCTCTTTTTTTTTTTTTTTTTTTTTTGAGACAGGGTCTCACTTCTGTTGCTCCAGCTGAAGTGCAGTGGTGAGAACATGGCTCAGTGCAGCCTCAACTTCCCAGGCTTAAGTGATCCTGCCACCTCAGCCTCCTGAGTAGCTGGGACTGTAGGTGTGCACCACCGTGCCTAGCTAATTTTTTGTATTTTTAGTAGAGACATGGTTCCGCCACGTTGCCCAGGCTGGTCTTGAACTCCTGGGCTTAAGGGATCTGCCCGCCATGGCCTCCCAAAGTGCTGGGATTACCAGCGTGAGCCACTGTACCCAGCCTGAGTATAGGTTTCTGATAAATTTTAGGATCATATTGTTTGGACTGGGTAAGAATTTCCAGAACTCTAATGAAGAAACTGACTGGTTTATATTTTATTTTATTTTATTTTATTATTTTTGAGATGGATTTTCACTCTTGTTGCCCAAGCTGGATTGCAGTGGCACGATCTTGGCTCACCACAACCTCCGCCTCCCGGTTTCAAGTGATTCTCCTGCCTCAGCCTCCCCAGGAGCTGGGATTACAGGCACCCACCACCATGCTCGGCTATTTTTTTTTTTATTTTTTTATTTTTAGTAGAGACGGGGTTTCACCATGTTGGCCAGGCTGGTCTCGAACTCCTGACCTCAGGTGATCCACCTGCCTTGGCCTCCCAAAGCGCTGGGATTACAGGCATGAGCCACTGTGCAAGGCCTAGGCTGGTTTATAAAATTGCTAAACCAAGCAGAACATGAATTAAATACCAAGGAAATACTCTCCTAGATTGTCATGTTACATCAGCCAATACTAAAATTGTCAAGATACACAATTTGAATGAACTCCATGGTCCAAGTCGAATTATCTATGATATTACCCATCTAATAAACAGCACTATGTCCCTTAATGGGAGAAAAAGTTGGAGAATTTAAGAGAATATCAATCCAATGTTGGTTGGGTGCAGTGAATCATGTCTATATTCCCAGCACTTTGGGAGGCCAAGGCAGGAGGATCACTTGAGCCCAGGAATTCAAGGCCAGCCTCGGCAACACGGTGAGATCCTGTCTCTACGGAAAATTAAAAAAAAAAAAAGAGAGAGATTAGTGGGATGTGGTGCCTATAGTCCCAGCTACTTGGGAGGCTGAGGCGGGAGGATCATTTAAGCCTGGGACGTTGAGGTTGCAGTGAACCATGAGTGAGACTCATCTCAAAAAAAAAAAAAAAATGGCGATCACTAGAGGAAAAAAAAACTAAAGTGGGGTTTGCGGGTAGTGGGAGGGCCCTTCCTGCTAGGTTGCACTATGATCTCCAGGGAGGCTCCACGGGAGAATCATTTCCTTGTCTTTTTCAGTTTCTAGAGCCAAATTCTTTGCATACCTTGCATTCCTTGGCTCGGAACCCCTTCCCTAACCTTCAAAGCTGGCAGCTAGCCTCTGGCTCAAGTGTCACATGGCCTGTCTCTGTCTTCCTATCCAATCTTCCTCTTATAAGAACATTGGAGCCAGGCATGGTGGCTGACGCCTGTAATCCCAGCACTTTGGGAGACCGAGGCAGGCGGATCACAAGGTCAGGAGTTCGAGACCAGCCTGGCCAACACAGTGAAACCCCGTCTCTACTAAAAAAATACAAAAAAGTAGCCGGGCATGGTGGCAGGTGCCTGTAATCCCAGCTACTTGAGAGGCTGAGGCAGGAGAATCGCTTGAACCTGGGAGGCAGAGGTTGCAGTGAGACGAGATCGTGCCACTGCACTCCAGCCTGGGTGACAATGCAAGACTCCATCTCAAAAAAAAAAAAAAAAAAAGAACACTGGAGACCAGGTTTAGGGCTCACTCAGATACTCCAGGATTATTGTCTCATTTTCAGATCCTCAAGGTCAGCACAACTGCAACCTCCCTTTTACCATATAAGGTCACATTCACAGATTATGAATTTGACAAACCAAAAATTGGTCATAAACTATGTTAGCAATTTGGAAACAGTCATCATAGCAATATATTTCATTTGAATCATTATCTCTCTCATGATGAATCACGGAGTGCAGAGGTTTGGTTTTATTTATTATTTTTCTTTTTCTTTTTTTTTGAGACGGAGTCTCGCTCTGTCACCCAGGATGGAGTGCAGTGGCGCGATCTCAGCTCACTGCAACCTCCACCTCCTGGGTTCAAGCAATTCTCCTGCCTCAGCCTCCTGAGTAGCTGAGATTACAGACGCCCACCACCACGCCCGGCTAATTTTTTGTATTTTTAGTAGAGATGGGGTTTCACCATCTTGGCCAGGCTGGTCTTGAACTCCTGACCTCATGATCCACCTGCCTGGGCCTCCCAAAGTGTTGGGATTACAGGCGTGAGCTATGGCTCCTGGTCTTTATTTATTTTTCATTTTTAAAAATTATTTTGAGGCCAGGCGCGGCGGCTCACGCCTGTAATCCCAGCACTTTGGGAGGCCGAGGCAGGCGGATCATGACGTCAGGAGATCAAGACCATCTTGGCTAACACAGTGAAACTCCATCTCTACTAAAAATACAAAAAATTAGCCGGACGCCATGGCGGGAGCCTGTAGCCCCAGCTACTCGGGAGGCTGAGGCAGGAGAATGGCATGAACCCAGGAGGCGGAGCTTGCAGTGAGCCGAGATAGTGCCAATGCAGTCCGGCCTGGGCGAAACAGCGAGACTCCGTCGCAAAAAAAAAAAAATAATAATAAATAATAAATAAAAATAAAAATAAAATAAAAAAATAAAAATAATAAAATAAATAAAAATTATTTTGAGACAAAGTCTATTCTGTGGCAGAGGCTGGAATGCAGTGGCGTGATCACAGCTTACTGCAGCTTCTACCTCCTGAGCTCAAGCGATCCTTCCACCTTGGCTTCCTGAGTAGCTGGGACCTCAGGTGTACATTACCACGCTCAGCTAATTATTTATTTATTTATTATATTTTTGTGACGGAGTTTCGCTCTTGTTGCCCGGGCTGGAGTGCAATGGTGCTATCTCAGCTCACTGCAACCTCTGCCTCCTGGATTCCAGTGATTCTCCTGTCTCAGCTTCCTGAGTAGCTGGGATTACAGGTACATGCCATCACGCCCAGCTAATTTTTGTATTTTTAGTAGAGACGGGGTTTCATCATATTGGTCAGGCTGGTCTCGAACTCCTGACCTCAGGTGATCCACCTGCCTTGGCCTCCCAAAGTGCTGGGATTACAGGCGTGAGGCACCACGCCCGGCAATTTTTTTTTTCTTTTTTTTTTTTCAGACAGAGTCTTGCTCTGTCACCCAGGCTGGAGTGCAGTAGCGTGATCTCGGTTTACTGCAACCTCCATCTCCCGGGTTCAAGCGATTCTCCTTTCTCAGCCTCCCAAGTAGCTGGGACTACAGGTGCACACCACCACGGCGGGCTAATTTTTGTATTTTTAGTAGACACCAGGTTTCACCATATTGGTCAGACTGGTCTCAAACTCCTGACCTCAGGTGATCCATCTGCCTCAGCCTCCCAAATTGCTGGGATTACAAGCGTGAGCCACACACCTGGCTTAATTTTTTTATTTTTGATCGACACAGGGTCTCCCTATGTTGTCCAAGCTGGCAGAGATTTTTGTTTGTTTGTTTGAGAGGGAATTTTGCTCTTGTAGCCCAGGCTGGAGTACAATGGTGCAATCTTGGCTCACCACAACTTCCGCCTCCCGGGTTTAACAGATTCTCCTGCCTCAGCCTCCCAAGTAGCTGGAACTACAGGCACCTACCACCACACCAGGCTAATTTTTGTGCTTTTTAGTAGAGATGAGGTTTCACCATGTTGGCCAGGCTGGTCTTAAACTCCTGGCCTCCAGTGATCCACCCGCCTTGACCTCCCAAAGTGCTGAAATTACAGGCGTGAGCCACCGCGCCTGGCCTCTCAACCTACAATTTCAACACCCAAGGAAACAGCCCACCATGAGTGAGAACCAGCAGACACAACAAACTATAGGATTAGCTGCCTCCAAACTTCAGGTGATAGAATTATCAGGCATGTACTTGAAACTAAAGGACACAAAAGAAGAATCCGAAATATAAAATAAAGGATTGGACTTGTGTGAAAAGAATCCCTTAGAAAGGGCTACTTTCAGGCTGGCCATGGTGGCTAATGGCCTGTAATCCCAGCACTTTGGAAGGCCGAGGTGTGTGGATCACCTGAGGTCAAGAGTTCAAGACCAGCCTGGCCAACATGGTGAAACCCCGTCTCTACTGAAAATACAAAAATTAGCCAGGTGGGGTGGCAGATGCCTGTAATCCCAGCTACTCGGGAGGCTGAGGCAGGAGAATCGCTTGAACTCAGGAGGCAGAGGTTGCAGTGAGCTGAGATTGCGCTATCGTGCCCCAGCCTGGGCACTAGAGTGAGATCAAAAAAAAAAAAAAAAAAAGAAGAAGAAGAAGAAAGGGCTACTTTCAGACTGCCTTGCCAAAAATCATAACCACAATGATGAGCATGTATTGAGTCAAAACAGAATCAAAAGAGAAGAAAGTCAATTTCTGTGCAAACTACTTTTATTTATAAGGAAAGTTTCTCTATTTTGTTTATAAACATTAAACCAGTGCTGTGTGAAGGCACTTAATTGGGGAGAGGTGGGGCAGGGATCCTGGTAGAGACCAATGTTTCCCACCCAGACCCCAAGACTGCTGGGAGAGATGGTGTCAGCAGTGACTCCCAGGAATATCCAGTGGTGTGGTGGCCCATCCCAGGCCCGGCTGGGCAGGTGGCTGGCTTGCTGGGGGATGTGATGATGGTGGTAGGCATGGGAGGCACTTTGGACGGGATCTGATTTGGCAAAAGGAAGTGGTTTCCTGTCCCCAGTGATTTCCAGCCCTTCCCAGACCTCCCAAGGCTAAGGCAGATTACTAAATTTAAGGCTGGGGCCCTCCTTCTTCCCTGGACTTCCAGGAGAACAGAGAACCGGTGGCAAGGACCACCACCAGCAGGGTGAGGGGTGCAGATAAAGGCAGCAAAAAACAGAGGGAGAGGTCTGGAGGGAAGGCAGGAATGCTTGTTTCTGTCAGCCTCAGAAACCTCCTTCTATCCTGCTAGACTTTACTCCTTTGAGGCTTCACCCTGGGGAACAGCTGGGGAGAGACAGGATCTTCAGACATCAGGAGCTCCCACCTCCTCATCCCACATGCAAATCCGCTGCCTGTCTCTATCCTCCCACCCCTTCCTAAGGGGACCTCTCAGCACCTCCCAAACTGCTCCAGAATCCAAGTTCTGTGTCACCTCCAAGAACCAGATGGAACCTTCCAATCAGAGCCTCCACTGATGAAATGGAATATTTCCAGTGTCTCCTAACTGCCATAAGGAGAAGCCCACCTCTCTCTAACACCTTGGTTGTCTTTTTGGGTCCCACCTCCATATTTAAAAAATCTCCTCTCTCAGGGCCGGGAGCAGTGGGTCACACCTATAATCCCAGCAGTTTGGGAGGCCGAGGTGGGTGGATGACCTGAGCTCAGGAGTTCAAGACAAGCCTGGTCAACATGACGAGACCCTGTCTCTACTAAAAACACAAAAAATTAGCTGGGCGTGGTGGTGCATGCCCGTAATCCCAGCTACTTGGGAGGCTGAGGCAGGAGAATCACTTGAATCCGGGAGGTGGAGGCTGCAGTGAGCCAAGATCGCGCCACTGCACTCCAGCCTGGGCGACGCAGCTGAAGCTGTGTCTCCAAAAACAAAACACACACACACACACACACAGAAAAAAAAAACCAAAATAAAAAAATCTCCCTTCTCAGGAATGTAACGGAATCTTCCTTGCCTTCTCCCCTAACCCTAATAGAGAATTTTCCTCAGTTACACTGTAATTTTATTAATGGATTTTTCCTCATTCTGCCCAATGCAGTGTAATGAAAGCTTCCTCTCCATCTGTTATATTATATATAAATATATATTATATATTTATATATTATATATTTATATATAACATATATTTTTATTGTCACCCAGGCTGGAGTGCAGTGGCACCATCAGGGCTCACTGCAGGATCAATCTCCCAGGCTTAAGCGATTCTCCTGTGTCAGCCTCCTGATGAGCTGGGATTACAGGCACCCGCCACCACACCCGGCTAACTTTTTTTTTTTGTATTTTTAGTAGAGATGGAGTTTCACCATGTTGGCCAGGCTGGTCTAGAACTCCTGACCTCAGGAGATCCGCCCGCCTTGGCCTCCCAAAGTGCTGGGATTACAGGTGTGAGCCACCTGGCCGGGCCCTCCACTTCCTTCTTGTACATTGCTGAATCCCTGTGTCAGCCCTAGAGGTCCAGTCTTTTGCCCTCTCCCAGCCTTAATCTACAATTCTGTAACCCACCCACCATCATTAAAATGAGATTCTTCTTTGTCGCTTCCCTTGGCTAAAATGGATTATTCTTTAACCTCTCCACCAATACAACCAGGGATGATAATAAAAACATTGGATTGAGCAGAAACCAATCAAATAACTAGTAAGGCAGTACTGGCGAGCACCCTACATCCTGACAGCTTTATAAAGGGCGCTTCCAGCCAGGTGCGGTGGCACATGCCTGTAATCCCAGGACTTTGGGAGGCTGAGGCGGGCAGGTCACCTGAGGTCAGGAGTTCAAGACCAGCCTGGCCAACGTGATGAAACCCTGTCTACACAAAATACAAAAAAAAAAAAAAAATTAGCCGTGCGTGGTGGCATGCGCCTGTCATCCCAGCTACTCTGGAGGCCAAGGAGGGAGGATCACTTGAGCCCGGGAGGCAGAGGTTGCAGTGAGCCCACATCTTATCACTGCACTCCAGTCTGGGTGACAAAGCAAGACTCCATCTCAAATAAATAAATACAAATTGGCCGGGTGCGGTGGCTCATGCCTGTAATCCCAGCACTTTGGGAGACCAAGGCAGGTGGATCATTTGAGGTCAGTAGATCAAAACCAGCCTGGCCAACATGGTGAAACCCCGTCTCTACTAAAAATACAAAAAGTAGCCGGGCGTGGTGGTGGTGGGCGCCTGTAATCCCAGGCAGGAGAACTGGTTGAGCCCGGGTGGGGGGGGCCCGAGGTTGCAGTGAGCACAGATGGCGCCATTGCACTCCAGCCTGGGCGACAGAGCGAGACTCCGTTTCAGAAATAAATAAATAAAATAAAAATAAAAATAAAAAAATAATAGAAATTTAAAAATAAAATAAAGGGCTTTTCCTCACCTACTCCACTAACTATAAGGGACCCTTACCCCCGACATTACTATTAAATATAACGGACTTTTCGTCTCCTCCCCATGAGCAATAATGAGCTTTTCAGACCTCCCTCTCCCAATATAACGGTTTGTTCCTGTTGCCTCTTCTTTTTCCTGTGGGATCCCCCTTTTCCCCAACCCCCAACTGTCGGGAGGTCCCCATGACTTCTCCCCTGGGCTCACCCCGAAGTAGTTCCGCGGCACGTAGCCCTCCTGGCCGTGCAGCGCGGCCCACCACCAGTCGGTCTCCTCCGGCCCGTCCCTCCGCAGCACGGTGACCGACTCGCCCTCGCGGAAGGACAGCTCGTCCCCGAACTCGGCGCTGTAGTCCCAGAGAGCGTACACTGCCCCGCTGTTCATCAGCCCCATACTCTGCTCGACGTCTGAAACATGCCACGGAGGGGAAGGTGAGAGCCTGGCCCAGGGGGTCCAGGAACAGGGGCCACGTGGGGTCCAGGACAGACCCTGGAATTTGGCGCCTGTCCCAGCAACCACCTGAAATGTTGTGTGTGCCCATGGCTGTGGATGGGAACCGGAGCTGGAGTCAGATGCCGGGACTGGCCGTCTTTGAGCGTTCGAGGAAACTGGGGGAGGCATGCCAGTGGGCCACCCACTCCCGAGGCAGGGTCAGAGGCTCCCATTTCTTTTCTTTCTTTTTTTTTTTTTTTTGAGACAGAGTCTCGCTCTGTCGCCCAGGCTGGAGTGCAGTGGCACGATCTCGGCTCACTGCAACCTCCGCCTCCCGGGTTCACACCATTCTCCTGCCTCAGCCTCCCGAGTAGCTGGGACTACAGGCGCCCGCCACCACGCCTGGCTAATTTTTGGTATTTTTAGTAGAGTCAGGGTTTCACCGTGTTAGCCAGGATGGTCTCGATCTCCTGACCTTGTGATCCGCCCACATTGGCCTCCCAAAGTGCTGGGATTACAGGCGTGAGCCACCGCGCCCGGCCTTTTTTTTTTTTTTTTTTTTTTTGAGATGGAATTTCGCTCTTGTCGCCCAGGCAGGAGTGCAATGGTGCGGTCTCACTGCAACCTCCGCCTCCGGAGTTCGAGCCATTCTCCTGCCTCAGCCTTCCAAGTAGCTGGGATTACAGGTGTGCGCCACCATGCCTGGCCAATTTTTGTATCTTTAGTAGAGACGGGGTTTCACCATGTTGGTCAGGCTGGTATCAAACTCCTGACCTCAAGTGATCCACCCGCCTCGGCCTCCCAAAGTGCTGGGATTACAGGCGTGAGCCACCTGGCCCGGCCCTCATTTCCTTCTTGTACATTGCTGAATGCCCGTGTCAACCCTAGAGGTCCAGTCTTTTGCCCTACCCTGGCGCTTAGCTTAAGTGGTACAGTCTCTAAGGAAGATTCGCACCTTCCTTGAATGATAGGGTCCTTTAAGTTGGCTCATCTGCCTCTTTCTTTTCTTTTCTTTTCTTTTCTTTTTGGAGACGGAGTCTTGCTCTGTCGCCCAGGCTGGAGTGCAGTGGCGCGATTTCGGCTCACTGCAACCTCCGCCTCCTGGGTTCCAGCAATTCTCCTGCCTCAGCCTCCAAAGTAGCTGGGACTACAGGCCCACGCCGCTACACCCGGCTAAATTGTTTTATATTTTTAATAGAGACGGGGTTTCACCGTGTTGCCCAGGCTGGTTTGGAAATCCTGAGCTCATGCAATCCGCCCGCCTCGAGCCTCCCAAAGTGCTAGGATTACAGGCATGAGCCACCGCGCCTGGCTTTCTTTTTCTTTTCTTTTCTTTTTTTTTTTCAGACAAGGTCTCACTCTGCCACCCAGGCTGCGGGAGTGCAGTGGTGAGATCAAGCTTACTGCAGCCTCGAACTTCCAGATTCAAGCAATCCTCCTGCCTCAGCCTCCTCCTGATTCTTTATGTTATTATTAAATATTTTGTAGGCCGGGCACAGTGGCTCACACCTATAATCACAGCACTTTGGGAGGCCAAGGCAGGCGGATCCTCTGAGGTCAGGGGTTTGAGACCAGCCTGGCCAACATGGCAAAACCCCGTCTCTACTAAAAATACAAAAAAAAAAAAAAAAAAAGTTAGCGGGCCGTGGGGCCCTTGCCTGTAATCCCAGTTACTCGGGAGCCTGAGGCAGGAGAATCGCTTTCACCGAGGAGGCAGAGGTTGTAGTGGGCTATGGTGCCATTGCACTCCAGCCTGGGTGACAGAGCAAGACTCTGTCTCAAAAAATAAATAAATAAAAATAAATAAATATTTCGTAGAGGTCAGGTGTGGTGGCTCACACCTGAATCTTAGCACTTTGGGAGGCCAAGGTGGGCAGATTGCCTGAGCTCAAGAGTTCGGGACCAGCCTGGGCAACACTGCAAAACCCCTTCTGTACTAAAAATACAAAAAAATGAGTCGGGCATGGTGGTGAGCACCTGTAGTCCCAGCTACTCAAGAGGCTGAGGCAGAGAATTGCTTGAATCCAGGAGGTGGAGGTTGCAGTGAGCCGAGATTGAGCCACTGCACTCCAGCCTGGGTGACAGTGAGACTCTGTCTCAAAAATAATAATAAATAAATATTTGTAGAGACAGGGGGTCTCTACAATGTCTTGTAGCCTGACCAGGCTCACCTTTCAAATATATAACCCTCTGTCTCACCCATAAGTCCTAGGACCTGCCTCACTCCAACTCTCCGTGAAGTTCCTTGCCCACACCGAGATACAACTGGCTCCTCCAGGTGTGAAATGACCCTGTGCACAATCCCCGTGGCACAGCCTACTTCGCCCTGCCCGTCGGGGAACCAGGTGATGTAGCCTGCCCCCTGGAGAGATAGGGTACAGCCTTGTGTCTTCCTACAAGCCCCTTTCTGGCAGCTGTAGCCTGCTCACCTGCCAGTGGTGTGGCAATGCCTCTCCCACAAGTGGCAGAGCCCACCTGCCCAGAGCCCTATGCCAGGTAGATGGCAGGGTTGAAACGTTCAGCTCCTCACCCTTGAAGATGTGAAAGGTGAGCAGACCAATCTTCACAGCCACTCTCCTCCCCAAAGGTGTCCAGCTCGCATAGCACAGCCTCCATGTCCCCTTTTCCCTTAGGAGGGCATAGTCCCCCCACCCCCGCAAGCGGTCCATCCCTCATCCTCCTCCTCGGCAATCCTGCCAAGTGGTTGGTACAGCCCCCATACCCTTCTCTCCCTAGTAGGGGGTAGTTGCTCCCCTCCCCGCTCCTGCGCACCCGCCAGGTACCCAGGCGCCAGCAGCCCTGCCTCGCACCTGCCAGGTAGGTGGCGCAGTCAGCATAACCCTCGCGGTAAGGGTCGCACTTCTCGAAGGCGGTGGCGCCGTCGCTGAGCGTGGTGGCGAAGATTGCAGCGCCGTGCTGCACCAGCGCCATGCAGATGACTGTGTCGTTGCACGACGCCGCGCAGTGCAAGGGTGTCCTAGGCGTGGGGGTGGGGGGTTGCGGGGAACGATGCGTGAGAGGCTGCGCGTCCGCCCACGGGGGACCCAGCCCACCGCGCGGGTCGGGGCTCACCAGCCGTGGCTGTCGGGGGAGTTGACATTGGCACCCGCGGTGATGAGGAAATCCACGATAGAGTAGTTGGCGCCGCAGATGGCGTTGTGCAAGGCAGTGATGCCCTCCTCGTTGGGCTGGCTCGGGTCGTTCATCTGAGTGCACCGGGGGAGGGGGAAGACTCAGTCCCGCGGCTGGCATCTGCGATGCCCCCGCCGTGCCCACCTCCCGCTCAGCAGCGCTCACCTCCTTCACCGCCTGCTGCACCACCTCCAGCTCCCCGGTCAGCGCCGCGTCCAGGAGGAGCACCAGAGGGTTGAGGCGCGCGCGGCGGGCCTTGCGCGGGGAGCCCGCCTTCCGCAGCACAGAGCGCATCTCCTGGGGGACAGGGCGCAGAGGTCAGCGACTTGGAGGGATTGTTAGTATATCCATGATCTAGAGTAGGAAACAGAGGTCCAGGGACTTGTGGCACCCATCTAGACAGGGGTAGAACTGGGATTCCCTCGGGATGGGGTGAGGGGGTGCCTTCGATCTCCTCCTAGAGCCTCCAGTTCCCTGCCATAGACAGGGAATCCTGTGATTTGAGAATCTTGGGCCCTGAAACTTGGGAGAAAGCTGGGGGGCCATGGGATTGGTGGCAAAGTAATTCTATCAGTTCAAAACAATGATTGTGGAAGCCAGTTATGCAATTCACACACAGTCTCACATTTCTTTTGTTAATAATGAATGCAATGAGACACACATGACAAAATGTTACCAGGAGTGTTCATTCCGGATGTTTGGAATTTGAGCATTTTATTATTCCTTGTATTTTCCTTTTCTTTTTCTCTTTTTTTTTTTTTTTTTGAGATGGAGTCTCGCTCTGTCACCCAGGCTGGAGTGCAGTGCAGTGGTGTGATCTCAGCTCACTGCACCCTCCATCCCCCAGGTTCAAGCAATTCTCCTGCCTCAGCCTCCTGAGTAGCTAGGATTACAGGCATGCGCCACTATGCCTGGCTAATTTTCATATTTTTAGTAGAGACAGGGTTTTGTCATGTTGTCCAGGCTGGTCTCGAACTCCTGACCTCAGGTGATCCACCCACCTCAGCCTCCCAAAGTGCTAGGATTACAGGTGTGAGCCACTGTGCCCAGCCTCATGGGCTTTCTTATTTTTAATTTTCCTCCTGTAAGATTCATTTATTCTGGGCTGGGCGAGGTGGCTCATGTCTGTAATCCTAGCACTTTGGGAGGCTGAGGTGGGAGGATCACTTGAGCCCAGGAGTTCGAGAACAGCTTGGGCAATATAGTGAGACCCAGTCTCTACAAAAAATAAAAAATTAGCCTGACATGGTGGCGCACACCCGTCGTCCCAGCTACTTGGGAGGCTGAGGCAGGAGGATTACTTGAATGGAAGAGAAGGAGGCTTCAGTGAGCCATGATCATGCCACTGCACTCTAGCCTGGGCAACAGAGTGAGACCCAGTCTCAAAAGAAAAAAAAATGCATTTATTTATTCCAAGTGTGTGAGTGCATAGCATTTGTGATTCTGGTCTTTGCTGTTTCCAGAGTTTCAGTGATTTTAAGATTCTGGAATTCAGAGATCCCAACAGCCACTGAATTCAAAATTCCCAGATGCTCAGTTATTTCAAGTTTCCAATATGTTGTGATTGCAGAAATGCTAGGCTGTGCTATTTCAAATTGCTGAGGGGCCAGGACTTTGGAATCCAAAGATTCTATGATGGAGAACTTTAATATTTTTCTGTTAGAATTTCTTTTTTTTGTTGGTTTTTTTGAGACAGAGTCTCGCTCTGTCGCCCAGGCTGGAGTGCAGTGGTGCGATCTCAGCTCACTGCAAGCTCCGCCTCCCGGGTTCAGGCCATTCTCCTGCCTCAGCCTGCCAAGTAGCTGGGACTACGGGCGCCCGCCACCACGCCTGGCTATTTTGTATTTTTAGTAAAGATGGGGTTTCACCGTGTTAGCCAGGAAGGTCTTGTTCTCCTGACCTCGTGATCCGCCCACCTCGGCCTCCCAAAGTGCTGGGATTACAGGTGTGAGCCATCATGCCTGACCTAGAATTTCATTTTAAAAGACTAGAAGGAAATGGCTGGGTGCGGTGGCTCATGTGTGTAATCTCAGCACTTTGGGAGGCTGAGGAGAGTGGATCACCTGAGGTCAGGCAGGAGTTCAAGACCAGCCTGGCCAACGTGGTGAAACCCTGTCTCTACTAAAAATACAAAAATTAGGTGGCCGTGGTGGTGCACGCCTGTAATCCCAGCTACTCAGGAGGCCGTGGCATGAGAATCACTTGAACCCAGGAGGCACAGTTATAGTGAGCTGAGATGGCACCATCGCACTCCAGCCTGGGTGACAGAGTGAGACTCCATCTCAAAAAAGGAAAAAAAAAAGAAAGACTAGAAGGAAATATTCAAAATGTTAATGATGGTTCCCTGTGAGTGGTGTGATTTTGTCCTCTTTCTTCTATTTTTATTTATTTTCCCCAAGCTCTCTATGGTGTTGGTGTATTTCTCTATAGTGGAATGTGTAAATTTAAAGTATAAATCTCAGCTGGGCACAGTGGCTCATGCCTGGTTTGAGACCAGCCTGGACAACATAATGAGAACTGTCTCTACTGAAAATGTTAAATATTATCTGGGAGTGGTGGTGCATGCCTGTAGTCCCAGCCATAGGGGAGGCTGAGGCATGAGGATCAATTGAGCCCAGTAGGTGGAGGCTGCAGTGAGCCATGATCTTGCCACTGCACTCCAGCCTGGGCAACAGAGTGAGACTCTGTCTCGATAATAATAACCCTCTATTACAACATATCAGTGCATGAATTTGTGATTTTATAATTCAAAATATGAGCATCTTTAATTGTCAGATTTGGTGACTTCAAGAATCAGTAATAATCAGTCTATGATACTAACTTTATAATTATTTTTTTTAAGAGAAGAGTTTCCTTTTATTTTATTTTATTTGAGACAGAGTTTCTCTCTGTTGCCCAGGCTGGAGTGCAGTGGCGCAATCTCGGCTCACTGCAGCCTCTGTCTCCTAGGTTCAAGCAATTCTCCTGCCTGAGCCTCCCGAGTAGCTGGGATTACAGGCATGCACCACCAGGCCCAGCTAATTTTTGTATTTTTAGCAGAGACGGGGTTTCACCATGTTGGCGAGGCTAGTCTTGAACTCCTGACCTCAAGTGATCCACCCGCCTCGGCCTCCCAAGGTGCTGGGATTACAGGCATGAGCCACCGTGCCCAGCCTAACTTTATAATTCTAAGATCGTGTTCAAACCTTTAAATGCTCTAGGGCTCTAAAATGTTACTATCCTAAGACGGTGACACTAGCGTTTGATTCTTACATTCTATGATTTTTTAAGTTTCTCTGTGGCCAGGACTCTGTGATTCTACAATGGGATGCTCAGCCATTTCAACATGTTGTTATTCATCCCCTCTTGATTTCAAAATCCTGAGCCTCAAGGTTCCTTGCCTTTACTTTCAGGAGGGCCTAGGAATAGGCATTTTGGGGGGGTCCACCTGACCCCTGCTTCTCTGAGAAGTGATCTCTTCCCGCTGTCTACGCACACGGAGTGTTCAGGACTGTTCCATGTGGCTACAACCCTCTTCCCAGTCAAGATGCAGGGACCAAGATCAGCAGGAGACCATCCCCTGGTCCAATGGTGACAACAGTAAGAGCAGTTAACAGTTATGTGCCAGGTATTATGCTAAGCACTACATTAATGTATTTAATCTTGGCGGGGTGTGGTGGCTCACACCTGTAATCCCAGCACTTTGGGAGGCCAGGGCGGGCAGATCACTTGAGGTCAGGAGTTCAAGACCAGCCTAGCCAACACAGTGAAACCCCATCTCTACTAAAAATACAAAAATTAGCCAAGCGTGGTGGCATATGCCTGTAATCCCAGCCACTTGGGAGACTGACGCAGGAGAATCACTTTAACCCAGGAGGTGGAGTCCAGCACCCAGCCGAGACTCACTTGTTTTTATTTATTTATTTATTTATTTTTATTTTTATTTTTTTTGAGACGGAATCTTGCTCTGTCACCCAGGCTGGAGTGCAGTGGCGCGATCTCAGCTCACCACAAGCTCCGCCTCCCGGGCTCACGCCATTCTCCTCTCAGCCTCCAGAGTAGCTGGGACTACAGGCGCCCGCCACCACCCCCAGCTAATTTTTGTATTTTTAGTAGAGACGGGGTTTCACCGTGTTAGCCAGGATGGTCTTATCTCCTGACTTCGTGATCCGCCCGCCTCGGCCTCCCAAAATGCTGGGATTACAGGCATGAACCACCACGCCCGGCCTATTTATTTATTTATTTAGAGATGGAGTCTTGCTCTGTCGCCCAGGCTGGAGTGCAGTGGTGCAGTCTTGGCTCACTGCAACCTCCGCCTTCCGGGTTTAAGCGATTCTCTTGCCTCAGCCTCCTGAGTAGCTGGGATTGGAATGAGACCACCACTTCTCCTGTTGTCCTTCCCAGCTTCTCCCCCACCTCCCCTTTTCCCTAGTTTATAAGACAGGAAAAAAAGGGAGAAAGCAAAACGCTGGAAAAAAACAGAAGTACGATAAATAGCTAGATGACCTTGGCGCCACCATCTGGTCCTGGTGGTTAAAATAATAATAATAATATTAATCCCTGACCAAAACTACTGGTGTTATCTGTAAATTCCAGACATTGTATGAGAAAGCACTGTAAAACGTTTTGTTCTGTTAGCTGATGTCTGTAGCCCCCAGTCACGTTCCTCACGCTTACTTGATCTATCGTGGCCCTTTCACGTGGACCCCTTAGCGTTGTAAGCCCTTAAAAGTGCTAGGAATTTCTTTTTCGGGGAGCTCGGCTCTTAAGACGCTGATGCTCCCGGCCGAATAAAAACCTCTTCCTTCTTTAATCCGGTGTCTGAGGAGTTTTGTCTGTGGCTCGTCCTGCTACAGAATTACAGGCACGCGCCACCGCTCCGGGCTAATTTTTGTATTTTTTTAGTAGACAGGGGGTTTCACCATGTTGGTCAGGCTGGACTTGAACCTCTGACCTCATGATCCACCCACCTCGGCCTCCCAAAGTGCTGGGATTACAGGCGTGAGCCACCGCGCCCGGCCGAGACTCACTATTTTATAAGAGGAGAGAGCAAAGCCAGGAACAGTGGCTCATGCCTCTAACTGCAGCAATTTGGGAGGCTGAGGCAGGTGGATCATTTGAAGTCAGGAGTTTGAGACCAGCCTGGCCAGCATGGTGAAACCTCATCTCTACTAAAAATACAAAAATTAGCCAGGAGTGGTGGCATACACTTATAATCCCAGCTACTTGGGAAGCTAAAGCGGGAGGATGGCTTGAACCTGGGAGGCGGAGGTTGCAGTGAGCCGAGGTCAAGCCACTGCACTCCAGCCTGAGTGATGGAGCAAGACTCTGCCTGGAAAAAAAAAAAAAATAGAGGAGAGAGCAGAGCAGACACAAGAGACACAGAGACAGAGAGGGAGAGAAGAGAGGGTGACTGCTTTGATTCAGGCAAGACTTCTCAGTCCCAGAATGAACCCACTGTTGTGCCAAGACTCAGTCATGTCCAGGTGTATGACTCGAGATTGCTGAAGGAATGCCCGGGGCAGGGCACAGGCACAGGTTATTGGAGAGAAGGAGCAGAGAACATCTCTATGTGGCCAAGACTCCCAGATGGCCCTCCATATAGTCACACACAGCTATCCTAAAGACTACATTTCCCAGCATCCCATTGCAATGAGGCTCCTGGCCAGTGGGAGCAGGCAGAGTGATGTATGGAACTCCCAGGTTCTGCCTGAAACAGGAAAGGGCACTTTCTCTTCTTCTTTCTCTCTTCCTGGCTGGAGGGCAGACTTGGTGACAGCCATCTAGGACCATGAAGGCAGGCTTACTCCCCGATGGATGGCAGAGCCCCAGGTAGATAGAGCCTGGGTCCTGACTCCAGTGAGGTGCCTACAGTCCTGGGCTGCAAACTCTTGGACTTCTACTCAAAAGAGGAGAAAACTTCGATCTCATCTAAGCCACTATATTTGGGGGGCTCTTTGCTACAGCTCCTGGATTCATGTAGCAAACATACCCCGGTTTCCTCCTGTATTACTTACCATGCTCTGCGGCTGCTCTGGTGGGCTGCTCTGGGACGGGGCCGGGGGTGGAATGGGAGCTGGTGGGGCAGGAGCAGGGGGCCCTGCCCTGGCCTCAGATCCCTCAGTGATGGGGGACAGCTCTGGCTCCGGCCCCCCGGGCCCTGGCCCCCCATGACGATGGAAGAGGCGGCTGATGATCTGCTGGTACTGTTTCTTGTGGGTAGGGGGCAGGGCCACAGCAGGGGCCTGCTCCATGGAGCCCCTGCGTTTGAGGGGCCGGGGAATTTCCGCCAACACCCGTGCCACCTCCTCCAGCTCGGGCACCGACTGTGCCTCCGGTGGCAGTGCTGGCTGCAGCCTCGTGGGGCTGAGAGGCCTTGCTACAGGGCCTTCATCCACATCGCCAGCCTCCAGCACTGGTGTCAGCAGCCCCTCTATCTCCGGCTCAGGCTCCAGCTCGGTGGGGGGTTTGGGGGGTCCTAGCCGGAACAAGAGCCCATCAGAGGACAGGTCCCCAGGAGACACCCAACACTCCCTCTCCACAACTTCCAGGGCATACAACCAGCACATGATTTTCTGTGTGACCTCAGGGAAGTTCCTTGCCCTCTCTGGGCTACACTTTCCTTGGGCTGTGAATAATATACAATTATGATGCCTCCCATTTATTGAGCAGTTAGTATGTGCCTGGCGCTTTACATGCCTACCTTATTGTAATCTCACCACTGCTTTGTGAGGTAGATACACTGCCATCTCCACATTACCGAAAGGGAATCTGGGCCTCAGAGAGGACAAGTCAGTTGCCCAAAGCCATGCAGTTGGGACTTGAACTCAGTTCTGGCTGACTCTAGAATCTACTTCTACCAACCGTGATAGATGTGATTTTCTGAGATCCTGAGAGTTTCCTCTCCTAACATCTCAGGCAGAAAACTCCAGCAGGAAGTAGAATCCTGGTGTTTAATGATTTCTTCTCTGTCTTACTCATTCTGACAGTAAAGCAGGTGGAAATAAAAATATGCATTATTGGCTGAGTCGAGTGGCTCACACCTGTAATCCCAGAACTTTGGGAGGCCGAGGCAGGCAGATCTCTTGAGATCAGGAGTTTGAGACCAGCCTGGCCAACATGGTAAAACCCTGTCTCTACTAAAAATACAAAAAAAAAAAAAAAAAAAAAAAAATTAGCTGGGCGTGGTGGCACATGCCTGTAATCCCAGCTACTCGGAAGGCTGAGGCACAGGAATCGCTTGAACCCAGGAGGCGGAGGTTGCAGTGAGCCGAGATTGCACCACTGCACCACTGCACTCCAGCCTGGGCAAAAGAGTGAGATTTCATCTCAAAATATATATATATACACACACACACACAAACACACACACACATTATATATATAGTGTATATATATTTTTATATAGTATGCATATACATATAAATAATACACACACACACACACGGCTGAGCATGGTGGCTCATGCCTGTAATCCCAGCACTTTGGGAGGCTGAGGTGGGTGGATCACCTGAGGTCAGGGGTTCGAGACCAGCCTGGCCAACATGGCAAAACCTCATCTCTACTAAAAACACAAAAAATTAGTTGGGTGTGGTGGTGCATGCCTGTAACCCCAGCTACTTGGGAAGCTGAGGTAGGAGAATCGCTTGAACCTGGGAGGTGTAGGATGCAGTGAGCTGAAACCTCACCACTGCATTCCAGCCTGGGCAAGAAGAGTGAAACTCCATCTTGGCTGGGCACGGTGGTTCACGCCTGTAATCCCAGCACTTTGGGAGGCCGAGGTGGGCAGATCATGAGGTCAGGAGATCGAGACCATCCTGGCTAACATGATGAAACCCCGTCTCTACTAAAAATACAAAAATTAGCTGGGGGTGGTGGTGGGCGCCTGTAGTCCCAGCCACTCGGGAGGCTGAGGCAGGAGAATGGCGTGAACCCGGGAGGCGGAGCTTGCAGTGAGCAAGCACCACTGCACTCCAACCTGGAAGAAAGAGCGAGACTCTGTCTCAAAAAAAAAGAGTGAAACTCTGTCTCAAAAATAAATAAATAAATAAACCCCAAAACACACACACATACACATTATTTCATTGAATCCCCGTCACAATTCTATAGGGTAGATATTATTAATCTCTCTTCACAGACGGGAAACAGAGTTTCGGACAAGTAATTTATCTTCAGTCACACAGCAAGTTAGCAGTGAAGAGAGACTCCAGCCCATCTGCTTAACTCACTGATCTCACACCTCAAAATATTAATAAATTATTATAACTAATATGGTAGCTATTTATTTGAGACTGGGTCTCACTCTGTCACCCAGGCTGGAGTGCAGTGGCGCTATCACAGCTCACTGCAGCCTGGATCTCCCAGGCTTAAATGATCCTCCCACCTCAGCATCCTGAGTAGCTGGGACTACAGGCGCCCACTACCATGCCCGGCAGATTTTTTGTACTTTTATTTTTAGTAAAGTCTATTTTAGTTTCACTATGTTGCCCAGGCTGGTCTTGAACTCCAGAGCTCAAGCAATCCTGTCTGCATTAGCCCACCAAACTGCTAGGATTACAAGGGTGAGCCACGGTGCCTGGCTAATATGGTAGCTATTGATAGCTTACTATGTATCAGATCCTATTTATTTATTTATTTTTGAGACAGAGTCTCACCCTGTCACCTGTGCTGGAGTGCAGTGGCATGATCTTGGCTCACTGCCACCTCCGCCTCCTTGGCTCAAGCTGAGTAGCTAGGACTACAGTGGTGAGCCACCATGCCCAGCTAATTTTTTTTTTTTTTTTTTTTTTTGATAGAGATGGGATTTCATCATGTTGTCCAGGCTGGTCTTGAACTCCTGACCTCAAGTGATCTGCCCACCTCGGCCTCCCAAAGTGCTGGGATTACAGGTGTGAGCAACTGCACCTGGCCCATCAGGTGCTGTTTTAAAGGCTTTATATGAATTTAATAACATATGTCAATAGGATCGATTCTATCATTATTTGCCTTTTTTTTTTTTTTTTTTTTTGAGGCAGAGTCTCCCCGTCACCCAGGATGGACTGCAGTGGCGCAATCTCGGCTCACTGCAACCTCCACCTCCCGGGTCCAAGTGATTCTCCTGCCTCAGCCTCCCAAGTAGCTGGGACTACAGGCGCCCGCCACCATGCCTGGCTAATTTTTGTATTTTTAGTAGAGATGGGGTTTCATATTGGCCAGGCTGGTCTCGAACTTCTGACTTTGTGATCCGCCCGCCTCGGCCTCCCAAAGTGCTGGGATTACAGGCATGAGCCACCGTGCCCGGCCCATTATTTCCCTTTTACACTCAAGAAAATTGAGGCCCAGTGAGGTTAAGTGACTTGCCCAAGGTCACACAGCGTGGAACCAGGCAGTCTGGCTTCAGGGTCCACACTTAACCTTTGAGCTATCCCTGGCTCCTACCCAAATTCCCAAACTCACCTGGCCTAGCTCTCTGCAGGGACAGTGCTTGTAAAGAGGCATTTGGCTGTGATCTCCCCACCTCCCAGGGCTGGTCTGGTCCCCCTGCCATTTGTCCTCCCTTCACCCAGTCCTCTAGGGCCCTCATTGCTGACTCACCTTCGTTCACAGGGGGCCATGTCTGTTGGGGATGCTGGGGGGCTGGGGTAGGGGTTTGGGGTTGGGTCTGGGGCTGTGGGGGCAGCTGGGGCTGTGGTTGTGATTGTGGCTGGGGCTGTGGTTGTGGTTGGGGCTGCAGCTTAGGCGGGGGTGCTCGGGTGAAGAGGGGGGACCCAGGGAGCATGGCGCGGCTGGCCCCGTGCTCCCAGAAGGCGTTCTGCAGCTTGAAGATCATGCTGAGGGGGATGGGACGCTGGCGCGGGGCCCCGCGGGGCTGGGGGCTGGAGGGGGGCATGGGGATGCGGCTGACGGGCTGCCAGCTGCGAGGCAAAGTGCCCGACGGCCCCGCGGAGCCCAGCGAGCGCCGGTAGCTGCCCGCGTCTGAACGCCGGTCGCTGGCCAGAGGAGAGACCTTGTAATTGCGCGGCAGGGTGGCGCTAGTGAGGTTGTCCTGGGGAAGAGGGAAGGGAGAAGGGGATCGGGTGAGAGAGGGAAGGTGGAGGGGAGGTAAAGACAAAAGACGAGAAGGGAGAGGAGGTGAGGGAAGCCCTGGGAGTGAGGGAGAAGAAAGGGTGAGGAAGGAGCAGAAACCCAGCACAGTGAAGGGAGAGCGTGGGAACGGGCGCCGAGACCCAGATCGCAGCCCCGAGGGGGAGACTGGCCTTGACCCCGCTCCCCCACCCCACTCCTCGACCTTCCCCAGCCTCTCCTCCCCAGGCGTCGCCTCCTCACCTTGCCGGTGCCCCCCAGTCCATCCAGGCTGCTCTCCCTCCAAGGCAACAGCTGCAGGCTCGGCGAGGCAGGCCTTGCGAAGACGTCCAGGCCTGCGGGGCGGGAATCATTAGGGTCTGTGGGGCTGCCTCTCCTCCGGGTCCTCCATTCCCCGGGCCTCCACCACTCACGTTCATAGCTCGCTGTCTGCGAAGGCTTCTTCTCGTACGCCACGTCCAGGTCAGACTCGTTCCAGGCTTTCGGAGGCCGCCGGCGCAGCGTCAGGTCGTCTGGGGAGAAGTTTCCAGGGAGGATGAGACGGGAGGGGTGGCGAGCCCCGGATCCTGCCCGCTTTGACCCCGCGAGTCAAAGGCCCCGCGAGGGGCCCCTGGGTTCACCTTGCGCGCGCAGAGGCGGGGCGAATGCGCTGCCGCCGGAGCCTAGCAGGGAGCTCCCGAAGGCGGACGCTGGCGCGTCGTAGGCTGTGGCAGGGGGGCGCGGTGACGGCCCACGCTCGGGGAAGAAGGCCTGGGGCCCCTCCGCCAGGGGGCTGCCGCGGGGGGAGCCTGCGCGGCCCAGGAAGTCGAAAGGCGTGGGGGGACCCTGCTGGCGGAGCGGGCCTGGCCCGGGCCGCGGGGAGGGCGCACGGCCGAGGGAGCTGCCTGCGCCATCGAAGGCGCGGGGCCGGGGCGAGGTCGCGCGGTCCAGGCTGCCGTAGGCGTCCGGCTGCAGGTAGAGCGGGGTGCGCGGCGACGACGGCCGTCCCTTGGGGGACAGCGGGCTGTAGGGGTGTAGGGTTGGGGCACTCTCTGATCGTCCGAACGGGGTGTCTGCGCCGTCGGTGGCCGCCTTCCGGGGGGACCCTCGGCTGCCGAAGGGCTCAGGGATCGAGCTGGAGCTGTACCGGGGCGGCTGTGGGGAGGCCAGGGCATTGAGGGATGGATCAAAGGAGACATTAGTGGAAGGGTTGGTGTGTGGGCGGGGGTGTCAAGAGAGATCACTGGAGGTCAACCCAGAGGAGGCTGACCGGCCATGGAAATTCAGGCACAGAGAGCCCAGGTGAGTAGTGGTGGGGAGACAGCCCTGAATCAGCACTGTGGCTAGCCCATTACTCTATGTCACCTTTATGCCACTTAGGTAAACACCTCTTTCCTTCTGAGGGTCCCTTTAGATGTCCACTTCCACTGGTCCCCTCTTTTCTATTTCTTTCTTTCTTTCTTTCTCTCTCTTTCTTTTCTTTCTTTCTTTCCTCTCTCTCCTTCCTTCCTTTCTCTCTCTCTCCTTCCCTCCCTCCCTCCCTCCCTGCTTGCTTGCTTTCTCTCTCTCTCTTTCTTTCTTTCTTTCTTTCTTTCTTTCTTTCTTTCTTTCTTTTCTATCTCGGCTCATTGCAGCCTCAACCTCCCTGGCTTAGTGTGATCCTCCCACTTCAGCCTCCCAAGTAGCTGGGATTACAGGTATGCACCACCACACCTGGCTAACTTTTGTATTTTTAGTAGAGACAGGGTTTCACCATGTTAGCCAGGCTGGTCTTAAACTCCTGACCTCAAGTGATCCGCCTGTCTCTGAAAGTGTTGAGATTACAGGCGTGAACCACCGTGCCCAGCCAGATTTTTAAAAAATCATTTGTAGAGGCTGGTCTCAAACTCTTAGTCTCAAGCAATTCTCTCACCTCGCCTTCCAAAGTGCTGGGATTCCAGGTCTGAGCCATCGCGCCTGGCCTGGTCCCCTTTTTTCAAGTTCCCTTGAAGAGCCCACAACCTGCATAACTATATGGGGCAATTTTGCCTGAAATCCAGGCCTCTGGTCTGGACTGTGGCGAGAGGCTGGCTTTGGAGATCAAGGTGGGAACCAGGCTTACCCTAGAAGGGGGTCCGGCCTGCGGGCCAGGAGGCGCGGGAGAGTCTGACCACAGCGACTCCAGCTGCTTGGTCAGTTCATCCACCTTGGCCGCCGCCGTGTCCAGCTCCATCTGCTTCAGATCCATGTGTTTCATGGCCAGCGCTGGGAAGGTGGGAGTGGAGGTAAGGACCTGGCCTCCTGGCAGGGGCCGGCCTCAGCACCCCTCGCCCGCTGCCGAGGTCCCCGCCTCGCCAGCCCCGCCCCCTACTCCAGCTTACACTGGAAGTTCATGTCCAGAAAGTCCCGCGCGCTCTGGAATGCCTCGCTGTCCATGGTGCCGGCCGGAGCGGGCGCCTGCATGGTGGGGAGGGAGGGAGCTGGCTAAGACCCCGCCCCTCTAGACCCCGCCCTCAGGGAGTCAGACGCCGTCAGGAGCGGGACAACGCCTCAACTCAGTTCCTTCCCCTGGAAGCCCTTTACCCTTTCACCTCCCCAGCTGGGAAATGCCAACTCCTCCAAAGCCAAGTCCATGCGCCACGGAGAAGTCCAAACCCAGTCTAAAACCTCCGGAATTCACTTTCTCTTTCTTTTTTTCTTTTCTTTTTTTTTTTTTTTTTGTGTATGTGTGTGAGACAGAGTCTCGCTCTGTCGCCCAGGCGGGAGTGCAATGACGCGATCTTGGCTCACTGCAACCTCCGCCTCCCGGGTTCAAGCAAATCTTCTGCCTAGCTGGGACTACAAGCGCGCGCCATTATGCCCGGCTAATTTTTGTAGTTCTGGGATTACAGGAGTGAGTCTCCGCGCCCGGCCGTGTCCATCTCTTTATCTCAGTCCTAAGACCTGAATCACTCCTTGAACAATTATCTATTGATCACCTACAATGTGCCGGTAAACATAGGATGGAATAACTATGAATTACTGAATGTTTACTAGGGACCAGGACGCACTGTGCTAGATCCTGTTTTTGTTTGTTTTTGAGATGGTGTCTCGCATTTTCGCCCAGGCTGGAGTGCAGTGGCGCGATCTCGGCTCACTGCAAGCTCCGCCTCCAGGGTTCATGCCAGTCTCCTGTCTCAGCCTCCCGAGTAGCTGGGACTACAGGCGCCTGCCACCATGCCTGGCTAAATTTTTGTATTTTTAGTAGAGACGGGGTTTCACCGTGTCAGCCAGGATGGTCTCGATCTCCTGACCGCGTGATCCATCTGCCTCGGCCTCCCAAAGTGCTGGGATTACAGGCGTGAGCCACCGCGCCCGGCCTTGTTTTTGTTTTTTAATAATAATTCTGCTGTCTGCTGTGTACTAGAACCCATGCCTACTGCTTGGGGTATAATGTAGTAAATGTAGTAAAAACAATATCCGCCGGGCGCGGTGGCTCACGCCTGTAATTCCAGCACTTTGGGAGGCCAAGGAGGGCGGATCACGAGGTCAGGAGAGCGAGACCATCCTGGCTAACATGGTGAAACCCCGTCTCTACTAAAAATACCAAAAATTAGCCAGGCGTGGTGATGGACGCCTGTAGTCCCAGCTACTCGGGAGGCTGAGGCAGGAGAACGGCGTGAACCCGGGAGGTGGAGCTTGAACTGAGCGGAGATCGCGCCACTGCACTCCAGCCTGGGCGACAGTGCGAGACTCCGTCTTAAAACAAACAAATAAATAAATATGTTTAAAACAACAACAACAATAACCAGCCAGGCGCGGTGGTTCACTCCTGTAACCCGAGCACTTTGGGAGGCCGAGGTGGATGGATCGCTTGAAGCCAGGAGACCAGCCTGGCCAATATGGTGAAACCCCGTCTCTACAAAAAAATACAAAAGTTAGCTGGGCATGGTGGCATGTGCCTGTAATCCCAGCTACTCAGGAGGCTGAGGCACAAGGCTCACTTGAACCTGGGAGGCACAGGTTGCAGTGAGCATAGATTGTGTCACTGCACTGCAGCTTGGGTGACAGAGCGAGGCTCTATTTAAAAAAAAAAAAATTAATTGAGGGGCCACTCCCTTCTAGAGTGGTGAGAAATGCCGTGCACCGAAAGCTTCATTTGATGGTCAAAACCACCCTAGCAGGCAAGAAAGCATGGCTCAGAAACATATGTTCAAGGTCACCCTGCAAGAAGTCGGTAGTAATCGGTTTCACACCCGCATCTAACTTATTCTGGGTCATCTCTACCAGATTAGAGGGGTCCTAGAGGGAAGCGACTGCTCAGCTTCCTTTCCCTAGGGTCCCCATTCAGTGGAGGTCTGGCTCTCACTGACCCATTGTTAGCAAGAGGAACAGGGAGGTGGCCAGGGGTGGAGGGGCAGCTGTGGTCACTGGCCCAGTGGGAGGGAGCTAGGCCACTAGGAACCGGTCAGGCCAGCACCATCCCTATCCCCATGCTAGCCACCACACCCACCAGCTCTGCCACCTCCCTGCTGCATCGACCACTTAGCTCTGGCAGTATAGGCAGCAGGGCAGGCTGGGGCATGCTGATACCCGCCTCTGTCTGGGAAGTCGAAGGAACAGAACCTGTTCAGGCTGGCGGCTCATTTGGATGAACAGGGAGTGTGTGACCTTGGGCGTTGAGTCCTCTCCACTCCCTGGGCCTCAGTCTCCCCAACATCAAAGAAGAAGGCAAATCACCTTTTTTTTTTTTTTTGAGATAGGGTCTCGCTCTGTAACCCAGGCTACAATTGTGACTCACTACAGCCTCTTGACCTCCCAGCTCAAGTGGTCCTCCCACCTCAGCCTCCTGAGTAGCTGAGACTATAGGTATAGCCTCGCACCACCACACCCAGCTAATTTTTTTTTTTTTTTTTTTTTTTTTTTTTTTTTTGAGACGGAGTCTTGCTCTGTCGCCCAGGCTGGAGTTCAGTGGCGGGATCTCGGCTCACTGCAAGCTCCGCCTCCCGGGTTCACGCCATTCTCCCGCCTCAGCCTCCCAAGTAGCTGGGACTACAGGCGCCCGCCACTACGCCCGGCTAATTTTTTGTATTTTTAGTAGAGACGGGGTTTCACCATTTTAGCCGGGATGGTCTCGATCTCCTGACCTCATGATCCGCCCGCCTCGGCCTCCCAAAGTGCTGGGATTACAGGCGTGAGCCACCGCGCCCGGCCACCCAGCTAATTTTTTAAAAACATTTTGTACACTTTGGGAGGCTAAGGCGGGAGGATCACGAGGTCAGGAGCTCGAGACCATCCTGGCTAACACGGTGAAACCCTGTCTCTACTAAAAAATACAAAAAAATTAGCTGGGCGTGGTGGCGGGCGCCTGTAGTCCCAGCTACTCGGGAGGCTGAGGCAGGAGAATGGTGTGAACCAGGGAGGCGGAGCTTTCAGTGAGCCGAGATCGCGCCACTGCACTCCAGCCTCGGAGACAGAGCGAGACTCCGTCCCAAAAAAAAAAAAAAAAAAAATTTGTAGAGACAGGGGTCTCACTTTGTTGCTCAGGCTGGTTTTGAACTCCTGGGCTCAAGCAATCCTCCCGCCTCAGCCTCCCAAAGTGCTGAGATTACAGGCATGAGCCACCACACCTGGCCAAATCAGCTATTCTGAAAGGCCCCTTTAATCTCTATGAGCCCCAGACTTTCAAACTGTAAGGACCTTAGGACTGTAACTAAAGTTCTACAGAGCCTAAACCCCTCAGCTAAAGAGCCTATTGTTGGAAAGTTCTGAGTCCAAGATTCTATCTTTGGAACATTCTAGAATTCTCCAATTTGTCTAACCCAGAATTCTGAGTCTTTCTGTACCACATTCTACCTAACCCAGGGTTGCACTGCTCTGGAAGTCTAGATGGATGGTATAGTGCAGCTGGTAAAAGCATGAGTAAGAAGTCAGACTTCAAAAATTCAAATCTGAGGGCCGGGCATGGTAGCTTCTGCCTGTAATCCTTGCACTTTGGGAGGCCGAGGGGGGAGGATCACTTGAGGCCAGGAGTTCAAGACCAACATGGCCAACACAATGAGACCCCATTTCTTAAAAAAAATTAAAATAAAATCATCAAATCTGGCAGCACCACCGTCCAACCCTGACCACAGTACCTCAGTCTCGTAATCCGTAAAATGGGGATGAAAGTTCACCTCATAGGACTACTGTAAGAATCCACCTGGTCAGAAGGTGCAGGAAGAATTCAGAGCTCTGAGAATTGAGGCCTCAGGAAGAAGAGACTACAGGAATAAAAACTCGGGCATTTAGAATTTCAGAGATACACAAACAATACTTTGTTAACTGTTAAAATAGATAAATGAGCAAGTCTGTGCAGCCCTAATGCCAGCTGTAAGTGACTCTTTTTTTTTCTTTTGGTAGAGATTTAGTCTCTCTCGCGCCTGTGGTTAGGCTGGTCTCGAACTCCTAGCCTCATGGGATCCTCCCCGGCTCGATCTCCCAAAGTATTGGGATTACAGGCGTGAGCCACGGCGCCATGATCCCCAAATTTCCAAGATTCTCAGATTCCATACTGACATTCTCTGGCTCTCAGGAAATGCCAACCCTGGGTGTGGGGCTGTCGCGGGGACAGGCGGTGGGGACGTCGGAGCCACCAGGGGGCGGTCACGCCCGGACCCCCGCCAGGAGGGCGGACTGCGCCTGAGCTCAGGCCCGGGGAATGCGCAGCGGGCCCGGGCAGGTGCTGTACATCCCGGGGCAAGGGAGCTGGGCCGGGCGGGGTACAAGGGCGGGGCGCGGGGGTGGCGCGGGCCGTGTGTCTGTTCCCAGGCCTCTGCCCCTGACCTCTGCCTCCGAGTCCTCTCCCATGTGCTCCCCTCTAGCTCTAGCTCCGAGCTCTCCCGCGGGCTCTGGGCCAGCCGCAGGTACTCTCCCCTGGGCTCCTCTCTCCGCTCCACCCCTGGCTCTCCTTCCCTGGCCTCCTCTGCACCCCAGCCAGGTTCTTTAGGGCTAAGGATCCTGTGGACTTCCTGGAGGAGTCATCTTCAGTAGGAACCGGGTCAGAGAGCCAGACTGAGCTGGGAACACCCAGGCTGGACTCCTACAGCCCTGTCGGGTCACACTGAATCTGGAGAGGCTCCACTGTCTCTGGGACTCGGTTTCCTCCTTTGTGGACGTCTATGGAATGGGCTAGGGCCTTTCTTGCTCTAAGCCTCTACTTGGGCTTGTTATTTAGCTTCTCTGTGCCTGTTTCCTCATGTGGACCATGGGAAGAATTAATACCTTCGCCTCAAAGGGGTATGAGGATTGAGTGACATAATTTATAAGCCGTGATTAGAACAATGCAGTGCGCGAAATAAAGTTCACACATACAGGATTCATAATTACCAGATGTCCTTGGCTGTTCATTATAATAACACAGGGTCTGGCAACAGAGTGAGGGGTCCAGACTCAATGTAATTTTTTTTTCCCCTAAAAGGGCCCTTTCAACTCTTTCTGAGATCATACAAGCCCTGAGTTTTGACACCCAGGGTCTCAACTTCCTGAGCCCTTGCCTCTCAGAGTCCTAAATTTCCCCTGTACATTCCTGAGTCTGGCCAGTGATCACCCTCAGTCACTTAGGGACGGGAGGGCTGGGAGAGCCCTGGAAGATTCCAGACAGAAGCTGGCAAAAGCCCAGGGTGTGGGCAATATCCACTCTCCAGCCTCCGTTTCTCCACTCGTAATGAGGAGTCCTTCCCTGGGGTCAGCAAACCTTATTCAAAGGGAGACCTCTCAGTCACCCAAGATTCCTCTAGACAATGCGAGCTTTCCTACCTACCTACCTACCAGCTCTGAGCTTGGTACACCCAGAGCCCTGTTTTGGCAACCACGGTTATTATTTTTAATTTCATTTCAGGTTATCATCAAATGCCCTTCAAGCCCAGACATTGGGAAACACTCCTCTCTCATCAGATGCTCGCCTCCCCCATTCTGTTTTTAATCCCCCTTCTTAGGACGCATGGGGGTGGAGAGAACGGGGAGATAGACAGAGGGAGGTGCCTGGTCCTGCCCTCCCCCCGCCTCAAGGACAGACAGACACCTCCAGAATTAGCCTCTGTCCCTCCCTTATCTCCCACAATACCCCAGGTCAGACAGATGGGCGTGGAGGTGACATTTCTCACCTCAGGGTCAGGGCAAGGAGCCCTGAGGCAGAAGGTTAGTCAGAAAATCTGGCGGGGGCGGATGGAATCCCGTCCCCCAGAGAGCTGCAGAAGAAGGAGGAGGCAGAATCCTGACCCTACAAACTCTACTGCCTGTGTGAGCTCCAAGCCTCAGTTTACCCCTTCCTCTCCGTGTAATGGTTAAATGCCCGGCTATGCAAACCTCCCAGAATCCAATAGCCGCTTTCCGGAATTCTGCCCTGGGTTCTAGAACTACCTCTGCAAACCCAGCTGTTTCCCACCCCATAAGGCAATAGGGGAGCCCACCTCCGCCAGGGGGTGCCCTAGGGCGGATGTCCCTTCTCTGGTTAGGCAGGTCTGACGCCCAGGTTAATGACATGTTGGGTTCGCTCAGCGGCACAGAGGAGGTTGGAGATCTGCCTCGGTGTTTTCTCTCCTACCCCGCCCCCATCCCCGAGCCGAAAAGTCGGGGGAGAGCCGGGACACAGCCTCCGGAGGGACCCCGGGTACCTGTCCTGCTCCACTTCAGGAACCCAGGCTCCACTATCCCTGCCCCACCCTTAATTCTGCTCAGAGACCTAGAAGATCGGTCGAGACAGCAGCTTGAGGCTGGCAGGGTGGTCACCCATTCCACCTTGAGCCCCACCAGTCTGAGCCTCTCATTTCTGACCAAGACTCGGGGATTCGAACCCCTATACTACCCAAAGACTCGGCTTCCTAGAGCCCCCCAGTTCGAGGGACTCAGGAATTCCAGCTCCAACGTCTCCCCGGGATGAAGGGGTAGAATCCCTCCATTCCAAGAATTCAGGCATCCGAACCCGCTTTCCTTCCCTCCAGTAAAACAGGCAACGGAGTTTCCTTCTAAGGATCCAGGTGTCGGCGCGCCCCAAATTCCGCCCTGGGACCTGGCGTCCGAGTCCCCTCCCAATCCTCCCAGGGACGCGGGTGTTGGGCTTTTTCAGGGCCTCTGGTCCCCAGGAGGGTGAAACTCACGGATCCGGGCAGATCCTGGCACCTGGGGGCTTCCTCCAGCTCGGGCTCCGGCTTGGGGAGCGGAGAACGGGGCGGGGCAGGAGCTGGGAACAGGTTAGACGACGTGACTTGGGCTGGAGGGAGGCGGGTCCCGGTGGGGAGGGGGAGCCAAGGTCGCCTCGAGCACCTTGGGACTTGTAGTCCCGGAGGGACAGGACGTAGCCCAAGACGATCCCATTTGGATTCACCCAGAGTCCATTTCACAGACAGGAAGGGCGAGGCCCAGAAGCCGAGAGCGACCAGGCCAGGGAGATACAGAAGAGCCGAGACGCCTGCCTCGCTGTGGCTGGAGACTGACTCCTGAGCCCTTGCCCCACCCCTTCAGGCGCACTATCCCCTTTCCTGATCAGTATCCCCCAGGGTCTCTGAGCCCGAATCTCCCCGTCGATAAAAAGCGCGGGTTGGATCTTCAAAGGATGTCCCAGCAAGAGTTCAAAATCTTAGTTTGGACTACAACCCCCAGCAGCCTCCGCGACCGCCCTCGGGCGACTCTTTGCCTCGGGTCCTGTGGGAATTGTAGTCCTGGAGCCCGCAGGGGCTGCACCCCGGTGTCTCTCTCGCCCACGCGAAGGAAACCGTCTGGAGATCCTGGATAGGGGAAACATTTCCCCTTCCCCTTGACCCTCCCTCCGCTCTGGAAAGCCTCTCCCACCTGGGGAGAAGGGGTGCCCCAATTCTGGAGTAGGATCCTAAATCTTGGCAGAGGGGGCGGGAAGTGGCGCTGACACACTGGCCAGGAATGCAGTCGGGTCACCCTGTCTAGCCACCGTCTCGCGGCTCCAACCGCCGCCCAACGCGGGGCGGCCCCAGTGGGAAGGGAAGTGGGTGCGTCCCCCAAATCTGTGTCCACGTGCCGCTGTTTACACGCTCCCTGGGGCAGGGAGGAGTCGCCGATCAGGTCCCTTCCTGAAAGTCATCGAGGTTTCCCACGCATGAGACTAAACCCCCGAGGGCATCTACAAGTCCCATTTGATCCACAAACGCTACACCGTGCCCAGCACCACTCCACGCGTGTGGGGCTCCTGGGTCCGAGGCTCCGCCCTCGAGAACCACAAGCTCCTCCCCCTATGTTTCCCGCTCCCCCGGAGTCCAGAAGCCCCGCCCCTGGCTGGAACTTCACGCCCTCCGGACGGATTGCCCCTATTTCTCCATTTTCCCGCTTCTCCCAGTCAAGTTCTGAACTTGTGAGGCATCTGGGCCTCCCCAGAAGACATTTAACACAGAAAGCACAGCCCTACTAACTAGTATTCTTACCTGTCTCTTCAAGAATTTCAGACCAATCGACCGTCCTGTCTCTTTAAGGCTTAGGAAGAGCAGTGTGGCTGCCCCTTTAAGGAGGCGTTGCAACAAACCATATTGGACAGACGATGGGGGCGACCCATCGGGACCCGACGGGCCTCTGACTCCAGCAATACAGCGAATCAGCGGCTTTCGGGAATACATTTTTCGGAAAAAGACTTCTTCCTCGGTTTTCTGCTCTGCACACGTTGAAATTTTCCCCAGTTTTTCCTGCAGATCGGGAGTCGAGCAATGCCTACCCCCGCGCTCCCGCACCAGTTGGGCGCTCCCGGATGATGCCCTACCCCTTTGGATCCACGTGGTCTGCAACCTGGTGCGAGCAGCCCGGGCTACAGGGTTGCCTGAGGTGTGGGTCCCAGGATGGAGGAGCCCCAGGCCGGCGGTGAGGGTGCGGGTTGACGGGGTGCGGAGGGTGCGTTGGTGGAAGGAGAAAGGGGCGTCCGAGAGGGTTCGGGCGGAAAAGGAGGCGTACCTGCAAGCAGGACTTGCGAAGAGCGTGCATTCCCAGTGGGCGAACGGGAATTCGAACGGAGAGAGGGTTATCTTGTGGGGGGCTACCCGTGGAGAGCAAGGCGCCCCCAGGGGTTGGATCGGTGAAATTGAGGTCGCCCCTGGGGAACAGGTGGGCAGAAAGGAGAAACCAGGTTGAGGGGACTGGAGTGCTCACGAGGTTAAGACCAATGGACCGATAGGCGCGCCCTGCAAGATTGGACCGGCAAGGAGGTGTCAGTCGACCCCATTTCCCCTTCTGCTGCAGATGCTGCTCGGTTCTCTTGTCCCCCCAACTTTACCGCGAAGCCCCCAGCCTCAGAGTCCCCTCGTTTCTCCTTGGAGGCGCTGACGGGTCCAGATACGGAGCTGTGGCTTATTCAGGCCCCTGCAGACTTTGCCCCAGAATGGTGAGTGGTCTTGTTGACGGAAAAGAGGGTCCCGGTCCAGACCCCAAGAGCGGGTTCTTGAATTTGTCACAGGAAAGAATTAGAGGTGAGTCACAGAGCACAGTGAAAGAAACAAGTTTATTGGAAACTACTCCTTTACAGAGTAGAGTGTCCTCAGAAAGCAGGGGGAGAAACCCACAGCCCTTTGTTAGTATTTCTACTTATAAGAAACTATAAGGAACTATAGTTAAACTTGGAGTGTGCAGATAAGCTCACTAAAGGTAGGGGCTATTGGTGTTATCCACGACCATTAATCCTGCAACCTAAGCTTGCTCATTTATGTTATATTTAAGTAATGGGGGCTGCATTCTTAGGACATTTGGACATTCTGCAGGCTTGGTGGAACATGTTCTGTATGGCCATAAATATTCTGTAATTATAATTGGTGGTCAGCCTGGGATGTGGTTATTTTCAGGCCATAAGCATGAACCTTGTAAGTGCCTAGCTACTCACTTTAAGATGGAGTCACTCTAGTCATGTTTTATTAAAAACCAGAGGCCAGCCAGGCGCAGTGGCTGGTGCCTGTAATCCCATCCTTTGGGAGGCCGAGGCGAGCAGATCACTTGAGGTCAGGAGTTCAAGACCAGCCTGGCCAACATAGTGAAATTGTCTCTACTAAAAATACAAAAATTGGCTGGGCGTGGTGGCAGGTGCCTGTAATCCCAGCTACTTGAGAGGCTGAGGCAGGAGAATCGCTTGAACCCAGGAGGTGGACATTGCAGTGAGCCGAGATCATGCCACTGCACTCCAGCCTAGGCAACAGAGCAAGACTCTCTCAAAAAAAAACAAAAAAAAAATCAAAAAACCTTCCCTCTCCTGTTCCACTTAAGCCTCTGCCCTCCCTGTTTCTCTCTGTAGCTTCAATGGGCGGCATGTGCCTCTCTCTGGCTCCCAGATCGTCAAGGGCAAATTGGCAGGCAAGCGGCACCGCTATCGAGTCCTCAGCAGCTGTCCCCAAGCTGGAGAAGCGACCCTGCTGGCCCCCTCAACGGAGGCAGGAGGTGGACTCACCTGTGCCTCAGCCCCCCAGGGCACCCTAAGGATCCTTGAGGGTCCCCAGCAATCCCTGTCAGGGAGCCCTCTGCAGCCCATCCCAGCAAGTCCCCCACCACAGATCCCTCCTGGCCTGAGGCCTCGGTTCTGTGCCTTTGGGGGCAACCCACCAGTCACAGGGCCTAGGTCAGCCTTGGCCCCCAACCTGCTCACCTCAGGGAAGAAGAAAAAGGAGATGCAGGTGACAGAGGCCCCAGTCACTCAGGAGGCAGTGAATGGGCACGGGGCCCTGGAGGTGGACATGGCTTTGGGGTCGCCAGAAATGGATGTGCGGAAGAAGAAGAAGAAAAAAAATCAGCAGCTGAAAGAACCAGAGGCAGCAGGGCCTGTGGGGACAGAGCCCACAGTGGAGACACTGGAGCCTCTGGGAGTGCTGTTCCCGTCCACCACCAAGAAGAGGAAGAAGCCCAAAGGGAAAGAAACCTTCGAGCCAGAAGACAAGACAGTGAAGCAGGAACAGATTAACACTGAGCCTCTAGAAGACACAGTCCTGTCCCCGACCAAAAAGAGAAAGAGGCAAAAGGGGACGGAAGGGATGGAGCCAGAGGAGGGGGTGACAGTTGAGTCTCAGCCACAGGTGAAGGTGGAGCCACTGGAGGAAGCCATCCCTCTGCCCCCTACGAAGAAGAGGAAAAAAGAAAAGGGACAGATGGCAATGATGGAGCCAGGGACGGAGGCGATGGAGCCAGTGGAGCCGGAGATGAAGCCTCTGGAGTCCCCAGGGGGGACCATGGCGCCTCAACAGCCAGAAGGAGCGAAGCCTCAGGCCCAGGCAGCTCTGGCAGCTCCCAAAAAGAAGACGAAGAAAGAAAAACAGCAAGATGCCACAGTGGAGCCAGAGACAGAGGTGGTGGGGCCTGAGCTGCCGGATGACCTTGAGCCTCAGGCAGCTCCCACATCCACCAAGAAGAAGAAGAAGAAGAAAGAGAGAGGTCACACAGTGACTGAGCCAATTCAGCCACTAGAGCCTGAACTGCCAGGGGAGGGACAGCCTGAAGCCAGGGCAACTCCGGGATCCACCAAGAAGAGGAAGAAGCAGAGTCAGGAAAGCCGGATGCCAGAGACAGTGCCCCAAGAGGAGATGCCAGGGCCGCCACTGAATTCAGAGTCTGGGGAGGAGGCTCCCACAGGCCGGGACAAGAAGCGGAAGCAGCAGCAGCAGCAGCCTGTGTAGTCTGCCCCCGGGAAACTGAGGAACTAAAGAAAGCTGAAGGTGCCCACCTGGGCCACCAGAAGGTGACACCCCCAGAATCCCTCCCCAGAGACTGCACCAGCGCAGCCAGCAGGAGCCTGGCCTGGGAGGACGATTTATTATTACACTGGGGGTTTCCTTGGCAGCTGGGGTCATCAGGGTACTTTCAAGAAGGGCTCGTGCAGGACATCAAACAGCCTCCGGGCCTGGATGGGAGGGAGAAAAAAATGAGGAACCAGTCATTAAAGGAGCTGTTTCCTGGGTAAATCTAGAGTGGGGTTTTGGTTCTTTATTTTCCCCTATACCCTCAAGCATTTATCCATTGAGTTACAAACAATCCAGTTACAATCTTTTTAAGTTATTATTATTATTATTATTTTTTTTTTTTTTGAGATGGAGTCTCGCTCTGTCGCCCAGGTTGGAGTGCAGTGGCGCAATCTCGGCTCACTGCAAGCTCCGCCTCCCGGGTTCACGCCATTCTCCTGCCTCAGCCTCCTGAGTAGCTGGGACTACAGGCCCCTGCCCAGCTAATTTTTTGTATTTTTTTTTAGTAGAGATGGGGTTTCACCACGTTAGCCAGGATGGTCTCGATCTCCTGACCTCCTGATGCGCCTGCCTCAGCCTCCCAGTGCTGGGATTATAGGTGTGAGCCACTGCGCCTGGCTAAGTTATTATTATTTTTTTGAGACAGTCTCCTGGTGTCACCCAGGCTGGAGTGCAGTGGTGTGATCTTGGCTCACTGCAACCTCCGCCTCCTGGGTTCCAACGATTCTCCTGCCTCAGCCTCCCGAGTAGCTGGGCCTAAAGGTGCCCACCACTATACCCGGCTAATTTTTGTATTTTTAGTAGAGACAGGGGTTTCACCATATTGGCCAGGCTGGTCTCGAACTCCTGACCTCGTGATCCACCTGCCTTGACCTCCCAAAGTGCTAGGATAACAGGTGTGAGCCACCGCACCCTGCCAAGTTATTTTAAAATGTACCATTATTATTGACTATAGTCACCTGGTTGTGTTATCAAATAGTATGTCTTATTCATTCTTTCTTTGTGTGTGTGTGTGTGTGTGTGTGTGTGTGTGGTACCCATTAACCTTCCCCATCTCCCTGCCAGCCCCTAACTACCCTCCCCAGCCTCCAGGAACTATCCATCCACTCTTATCTCCATGAGTTCAATTGTTTTGATTTTTAGATACACAAATAAATAAGAACATGCAATGTTTGTCTTTCTGTGCCTGGCTTATTTCACTTAACATAATAATCCCCAGTTCATTATGTTGTAATTGACAGGATCTCATGTTTTTTTTGTTTTGTTTTGTTTTGTTTTGAAAAGGGTCTCGCTCTGTCGCCCAGGCTGGAGTGCAGTGGCACAATCTTGGCTCACTGCAACCTCCGCCTCCCGGATTCAAGCGATTCTCCTGCCTCAGCCTCCCAAGTAGTTGTGATTACAGGCACGCGCCACCACACCCAGCTCATTTTTTCATTTTTAGTAGAGACAAGGTTTCACCACGTTGGCCAGGCTGGTCTTGAACTTCTGGCCTCAAGTGATCTGCCCGCCTCGGCCTCCCAAAGTGCTGGGATTAGAGGTGTGAGCCACCGCGCCCAGCCAGGATCTCATTCTTTTTTATGGCTGAAGAGTATCCATTGTGTGTAAGTACCACATTTTCTTTGCCTGGTCATCTGCTGATGGACACAGGTTGGTTCTAAGTTTTGGCAATGTGAACTGTGCTGCAACAAACAGGAGTGCAGATACCTGTTCCATACACTGATTTCCTTTTTTTGGGGATATACCCAGCAGTGGGATTGCTGGATCATGTGGAACCTCAACTTTTCAGTTTTTAGAGGAGCCTCCAAACTGTTTTCCATAGTGGTTGTACTGATTTACATTCCCATCAAAAGTATATGAGGGTTCCCTTTTCTTCACATCCTCGCCACCATTTGTTATTGCCTGTCCACCATTTGTTATTGCCTGTCCTTTGGATAAAAGCCATTTTAAGGCCGGGCACCATGGCTCACACCTGTAATCCCGGCACTTTGGGAGACCGAGGTGGGTGGATCACCAGAGGTCAGGAGTTCAAGACCAGCCTGACCAACCTAGGGAAACCCCATCTCTACTAAAAATACAAAAACTAGCTGGGCATGGTAGCGAGTGCCTGTAATCCCATCTACTCAGGAGGCTGAGGCAGGAGAATCGCTTGGATCCAGGAGACGGAGGTTGCAGTGAGCTGAGATCATGCCATTGCACTCCAGCCTGGGCAACAGAGTGAGACTCCATCTCAAAAAATAATAATAAGCCATTTTAATAGAGCTGAGATGGTATCTCATTATAGTTTATTTTTGGTTTTTGGTTTTCTTTTTTGAGATGGAGTCTCACTCTGTCACCCAGGCTGGAGTGCAGTGGTATGATCTCGGCTCACTGCAAGCTCTGCCTCCCAGGTTCATGCCATTCTCCTGCCTCAGCCTCCCGAGTAGCTGGGACTACAGGTGCCCACCACCACACCCAGCTAATTTTTTTTTGTATTTTTAGTAGAGACGGGGTTTCACCATGTTAGCCATGATGGTCTCAATCTCCTGACCTCACGATCCACCCGCCTCGGCCTCCCAAAGTGTTGGGATTACAGGCGTGAGCCACCATGCCCGGCCTATTTTTGGTTTTTTTTGAGATGGAGTTTTGCTTCTGTTGTCCAGGCTGGAGGGCAGTGGTGTGATTTCAGCTCACTGCAACCTCCGTCTCCCGGGTTCAAGAGATTCTCCTGCCTCAGCCACTCAAGTAGCTGGGATTACAAGCATGCGCCACCACACCCAACTAATTTTTATATTTTTAGTAGAGATGGGGTTTCGCCATGTTGGCCAGGCTGATCTTGAACTCCTGGCCTCAAGTGATCTGCCCGCCTCGGCCTCCCAAAGTGCTGGGATTACAGGCATGAGCCACTGCACCCAGCCTCACTGTAGTTTTGATTTGCATTTTTCTGATGATCAATGATGCTGAGCACCTTTTCATATGCCTGCTTGCCATTTGTATGTCTTTTGAGAAATGTTAATTCAAATATTTTGCCCACTTTTTGATTGGATTATTATATTTTATCCTATAGAGTTGTTAGAACTCTTATCTTCTGATTATTGATTCCTTGTCAGATGGTTAGTTTGCAGATATTTTCTCCCATCCTGTGTGTTGTCTCTTCACTTTGTGGAATGTTTGCTGTGCAGAAGCCTTTTATTCTTTTTTTTTTTTTTAATTTTTGAGATAGAGTTTCACTCTTATTGTCCAGGCTGGAGTGCAATGGCGCTATCTTGGCTCACTGCAACCTCCACCTCCCGGGTTCAAACGATTGTCCTGCCTCAGCCTTCCAAGTAGCTGGGATTACAGGCATGTGCCACCATACCTGGCTACTTTTTTGTATTTTTAGTAAAGATGGGGTGTCTCCATGTTGGCCAGGCTGGTCCCAAACTCCTGACCTCAGGTGATCCAGCCGCCTCAGCCTCTCAAAGTGCTGGGATTACAGGCCCAAGCCACCGCACCTGGCTTAGAAGCTTTTTAATTTGATGTGATCCCATTTGTCCATTTTGCTTTAGTTTCCTATGCTTATAGGGCATTACTCAAGAAATCTCTGCCCAGTTCAATGTCCTGGAGAGCTTCTCAATGTTTTCTTGTAGACGTTTCATGCATTGAGGTCTTAGATTTAAGTCTGTAATCCATTTTAATTTGATTTTTGTATATGGCGAGAGATAGCTATCTAGTTTCATTCTTCCTCATTGGATTGCTTCTGCTTTGAGACAGGATCGCTCTGTCACCCAGGCTGGAGCGTAGTAACATGCTTATAGCTCACTGCAGCCTCAACCTCCTGGGCTCAAGCGATCCTCCCACCTCAGTCTCCCCAGTAGCTGAGACTACAGGCACGTAGCAAGCTCACACCACCATGCCCAGCTAGTTTTTTTTATTTTTAGTAAAAATGAGGTGTCCACTTGCCCAGGCTGGTCTCCAACTTCTGGCCTCAAGCAGTCCTCCCGCCTTGGCCTCCCAAAATGTTGGGATTACAGGCGGAAGCCACTGTGTCTGGTCTTTGGTTCTTTTTTCACCTTAAAACTTTGGGGTCTCAGGTTGTGTTTATTTGGGGCTCTCTCCTTCCCCCAACTCCTTGGGTTCTTTCCCAGAGCTCTTACTTTCTGAGGGCCCAGGCCTGGGCATAAGGCCAGATCTTCTCTTGATGCGGCGATGAGCTGTTCCAGAGACTGAAAGGTGAAAGCGAGGGGTCAGGGCAGTTGAGCACAAAAGCCTCCCCTGTCCCAGCTGAGGAGGGGCCTCAGATATTCCCCAGGGGAGATGAGGGCCTGTGGGAAGGCAGGACGGGCAAGGGGTGGGCAGGGAGATGGAAGGAAATGGGTGACAGGCTTTCTAAAAAAGGCAAGGGGACAGAAATGCCTATGGGGCAGGGGAGCCATTCCTTACTCCAAATGTGGTCAGGAGGGTCTGACTGTCCGTTTTGTTGACTGACTTCACGGTGGTCAGACATTCAGTCACCTGGAAAGGGTGGAGGCAGGAGTGTGTCGGAAGAAGAAAGGCCAGCAAGACTGAGCCTAGGAGGGCAGGGCTGGGTCACAGCTGTGTCCCCAGACTGCCTGGCGTGCAGGAAGCACTCAATAAACGCTTTTTTTCCCAACTGATTAAAAAGTCATCTCAGGCTGGGCGTGGTGGCTCATGCCTAATAATCCCAGCACTTTCGAGGCCGAGGCGGGAGGATCACCTGAGGCCAGGAGTTCAAGACCAGCCTGGCCAACACACTGAAACCCCATCTTTACTAAAAAATACAAAAATTAGACAGGCATGGTTGTGGGCACCTGTAGTCCCAGCTACTCAGGAGGCTCAGGCAGGAGAATCACTTGAACCTGGGAGGCAGAGGTTGCAGTGAGCCGAGATCATGTCATTGCACTCCAGCCTGGGCAAGAGAGTGAGACTCCATCTCAAAAAAAAAAAAAAGGAATTAGGCAGGTAATTGGGCAGAGGGAACAGAAGGGGCAAGTGCTTGGAGAAGCGAGCTAGGCCTGGGAGAAGTGAAGTGTGAAGTGGAGGCCACGGGGCTTCTGAGCCTGACGGGCCCTTGTTGAGCCTGGTGAGAAGTCTGGGCTTTCTCTCGGGGTACTGGGGAGCCATGGGAGGATTTTGAGCTAGGGAGGGTAGCAGCAGATTTGTGCTCAGGAAAACCCCTCTAGCTGCAGTTTCGGTGGGATGGGCCAGGAAAGACGAGGCCCAGGGATGAATGGACAGTGCCTTAAAATTGGAACTGAAGCTCAACCACCCAGGAGCTGCGGGGAGGCCCAGGCAGGGATGGGAGGTGAGGTGGCCTCACCCGGGAGACGAAGTCCTGCTCTAGCTTCTCCATCAGGAGGTCCGCTGGTTTCTGCTCATAGGCCTTGTAGGTCTCCAGGTACCGCCCAGCTTCCTCGGGGCTGGGATAACAGGATACAGGGCAGCCGGGAGGTGAGGTATCAGATTATAGATTTGCTTCATTATGGTCAGTCATAAGAATTGCCAATACTAGGCCGGGCGCGGTGGCTCACGCCTGTAATCCCAGCACTTTGGGATGATGAGGCAGGCAGATCATCTGAGGTCAGGAGTTCGAGACCAGCCTGGCCAACATGGTGAAACCTCGTTTCTACTAAAAATACAAAAAAGTAGCTGGGCTTGGTGGCGCGTGCCTGTAGTCCCAGCTACTCAGGAGGCTGAGGCAGGAGAATCGCCTGAACCCGGGAGGCGGAGGTTGCAGTGAGCCAAGATCACGCCATTGCACTCCCGCTTGGGCAACAAGAGTGAAACTCCATTTCAGAAAAAAAAAAAAAAAAAGGCCGGGTGTGGTGGCTCACGCCTATAATCCCAGCACTTTGGGAGGCTGAGGTGAGCAGATCACCAGGTCAGGAGATCGAGACCATCCCGACTAACATGGTGAAACCCCATCTCTACTAAAAATACAAAAAATTAGCCGGGCGTGGTAGCGGGCGCCTGTAGTCCCAGCTTTTCAGGAGGCTGAGGCATGAGAATGGCGTGAACCCGGGAGGTGGAGTTTGCAATGAGCCGAGATCACGCCACTGCACTCCAGCCTGGGCGACAGAGCCAGACTCCGTCTCAAAAAAAAAAAAAAAAAAAAAAACAATTGTGGTTGCTAAAAATCAAAATTCCAGCCCATCCCCCGCCAAATACAACCTGGTAGTAACCACTGCTGGGCGCATCTTGATATCTTTTCTGGCTACAGGCCAGCTCTTGGGAGCCCAACCCCACTTCTCCCTGGGTAACCCTGGGCCAGTGGTTTGCTCTCTGGGCCTGTTTCCTCACTGTAAAGTGGGGTGGTCAGGCATAGTGGCTCATGCTTGTAATCCCAGCACTTTGGGAGGCTGAGGCAGGAGGATCACTTGAGCTCAGGAGTTCAAGACCAGCCGGGACAACATAGCAAGGTGTTGTCTCCACAAAAAATTAAAAATTAGCCAGGTGTGGTGGCGCGTGCCTTTAGTCTCAGCTGCTCGGGAGGCTGAGGCAGGAGGACTGCCTGAGCCTGTCAAGTTGAGGCTTCAGTAACCTGTGATAGCACCACTGCACTCCAGCCTCAGCAAAAGAGCAAGACCCTGTCTCAAAAAAATAATAATAAAGTGGGGAGGATGGTATGACTTTGAAGATCAGAGAATACTCTGGAATGCTCTGTAAGTGCCAAAAGCCACGCCTGGCACTGCTGAAGAAATGTTAGCTATTTTGGAAGGGAAGTCAGCACACAAAGTGTTTGTACTGGGTTTGACAGGAGGAAAACCAGAAACACTGCTTATTTTCCCGCTGCAGCAAGAAGCCAACCTCATGAAATGTTCAGCTTCCAACCGGGCACAGTGGCTCACGCCTGTAATCCCAGCACTTTGGGAGGGTAAGGCGGGAGGATCACCTGAGGTCAGGATTTCAAGACCAGCCTGGCCAACATGGCAAAACCCGTCCCTACTAAAAATACAAAAAAATTAGCTGGGCGTGGTGGTGCACACCTGTAATCCCAGCTACTTGGGAGGCTGAGGCAGAATTGCTTGAACCCCCAAGGCAGAGCCGAGATCGTGCCACTGCACTTCAGCCTAGGGGACAGAGTGAGGCTCTGTATCAAAAAAAAAAAAAAAAAAATTAAGACCTTGTTTTACAGATGAGGAAACTGAAGGCCAGAGAGAGGCAGTGCCTGCACCAGGCCCACACAGGAAGGAGAAGGGAAGGGCTGGGCAGGGTGGGATGGGGGAGCAGGGACCAATCCCAGGTGGAGCCTGAATGAGGCAGGGAAGCCCTCATCTCACCTCCAGGCGAGGATCAATGTGCAGTCGGCCAGGATACACATCTTAGCCAGCTCCTTGAGGGCCTGCTGGGGATCTTTCTGGAGGAGAAAATCAGAATTAGAAACCTAGAAGCCAGGAATTACAAAAATTAGCCAGGCGTGGTGGCAGGTGCCTGTAATCCCAGCTACTAGGGAAGCTGAGGTGGGGGAACTGCTTGAACCCGGGAGGCAGACGTTGCAGTGAGCCAAGATCGCGCCACTGCACTCCAACCTGGGCGACAGGGTGAGACTCTGTCTCAAAAAAAAAAAGAAGAACAAAAAAAGAATTAAAGCCTGAAAACACAGTAGCTCAGGATGCCAAGAGCCTCTCACCCAATTGTCACTCTCTAAGCTCCTACTGGGTGCCTGGCCCGTGCTAAGCAGTGCTAGGACCCAGCAGTGGCTGAGACAGCCCTGACTCTGCCCTCCCAGGGCTCACAGTCTGATGAGCAGGACAGACCTGTCCCCAGACACTGATGATCTGGAGTGGCCAGGGCTGCGATGTGGGAGCCAGAGGAGGGACTGAGCCTGCCTGGGGGATCAGGGAGGGCTTCTTGGAGGAGGGGACATTAGAGCTGAGACCCAAAGGAGGATGAGGAGGAGGAAAGGATGAAAAGGAGACCAGAAAAGGGAATTCCAGACATAAAGAACAGCATGGGCAAAGGATGGGAGGGGAAAGAGGGCTTGAGGAATTATAATTCGCTCCCTACGGGAGAGAGGATGTGAAATTCCATGAGGAGCATGGAATCTTAGAGACGGGCCTGGAGAACTGGGTAGAGGTTGGAGGTCACACAGGGCCCCATAGGTCATGGAAGGGAGCAGAACTTTCTCCTAGGGTGCTTAGGAGCCATGTGAGTTTTATGATCTTTTTAATTTTTTTCAGACGGAGTCTCGCTCTGTTGCCCAGGCTGGAGTGCAGTGACATGATCTTGGCTCATTGCAACCTCCACCTCCCGGGTTCAAGCAATTCTCCTGCCTCAGCCTCCTGAGTAGCTGGGACTATAGGTGCCCACCACCATATTTTTTGTATTTTGTAGAGATGGGGGTCTTCACTATGTTGCCCAGACTAGTCTCGAACTCTTGGCCTCAAGTGATCCTCCTGCCTCAGCCTCTCAAAGAGCTAGGATTACAGGCATGAGCCACTGCACCCAACCCAATGGAAGAGGAATGCTTGAGGCCAGGAGTTCAAGACCAGACTGGGTAACATAGCAAGACCCTGTCTCTAAAAATTAAAAAAAAAAATCACCTGGTGGGGGTGGCTCACACCTGTAATCCCAACACTTTAGGATCACCTGAGATCAGAAGTTCAAGACCAGCCTGACCAACATGGTGAAACCGCATCTCTACTAAAAATACAAAAAATTAGCCGGTCATGGTGGTACGCACCTGTAATCCCAGCTATTCAGGAGGCTGAGTCAGGAGAATCACCTGAATCCAGGAGGTGGAGGTTGCAGTGAGCCAAGATTGCACCACTACACTCCAGTCTGGGCGAAAGAGCGAGACTCTGTCTCAAAACAATCAATCAATCAATCAATCAATAAAAATTAGCAAGGCATGGTGTCATCCCAGTTGCTCGAGAGGCTGAGGCAGGAGAATCGTTTGAACCCAGGAGGCAGAGGTTGCAGTGGGCTAAGATCTGGCCATTGCACTCCAGCCTGGGCGACAGAGGAGACTCCGTCTTAAAAAAATAAAAGAGAGAGATATGGCCAGGCACGGTGGCTCATGCCTGTAATCCCAGCCTTTGGGAGGCTGAGGTGGGTGGATCACCTGAGGTCAGGAGTTCAAGACCAGCCTGGCCAACATGGTGAAAACCAGTCTCTACTAAAAATACAAAAATCAGCCGGGCGTGGTGGTGCATGCCTATAATCCCAGCTACTCAGAAGGCTGAGGCAGGAGAATCGCTTGAACCCCAGAGGTGAAGGCTGCAGTGAGCCAAGATCAAGTCATTGCACTCCAGCCTGGGCAACAAGAGCGAAACTCCGTCTCAAACAAACAAACAAACAAACACAAAACAAAAAGAAGAGATATTTAGGTGGCAGAGATCTGGGACTAATTGAAGGGGATGTGGGGAAAGAGGAAATAGACAATTTTGCCCTCCCCTCTCCTTGCCAACATAATGTCTTGGTGACCCATGTCATCTCAGATGTGAAAAACGTTCCTCGCTGAGGTTTTAGCTGCATTTCCTCTTGGAAGGGATTCAACAGCCCACTGCACAACCTCAAAGCCCGGTGAGGCTGGCTAGGGAGCAGCCCCTGCTTACCACATCCACCTGGACAAGCAGGACCCGCAAGGCGAAGTTCTTCCCCAGGCTCTGCAGCCGCCCATGGATGTAGTCTGGGTGCAGGTTGTGGTAGCGGAGGCTGGTGGGGGCAGGGAGCGGGAGTTGAGAGGTCTCAGTCTCTTCAAGACCCCCAAAGCCCTTTTCCCTCTCACTGGAATACTAAGGGCTCAGAGTACGGCATGGGGGACAGAGGGTCCTGAGGCCCACAGAGGGTAAGTCACTTGCCCCAGGTCACTCTTCCAAGAAGATGCTCCGCAGGGATTGGCAGCCAGGGCCACATGGCTGTGCTTACCTAGAAGACCAGACCCCTGGCTTCTTCATGAAGAGGGGAAGAGACTTGGGCTTCAAGGGGAGAACAGGTGCCAGGGGCCCTAGAGAGTGTGGGCACGGGGACACTGCATGGCTCGCGGTGGGAAGCAGGGCCCACTGCCAAACCATCTGCTCTGGCCTTGGAGGGCTACGGTGAGGGCTTCATGACCCAGGGAACTAGGACTGGCTCTGCCCAGCAGTCTGCAGCTGTCACAGCCTGCAGGGAGCACAGGAACTCAGAGGTTTCACTTCCTCTGTCTGGCCCTGTCTGCAGAGGGGCCCCTAGGTTGGAGGGGAAAGTTGTTTAACTAGGGTAGAGATGGGAGAAATCCTGCTTCTCATCAACTCCAGTCAAGGATGTCTGGGACATGAGTGACCCAGTCCCTCCTCCGTCAGATCCAGGAGTCTGGGCCCAGCCCCTCCTCCCTTAGACCCAGGAATCTGGCCCCAGCCCCTCCTCCCTTAGACCCAGGAGTCCAGGCCCCCAGCCCCTCCTCCCTGAGACCCCAGGAGTCCAGGCCCCCAGCCCCTCCTCCCTGAGACCCCAGGAGTCCAGGCCCCCAGCCCCTCCTGCCTCAGACCCAGGAGTCTAGGCCCCAGCCCCTCCTCCCTCAGATCCCCAGGAGTCCAGCCCTCAGCCCCTCCTCCCCCGGACCCAGGAGTCCGGCCCCCAGCCCCTCCTTCCTGAGACCCAGGAGTTCGGGCTCCAGCTCTTGTTGCACTGGGCACCTCCAGGCCAAGACCCCCTGCCTCCAACACAGGGTCCCACCAAGGCCCAGAACCTGCAGGACCATGCCCAGAGGCTTCTCATAGAACAGTCCAGAACACTGGGACATGACCCTCCCAGGCCAGTGGGGTGCCCTTCCTGAAGTCTGGGGTGGCGCCGCAGAGCTCACCTGAGGAACAGGGCACAGGTGCTCTGGCCCAGCACATAGTCGGGAATTACGTCGCCAAATTCCCAGGGCACATTGCGCACGAACTTCAGTACGGGATTGCCCCTCTGGGGAGGGACGAAGGGCAGAAGCCATCAATAGGGATGACCCTTGATAACCACAGGGCCCTCCTCCACCTCTTCTTGCACCTCCTCCCTCCTCCCACCTCTTCCCACACCTCCTGCCTCCTCGCACCTCTTCCCACACCTCCTCCCTCCTCCCACCTGTGGCAGGGTCTTTTCCAGCTTCTCTCTCCTCCTAACCCTGGACAGTCCCTGATCCTCTGATCCAGGCTCCTCCCCTCCATGCCCACTGGCACCAGGCCTTTCCTAAAGGGTCCCCGGGTCTGTCTCCAGCTCAGCCCTCTCCCTCCAGCCCCAGTCTGCGTGTCCTGTGGTCCTGAACACTTCCTGCCCTCACGCCCAGCAACTTTTTGTGTTTTTAGTAGAGATGGGGTGTCACCATATTCGCCAGACTGGTCTCGAACTCCTGACCTCAGGTGATCCACCTGCCTCAGCCTCTCCAAAGTGCTGGGATTACAGGTGTGAGCCACCACACCCAGCCTCATTCAGTACATTTTGAATAAATTAACAAACCTGGGGTGAGGAAACAGAGCTACACCAATACAGCCACAGCCCCAGCAAGTAGAGCTGGGGCACTCTCAACCCACACACTGCTGTCGAATGAATGAATGAATGAATGAATGAATGGGGAGAACAAAGTGGCTGGAACTCAGACCTCCTTGCACTGGAGTCATCCCTAGAACAGCGTTTCCCACTGAAAACCTCAAGGCCTCACTTCTCCGTCTCCCTCCTCACCTGCCGAGGGCTCACAATGATGCTGTTGGATTTTGCCCCGGGTTTCAGGGCCTGGTTGGGCGTCTCTCCTGCCAGGGGCTCTGACCCTGTGGGGCACGTGGCCCCAGCCCCTTCCAGAGGCTGTGAGATGGCATATTCGGCGTAGGTCTGAGGGGCCGCCTGGGCCGAGGTGTCCACAGTGGGAAGGCTCTGTGTAGATCGGAATAAGGGCTTGGCCTGTGGGGAGAAAGGGAGTTTGCAGGGGACTGGTTGGGGTGAGCAGAGGACATCTGAGGCCCTGTGAGTTCCTCTCCCCTTTCTTTTTCTTTTTTTGAGACAGTCTTGCTCTGTCACCCAGACTGGAGTGTAGTGGCACTATCTTGGCTCATTGCAACCTCCACCTCCCGGGTTCAAGCAATTCTGCCTCAGCTTCCCAAGTAGCTGGGATTACAGGTGCCCACCACCACGCCCAGCTAATTTTTTTTTTTTTTTTTTGAGATGGAGTCTTGCTCTGTCACCCAGGCTGGAGTGCAGTGGCGTGATCTCGGCTCACTGCAACCTCCGCCCCCCAGGTTCAAGCGATTCTCCTGTCTCAGCCTCCCAAATAGCTGGGACTACAGGCGTGTACCACCACGCTGGCTAATTTTTGTATTTTTAGTAGAGACAGGGTTTCAACATGTTGTCCAGGCTGATCTCGAACTCCTGACCTCAGGTGATCCGCCCGCCTCGGCCTCCCAAAGTCCTGGGATTACAGGTGTGAGCCACAGCACTTGACCCCTCTCCCCTCTTCAGGGCTGCCCATCCTCCTTCCTCCTAATGTCCCTTCCAGAAGGCTGAGAGCTCAAAATCTGAATTCAGCCACTTCTCCCCCACTCCTCAGCCTCCACTCTGGTCCCAGCCACCAGCGTTTCACCCTTGGACCACTGAAGTCACTTCCTCACCAGCTCCTTGCCCACACCCTCGCCCCCTGGAAGTCTGTCCCCTAACTAAGTCCTCATGTCCCTCCTCTGCTCAGAGCTGGTGGGTGGCTCCTGCCTCAGAGTGAAAGCCAAAGCTGTCACCATCACCCACAAGGCTCTAGATCTGTCCCTGCTCCTTGCCTCAGAAACTACACCTTCTACCACTTCTCCTTGCTTTCTCTACTCCAGCCCCACCAGACTTCGTTCTGCCCTTGAACACGGCAGGCTCTCTCTGACCTCAGGGCTTTGGCACTGGCTGTTCCCTCTACCCCAGATGTCGCCATGGCTCACTCCCTCACCTCTTTCACGTCTCTACCAAGATGTCACCTCCTCAGAGAGGCCCTCCCTTGACCTTCCTATCTAAAGTAGGAAGGGGCCAGGCATGGTGGCTCATGCCTGTACATCCCAGCACTTTGGGAGGCCGAGGTGGGCGGATCACTTGAGGTTCGAGACCAGCCTGACCAACATGGTGAAACCCGTCTCTACTAAAAATACAAAAATTAGCCAGGCGCGCTCCTGTAATCCCAGTTACTCGGGAGGCTGAGGCAGGAGAATCGCTTGAACCCAGGAGGCAGAG